>NC_000002.12:83833775-84139159 GCF_000001405.40 Homo sapiens | reverse complement strand
TTTTATTCCCTATGTATGTTTCCAAACTTCTCCCATCCACTTAGCTGCATAATCTATGGATCCACACACCCTTTCCTTACTCCTCTCTTCACAGCCGTTGCCACCCACTGTTCATAGCCTTCAGAACACATACTGATTGTGTCAACTTTTCTCCATCTCCACTGTCACAGTCATAGTTCAAACCACCATTATCTATCACTTAAACTACTGCTGTTGCTTCTAATTGTCTTCTCTTATCCTGTCCTCTCTCTGACTCAAGTCAGTTTACCACATGGTGGCCAGAATAATCTTTTAAAACCCTCATTCAAAACGTACTAGTGATGCCCTTAGGTTAGAAGCCCATAATTAACAGCAGAAGTTTTTCAACTTCAGCACTACTGACATTTCGTTACGGATAATTCTTGGTTATAGGAGACTATCCTGTGCACGGTAGGAAGTTCAGCAGCAATCCTGGCCTCTATCCACACGATGCCGGTAGCATCCCTGTTTTTTTTTTTTTTTTTTAAACGCCCTGTCATTCCCTTTCGCAACTTATTTATCTATCAAAATTCCACTCAACATCCATCTTCTTCATGCCAGCTTCTTCATGGATCTTTTCTGAGATTTTTCAACCCACCTTTAAAACTTTCAGCAAATTAAATTGCTCCCTTCTCTATCCTTCAATAATCTTCCATCTACAGCATTTATGGGGTTGCATTCATCATAACGAATTAGATATATATTATTCTTCCTCATTTGAATGTAATACTCAGCATAATATCTGAAACATTTGAAGCATAACAATTTTAATGAATTTAATTATTTTATCATGTTTCTACAAAACAGTTTTACCTCTCTTGTCAATCTTGCCATTATCTCTCCTTGCATACAGAGATGCACTTACATTTTGTTCCCTTTGGAGCCATTTTTTTTTTCCCTGATGGGACTTTCCCTTAATCCACTACCTCCCCACAAAGATGTTTCAACAACCAGTTTTTCTCCCACCAACACCAATCCTCATAGTCACTTTTCTAGATGTTTTGCAAAGTAAAAAAAAAATTCACCAAAAAACTAAGTGGCTCAAGGTCACTTGGCTTGTCTGAGGCAAAGCTACTCAAACACATTCTGCAAACCTGCACTTCCTACACTGTCTTTCTAACAGATGGTCTATTGGAAAGGACAACTGAGACCAAAAATAGACCTGTAATGGCTTATTAAGATGCATTTAGGGAGAGAGAAAACACATTTCACAATGTCCAGCAATTATATAAATGCAGTACCTTGCAGTTGGATAAAACTTTTTGAAAGCATTTTATCTATATGGCTGTCATATCAAATGTTCTTTGTGGCCAAGCTCCCCTTTTAATGCAGTGGAAGTGTACCTGTTGCTGTTACATCCTTTCTGTGCTTTTGGGAGCATCTCTCCATTTCCCAAAATTTTTCTTTCTTCAGATATGCAGATATCAGACATATCACTCAGTGTTTTTATGTGGACTGTAGCTGAACAGGAGCATATGCCTTAATTCAAATGTAAAACAAAATTCTTGTAGGAGGCCTTGATATATGTTGGGTCAATGAGAGTGCACACAATTTGAAAAAATTAATGGATATATTTGAAGTTCCTTTTGCATAAATTTCATCATATTTAAAAATCAAGACCAGGCTTTGGGTAGGGGGTTTAAAAATAGAATGAGAGTATCTCAAGCCAGGATTTAGCAAAGGGAAAATGTTAGGAGAATGTGAAGACACAAATACCTCATTAATACAGCTGAGGGGAACTTGGTCTCCCTAGAAATAGTATATATACTTTGGGACTGGAGGAGAGTGAATAAGAAAACAGAAAATTGCCATTCACAATTCTGGGTCAAGCTTGGACCTAGATATTTAGATCTCATGAAATGTGAAAATGATGATTCAACCAGCTGCCAATCCCGGCCTCTAGATGAACTGCTGCTGTGACGTTTATAAACAAGTATCTTTTGTGAACATTGTGGCGCCTGGAGCCAGAATTTGCATTTGTTAAATCATCATGCACAAATCATCATGTTAAATCATCATGCACAAATAAGAAATGGGTATTAGAAAGCACTCTATTATTTTGATACAGTATCTGTACACATTTAGCTTCCTCTTTATTTATCATTATTTCAAAAGAAATATAATTACTTGCCAGTGGATAGAGTTCACTATACATTTATCACTAGTGTTGTTATTCTAGACATCTGCATGTGTAATTAAAGAGAGGAAAAAAGATAGATTTTAGTTCTTCATATATGAAAAACATGGAATGAGATTAATGATTTTTGGAATTAATGAGATGATGTTTATTAATGGTTTGGAAAATAAAATAGGATTAGATATGAAAATAAGATACAGACTATTCTAGTATTGGCCTATTAAATTATTATGGGGAAATATTTGCCAAACTAGGAATTTTATCACTTTCTGAACTCATGGCATCTTTAAAGTTAAAGTTTAATTACATGTGCATATCTACCTACCTACACACAGACACTCATACTCACACACACAAACACAGTTTCAACAAATACTGCAGACTGCCAGAGTTCAGGATTAATAGACCATTAAAAAAGACACATAGAGAAATAAAAGGGCTTTTTTTTTTTTAAGGTCATACAACATGTCCATTGATCTCTAATCTTTTCATTCCTCCTACCACTGGAATTCTGCTCACCCTTTTAGACTTGTGATGGCTGGAGAAAAACTGGGTAAAGGGGAGATAAAAGAAAAGATAGCTCAAGAGTTCCTGGGATGAAGAGTGAAGTCTCTACGTCCTGTCAAGGGCCAAAATCAATTCTATTGGGATCTTTCAGTTAAACGACCTCTGCAGCGGTAAGACGCTCAGCAGTCTCTCTGAGCAGAGTCTAGGGTTAGAGGTAGAAAAGGCTAATCCAGAACTGAGGATTAAATTCTGTGCTAGACACTGAAGGGCCATAAATAATCTCTGCCCTGTCTCCTAGGGAAGATACTGAGGACCAGCAAAGCCACCATTTTGGATAGCTGCTTTGTTCTGGAGAAGTCTTTGACTGCCCCACGGATGAGGCTCCTTCTCAAAGTGAGCCCTTTTTTGTCCTCCTTCTCTCCAAAGTACTCAGAGAATATCCAAGTACCCAGTCTTAGCATGTTTTTCATGAAGCTCACTTTCATTTGACTCCCTGGATTGCATGACCTCCTGTCATCACTCACAGTATTCGGCTGCATAACAGAAGTCCCAGCAAACAGTTTTTCTGTAGCAATATTTTCTTGTCTATTCTATCACCCCTTTCTATTTTGACTCTCACCTTTTCTCCCTACTTATCTACCTTATATGTTCCTTGTGATCACACAGAGCTTGCTCTTAAAGAATTTGGTGTTAGTTGGAGAAGACATTGGGCTAATAGGAAGAGCAGGAATTATAATTTTGTAAGTTAATATTCTTCATTGATTCCTTCAGGATTGACAATTCATTCATTTCTCCAAAGCTGTGGCTTTCAGCTGGAGAGGTACATCAGGCTTCCCCAGAGAGCTTTTAAAAACCACAGTTTCCTGGTGCTCACCCATATCTACTAAATTGGGCTTTGAAGAGTAGAAGCCCAGTGGTTTTTTTCCCTTGGAAAAATGTCTAGAACTAGTTTAGATCATCTGAATTTTACTCCAAGTCCAAACAAATTTAAAATCTGGCTACTTAAACTGTTTCTTTAGTTTCCCGTAGAATTGTATTTATGAATATTTTTAGCCTTATGTGCTCAGGTTATGAAAATTTCCATTAAGTTTGCCATTAAGGATATTGTTTTACAGTTTCACAAATTGTCTCGCATCATGGTCCTGGGTAAAAATTTCTCTGAGACCTAGATGCTGCAGTTGAAGTAGGGGTTGGTAGAGGAAACAGAAACAACTGTTTTTCCTGAGCACCTTTTACTTTTGGGATTTTAAATTTTGTAACTGTCAGTTTTGTTCCTTTTATTTGTAGTCTATTACAAAGCGCTTAGTTCAAGTTAAAAGTAATCCAGTTTTAACAACTGTGTACATACTTTTGGTGTACGTTTCTGTGTATATCCTTGGTTTCTTTTTATTTGCCAAATTGTATTTTTCTTTGGGCTTTTCTTTCTTTCTTTCTTTCTTTCTTTCTTTCTTTCTTTCTTTCTTTCTTTCTTTCTCTTTCTTTCTTTCCTCTCTCTCTCTTTCTGTCTTTCTCTCTGTCTCCCTCTCTTTCTTTCTCTCTCTCTCTCTCTTTCTTTTTTTTTTTGATAGAGTTTCACTCTTGTTGCCCTGGCTGGAGTGCAATGGTGCGATCTCAGCTCACTGCAACCTCCACCTCCCGGGTTTCAGCGATTCTCCTGCCTCAGCCTCCTGAGTAGCTGGGATTACAGGCATGTTCCACCACTCCTGCCTAATATTTTGCATTTTTTTTTGTTTGTTTGAGATAGAGTCTCACTCTGTCACCCAGGCTGGAGTGCAGTGGTGCGATCTCGGCTCACTGCAAGCTCCGCTTCTCGGGTTCACACCATTCTCCTGCCTCCAGCTCCCAAGTAGTTGGGATTACAGGTGCCTGCCACCACGCCTGGCTAATTTTTGTAGTTTTTAGTAGAGTTGGGGTTTTGCCATTTTGGCCAGGCGCGTCTCAAACTCCTGACCTCAGAATCTGCCCACCTTGGCCTCTCAAAGTGCTAGGATTACAGGGGTGAGCCACTGTGCCCGGCCAGGGCTTCGTTTCTTAATATGTCTCAGTATTTTGGATTTATTATTGAAAACTGTCAATTCAAATTCTGTCTGGAATGAATAATAACAAAACTTAACAAGAACATATACATAGTAACAGTTGCATTTTTCCCTTTTACGAAGTTTATTATTAATCTTGGGGACAAATATTATAGACTTTAAAGTTTGTAAAAGTATAATAAATGAAAGATGAAGAAACTGAAATTAGAAAGGTTATCTTCATACAGCCTTTCATTAATGGATATGATCAATGATTAACACTATCTTTTGAATACAATTATTTTATTTCTATGCTATGGTGACTTTTTCCAGATCATTTTCTCACTCATATTATCTGGTTTGCTTTACATAACTTTTTAAAAATTATAATTAGTATTGTTATCCTCATTTTAAAATTGAAAACAAAAAAAAACCCTTAAAGAATCTTTGTCGAAAGAGGTTTTAATGTCCACAGAAATATTATTCTACCATATTGGAAGCTCTCTGAAATCCCCTCTCTGGTGCTACAGCTAATCATTTAAGATCAACTATATCTACAAAATTGATTTAATAATATTTATCAAGATGCATGTAATTTTAATGGCAGTGTGCTAGAGACTAAGGTAAAAATATAGAAAGAATTATGTAAGCCTTAACTTCAAGGCATTTATAATTCCATTGGAGAGGAAAACATATAAACATTATTTTAAGAAAAAATTAACAGAATAAAATAAATAGTATAATAAATTATTAGTTTAAAACTAGCTGACCAGGCACGGTTGCTCATGCCTGTAATCACAGCACTTTGGGAGGCCAAGGTGGGCCAATCGCCTGAGCTCAGAAGTTCAAGACCAGCCTGGCCAACATGGTGAAACTCGTCTCTACTAAAATACAAAAAAAAAAAAAAAAAAATTAGACAGGGATGATGTCACTCACCTGTAGTCCCAGCTACTCAGGAGGCTGAGGCACGAGAATCACTTGAGCCCGGGAGGTGGAGGTTGCCGTGAGCCGAGATCACGCCACTGCACTCCAGCTTGGGCTACAGAGTGAGACTCCATCTCAAAAATCAATCAATCAACCAATCAATCAATAGTTCGAAATTAGCAATGATAGAGAAGTTAAAACAATGTTATTTTATTCTTTACCTAGCAAATTGATAAAGATAACACACACATTGTATTCAAAGCTATCAAAGAGATGGTGACCTGAATATATCTCAATTTACTTTGGATAATATTTTTAAACAAATTCTGAAGGATAATTTGTCAATAGATATTAGAAATCTAAGGTTCATATCCTTAGACCCAATAATCCCACTTCTGTGACTTTAACCTGAGTAAGTAGAAGACATAATAAAAAATATATTTATGAGCATAGTTAAGGCTAAAGTATTCATAACACTTTACGTGTGCAACCATAGAAAGAAGGTGAGAGAAATAAATCCAGTTGTTACTAATGTTTGTCACTGAATTTAAAAATTTTTATACTTCTTAAAAGATTCCAATTTTTTATAGAACAGGGTATTACTTTTATAGCCAGAAATAAAATCCCAATAAATATAATTTTAAAAAGTTTTACTGGAAAAAAACTAGTTAATCTGTGTAAAACCAGTTGTCCAGATGTTTGGAAATATCCAGTTAGTAATATCCAATTTTAACCCTAGTTTATTGCAGGAGAAAAAGTGAGAAGAAAAAATAAAGTTTGGATCCACAAAACCTCAGTGTAGGATAAGTAGTGATGGAAATGAGCTATTTCAAGGAGAAAGCTTTGTAAGGGCATTAATGGACACCAGCTTCTTTGAGATGGAGTGAACTTTGATCTGTTCCTTTCCCAGGGTCACAGGAGCTGATACAGGCTATGTGGGGAAGAAGGACACTACATTCTAAGTGCGGCTGTCAGGCCACAGCTGCTCCTGCCATCTGCTCTGCCTTTGATTTATATTGTTTGTCATTTCCCTTGTGCCTTTTTTGTGTGCTGCTGTCCAGTGCTCATTTTTGAGTGACTTCTCAGAGACCAAGGGATTGATAGTCATAACAGCATGATTTCAATTCTATTTTACCTGGAAGGCTTTGGTTTCAGAAAAAGAAATCCAAGCAATATATCAGCAACCCATATGGGGCATTGAAAGTTCAATTCAAGAAGTTAATCAAGTTTTTGTGATCCCTTTGCTCTGATGTCCTATTTAAGTAACTTGAGGATGCTAGAGGGGATATGTTTGGCTTGAATATGAACTGAAGGATAGAGACATGATTTAGATGGTAAACAGAAGTCAACTGACAGCTAGGAATTGGCTAACTTCTGTCAAATCAGTCGACTATATCTTTTGTTCCTCAATTGCTCTCAGCCTAATTATTTATTTGATTGAAGGTTTTTTGTCTTTTTCAGAACAAAAAAAAAAGTTTTAAATAAAATAAGAACCACATTTATTCATTTGTTTGTTCAAATACCTGGACACTTTCTTTGATCCTGGCTCAGGACTGCATTGGAGGAACAGAGATGAGCAAGGGGCATTTCTTCTTTGAAGGTGTGAACAGAGTACAGTACAAATTTGTTCCTTTTCTGGGCTAAACGAACACCATGAAAAGGTTCAGCAACTGTCCCATTGAGGCAGTGGCTGCAAAGGGTGAACAGAAGAAATATACCGAGGAATTTGCATAGTAAGAGGGAGAGTACATGAAAAGGGAAAGATGAACTTATAAGAGAATCATGGAATCTTAGAACAGAAACCCATATGGATTAGGGCAGCATTTGCAACTGAAAGTGAAATCAACTGGCTGTCTTCTTCCTTGTAAGTCATCCAAAAGGGGGTTTATTTTTCACTTTCTGGAGATTGTGTGTGGAAGATAACTTGAGACATTCCTGTAACAGCCCTTTATGGGAATTCTCCATTACAGAAGAATAATGTATCATTCTCCCTCTGACAAAACGTTCTTTTCCATGCCCAACCCAACTTCTGCTATGAAAGACTGCTATGATGTCTGCTATGCAAGACCCACTTCTTACTATGCAAGACTGGTTCCTCCTCTTTAGTAATGGCAACATCTGGAAACAACATCTGCAAACATTCAGTGTGCATTGTGTGCCAAGCACTTTGCATTTTTTTTAAAAAATTATTTAATCCTTACAGCAAGCCTGAGTGGCTAAAGGTTTATTACCCTCATTTCATAGATGAGGCCATTCAGACTCAAAGAATTAAGAAAATTGTGAAAAACCACTCAGCAAAGCAGTAAAGGGCATTTTTGGTCCAGGCTGCTCTGACTCAAGAGCATGGTCTAAAGAACAGATTATTTGCAAGGATATGAATATTAACTCTGCTTATCATTGATACCATTCACAGAATATGCTTAGCTCTCTCCCCTTCCAATAAACTGCTAGGATTGCATTTCCTGGCTCCCTTGTGATATAGTGAAGCCACACAAGTAGCTTAGCTCATGAGTTGGGAGTGGGGGATAATTGTTGCTATGAGATTTTTTCCAGAATTTTTCCCTCTTGGGTAAAAACTGGCAATGTTCAAGATGGTGGCTACTCACTTAGCCTGGGTCTCAGGGCAACTGTGAGGAATAGAGTCCCTGATGACACATAATGGTCATATAGCATAAACAAGAAACAAACACTTTCAGTTTTAATCTATTGAAATCTTAGGAGTTGTTGCCACAACATAAATTAGTATACTGTGGTCAGCAAAAATTCTAATCTCTTGCTGCTCCAGACAAGAACATGCTCTGTGCAAATGGGCTTCTCTCTCTCTTTTTTTTTTTTTTTTTTGACGGAGTCTCACTCTGTAGCCAGGCTGGAGTGCAGTGGTGTGATCTTGGCTCACTGCAAGTTCGGCCTCCCGGGTTCATGCCATTCTCCTGCCTCAGCCTCCCAAGTAGCTGAGACTACAGGTGCCCGCCACCATGCCCGGCTAATTTTTTTGTGTTTTTAGTAGAGATAGGGTTTCACCGTGTTAGCCAGGATGGTCTGGATCTCTTGACCTCATGATCCTCCCGTCTCAGCCTCCCAAAGTGCTGGGATTACAGGCGTGAGCCACCACTTCTCTTGGGCACTGGATTCATGACTGAAATTAGCAACCAGGTTCATTCAGGGTTTGCTCTTTTAAGATTTTATTAAGACCATAAATACATAATTTGAAAGTGACCATGTTCTCACTATAAAATAAACTTCATACATTTATTGAATAGTTAAGGTGTACCTTTATTGCAAGTACTCACTGGGAAACCCAGTGGTTATTATAAAGAATGTCTCTCTAAAAGGATTGGAGCAGAGGTGAGACAACTCAATTTCTGTGTGTGCTTTGAGATAAAAAAAAAATCACCATTGGGATTTGGGATTTTCTCTGTGACTCTTTCCTAGGAAGACTGTTGTTAAATGCCAATGATTGAGAATATTCCTAACTTCATTCCCCAAACCTGTATAGACTCAGAACCATCTAGGCAGCTTTTACAGATTCAGGTACGTAGGTTCTGGCCCCAGATACTCCAAGTCAGAATGTGGGTGGGGAGCCCAGAGAATCTGTATTTTAGCAAATGAATAGTTTTTAAACTCCTCCAGTTTGGGTACTTCAACTCTGGAAATCCCCTTTGGATACTGCTGACCACAGGCAAGCTTGGCTGTTTGAAAATATTCTTCCGGTCACGGTGGCTCAGGCCTGTAATCCCAGCACTTTGGGAGGACGAGGTGGGCAGATCATGAGGTCAGGAGATCGAGACCATCCTGGCTAACACGGTGAAACCCTGTCTTTACTAAAAACACACACACAAAAAATTAGCCGGGCGTAGTGGCGGGCACCTGTAGTTCTAGCTACTCAGGAGGCTGAGGCAGGAGAATGGCGTGAACCCTGAAGGTGGAGCTTGCAGTGAACCGAAATCATGCCGCTACACTCCAGCCTGGGTGACAGACTGAGACTCTGTCTCAAAAAATAAAATAAAATAAAATAAAATAAAATAAATAAATAAAAATAAAAATAAAAGAAAGGAAAATATTCTTCCCTTCTTAACCCTTCCCCAAAGCACACACACGCTGAGGTCCTTGGATGAATTCTGTTTGGCTGAGACAGGGTTTTTTCTTGCAGTTTTCACAACAGGAATTTCTTGGGGTCCCAGAAAAGCAAGGCAGAGGGAGCTGGGCAGGAAACAAAGAACAGTGAGTTCTGTTAGTTCCACTTACCTGCTGCATGGTAGAGGAAGGCACTGAGTAAGGATAGCGAGGATTCTTTGCCTTTATCTTCACAGTCAGAAACATACAAACACAGCATATGCATACTAAGCAGAATTTGAATCAAACGACCAGTAATTTATTGTTTTGGAGAAAAGAGGAATGTATTTCATTTATCCACATTTTTTTTTCTTTTACAATGAGGAAAACCAGACCTAGAGTTAGTTAGATCACCCCGAAGGCAGAACTTCACTGGCAGGACTCATGCCTCGGTCTGAGTGACCTGCCACTGTCCACCTAAGTATCTCAGAGATGTGCGGTAGCCCCCTAAGCAGCTCCCCAATTCCACGCTGAAGTCACATTATACACAGATACAGGCCACTATTTCTTTTCACTGCCTAAATATCTTTGCCATCACTTGGTCCTTTGATTCCTAGATTAAAGATCCCTGGTATCAGGAGTCCATACCCTGGCCTTACCTGAGTCCCTAAGCATGGAGCTGGTTCACTACCATCCTTGAAAATCCTCTCTTCTTTTTGTTTAAGATTTTAAACTCTAGTTTTTATTCACTAACATACAGTGACTCATTTAGAATTAAATGGTGATCAATGACAAGTGTGGTTTGAATTCATAGATCCTTCTGTTTTTTCTTTTCTTTAAAAAAGAAATTCTCAACTTAGTAAAAAGTAGAATTTGCTATTGAAAACCTGCTATTAAGCGCTGTTTATTTGTAAGCTTGTAACAATCAAGGAGGCAAAGAGTGAGGGGGATGGAGATTAGTGTTCTGCTGGTGAACCACATGAGCTCCAATTAGGGCTGTCTCACAAACACACTTGTGTCCGGAATTTATTCCTTCCGGTGGGTTATTGGTCTCACTGACTTCAAGAATGAAGCTGTGGACCCTCGTGGTGAGTGTTAACAGTTCTTAAAGATGGTGTGTCCGGAGTTTGTTCCTTCAGATGTTCAGATGGGTATGGAGTTTCTTCCTTCTGGTGGGTTCCTGGTCTCGCTGACTTCAGGAGTGAAGCAGCAGACTTTCACAGTGAGTGTTACAGCTCTTACAGGTGGCGCGTCCGGAGTTGTTTTTTCCTCCCAGTGGGTCTGTGGTCTCGCTGACTTCAGGAATGAAGTCGCAGACCCTCGCAGTGAATGTTATAGCTCATAAAGGTAGTGCGGACCCAGAGTGAGCAGCAGCAAGATTTATTATGAAGAGCAAAATATCAAGGCTTCCACAGCCTGGAAGGGGACCTGCTGGCTCTGGTTGCCAGCTTTTATTTTCTTATTTAGCCCCGCCCACATCCTGCTGATTGGTCCATTTTACAAAGCACCGATTGGTCCGTTTTACAGTGCTGATTGGTGCGTTTACAAACCTTTAGCTAGACACAGAGCGCTGATTGGTGGGTTTTTACAGAGTGCTGATTGGTGCATTTACAAACCTTTAGCTAGACACAGAATGCTGATTGGTGTGTTTACAATCCTTTAGGTAGACAGAAAAGTTCTCCAAGTCCCCACCCAACCCAGAAGCCCAGCCAGCTTCACCTCTCACACTCACATTGTTCCTATCCTGTTTCACATCATTCTGGGTATAGAACTCATCTCTTTTCCTTAGTTTTTACAAAACTAAAAAGACAGACAAACAATCATAAAAAAAAAACTTCACAGAACACGTAGATGTGTGTACAATACTAAAGAGTTGGCGAAAACAGCATAAGAGAAAAGCAAACAATAATTCCTAGAAGTTCAGGTCTATTCTGTTGTACAAGTTAAACTTCCCCTGTGTAGCTCCATCCTCTGTTCCTTTCTTCCTCTTCTTTTTTTAACCATTCTCCATTAGGTCCATGTTCTTTACGATACAGAACAGTTTACATATTGGGTTTGTGGCCTTAGATACTAAAGAGCAAATCCTGAGGATCTCATTCTCTATTCCCAAGAGGATGATCAAAGTATATTTCTAAAAAGATACAATTCTTTTCTTAACAGCTGAAACTGTTAAGAATACATACATATATACATATGTATATATATTCCTCTAAATATAGAGTGTGTATTTTATATTTATGTGTGTGTGTGTATATATATATATATATTTCTGTGCAGAATTACAAAACATAAAATTGTGAAGAAAACCTGAACCTATGTTTTGTCAACATAAATCTTAGGAAGAAAACCTGGTCACTGTTCAAACTGTAGGATAACATATCCCTAAAAGGCAGAAGTAAGAACAGAGTGATACAATGAAAAGAAACAAATCAAAACATAACATCACAAAGATATTAACTTTTATCTATTCATAATTAATACCATGTCATCAATGTTAAGGAAACAATATAAAGCCTAACATACATATAATTTCTTATCTAATACCTGACTCCTCTATAGCAGGCTTTCTCATCCTAATCTTATCTACAAACCCAGATTTGAAAGCTGGACTTGATGGATTTCTTTGACATTGTGCTTTTTCAGTTAGAGCACTCCTTTTTCAGCTCATGTTGTACGTCACTTGGCTTGGCTGCAAAGCATACTTGTAACAAGAGGAGGAAGCTTGGATGCCAAGCAGTCTGACCCAGGCATAGGATTAATCAGAAAGTGTCAGAACTGCCCTGATCTCGGCAGATGTGAATATCCAGGGTGGTCTAAGCGGCAGTGGGGGCTTGGCCACAGTGGTGCTAAATGAATGACAGAACAAGGCTTCAGGCAGATGGCAGCATAGATCTCTTCAGAAAAAGAGAGAACTAGTAAATTGCCATGGTAAGTAGGATTCTCTTTTCCCCTGTCCCTCTGAAAGAGGAGCCTGGAAAGAGCTAGACAAGGTATGAGCCCTGCAGCCACATCTTGTCTTCAGCAAAAACCTCCATACCATACACGGAGAAGCAAAGATAGGAAAAGGAGACAGAAACTCAGCAGAGTAGGTGGTAAGTGAAGGCTGTCAGTCATCAGCCCTGGATGCCCTGAACCTAGTCTCTGTGCCAATCTCATTTCACACATCACCTTCCTAGGCCTAGAGCATCCTGCTCTGGAACTGAGTTAACTGAGCTGACTTAGGATCAGGGCACAGTAGAGCTTACAGGTGGTCAGGGACTCCAGGTGAACACAGCTGGGGAAGGCAAGGGATACTATCATCCTGAACTTACAAAAGACAATTGTTTGTCCTGTCCATTTCCCTCCCTGCACCCTTCACTAAACCAGAGTTCTATGCCTCTGGCTTCCTCTTAGTAAGAAGATTGTACTTGTTTAACACACTCACATTTTGGCTCTGAAAGCTCAACCCATCCATGTTTATATTCTGTTAGCTTTTTCTGTAGGTTGTTTAGCAGGTTCTTAATCTGCAGTGCCCTTCTCAAATCCCTGTGATTTGACTCATACTATGCTGTCTTCTGCCTAGAATTATTTTCCCCCTTTTCATTTTTTTTTCTTTTTTTTTTTTGAGACAGAATCTCTCTCTGTCGCCCAGGCTGGAGTGCAGTGGCACAATCTCAGCCCACTGCAACCTCTGCCACCCTGGTTCAAGATATTCTCCTGCCTCAGCCTCCCAAGTAGCTGGGATTACAGGCTGAGATTACAGCCATGGGATTACCTCCCATGGCTCCTGGCTAATTTTTGTAGTTTTTTAGCAGAGACGGAGTTTCACTGTCGTGGCCAGGCTGGTCTTGAATTCCTGACGTCGTGATCCACCTGTCTCGGCCTCCCAAAGTGGTAGGATTACAGGCGTGAGCCACTGCACCCGGCCGATTTTCCCCACTTTCCTTCTTCTTCTTCTTTTTTTTTCTTTTTTTCTTTTCAGAATTCCTAACCATGCTCTAAAACTCAGTCCAAGTGTTATTCCTGCTGGAAGCCTGCTTGGAGCTCCTCAGATTTTGGGGGATGCTCCTCTTGTATGTATGAACACCCCATGTACCACTCTCTCAGCACCCAACACATTATGTTAACATTGTTCCCGTTGCATTCTTGTCTCCTCCAATGCAGGAGTTTGTTCATTTTGGAGCCCTCAGTTCCTAGCATAATGGATCGGACACCTGAAGTATTCAGTCAATATTTGTTGAATTAAATACACTACATAGTTACAAAGAAATATTTTGTTAGGAAATTGGAAAATGAAGCTTTGAATGTCTGTAAACACAATTCTTTAAAAATAAAATATTTTTTAAGTTTTTATACAATAGTTATACTCATTAAAAAATAAACATAAACTGAAAAGTGAAGAAAATATTACCGCACATTCCATGAACCACAAAAAACTAACACTAATATCAGGAGAATGCTATTCTGACATCTCTCTATGCTTATATCCAGATAGGTGAAGATAATTTTATAAAAATTGGATATGATCTATTATTTTAAATATAAGTTATAAAGTTAAGTTTATTTGAATTGTTCAAAAAGAAAAGAATAAAATGAAACAAAGAATTATTGAATTTTGGATAAATATTTTTTCACCACAAAGAAATATTATTCTCCACAAGTTCCCTCTAAATTGAAGAGAAGAAGATTATGAGAAATATTAAAATTTCAGAACCATTGTGCTTTTTATTATTATGGATTTCAATTGTATATAATATAAACTCCCTGTTATGACAGAAAAGGGAAATCACACTCTTGAATTTCTCTCTTTCTTTTTTTCCACCACTTTCAGGGTGATGTTAGTCATATTTTAATTTTAATTTTGTTAAACACTATAATATTTCTATATTTTTGGAATTAACCTAAACAATAAGTGTTCTGATGTCAATTTTTCCATATTAGTTTGTTTTTTTTTAAACAAAAAAGAGGTTCAGTTTTATTTTTATTTCAAAGGAAAATATTTTCTATTTATTTCTATATATTTCTTTTTTTTTTTTTTTTTTGAGATGGAGTTTTGCTCTTGTTGCCCAGGCTGGAGTGCAATGGTGCGATCTTGGCTCACTGCAATCTCCACCTCCTGGGTTCCAGCGATTCTGCTGCCTCAGCCTCCCAAGTAGCTGGGATTACAGGCATGCGCCACCACACCCGGCTAATTTTGTATTTTTAGGAGAGATGGGGTTTCTCCATATTGGTCAGGCTGGTCTCGAACTCCTGACTTCAGGGGATCCACCCGTCTCGGCCTCCCAAAGTGCTGGGATTACAGGTGTGAGCCACCGCGCCTGGCCCAGAGCTTACTTCTTAAAGACGCTTCAAAGGACTCATGCTTATTCTTCTTCTATATACTTCTTATCCTGTTTTATGGAGTCTTGATCCTCAGGCCTCAGTTATTCTTATTTGGAGAATTTTATTCTTCTCACCATTACTTTCTCTATAATTTGTTTCTCAGTATTTTTTTGCCTCCACATTTGTTGTGTGAAAAGAGATCATTCAGGAAATGTCTTTCTGGAGGACAGGCATCTGGCTTTGTCTACAGGAGTTCTGTGGTAATACCTGAACACCATACAGCCTGGGGCGGGGATGGGCCAATTTTTGTGAATTTTAGAAAAAGGGGATTCAGATTACTAGATGGTGAACAACACTAGCTAGCCATTGTCAGACAGCCAACCCAAACTGGAATCCCAATATGACCTTGATAGTATTACTTAACCTCCTGGAGACTCCATTTCCTAATTTGTAATATCAAGTTAATAACACATGCTTTATTGTACTACTATCAGGCCAAATTAGGAAATATGATATGATTGACACATAGTAGGTTCTCAGTATATATATAGTATATAAAACAAAACCAAAAACAACTTGAGTCAGTTTGAGTGATAATGCAGCATGACTTACATTTGTACCAGACAATAACCTGATTTTTCTAAGCACGAATCTTGTTTATTTAATTTTTATTCTTGTGTTAAACTTAGGAGTCAGTTCAGTAAAAAGTGGTGAACTAATTGGTATGTATAGTTAGTTAATTTTGGGGTGAGCTAAGTCACTAACTTTAATAGGGTAACCAGCAGTGGCTAGATAATGCAACAAGAAGTGAAGAATGGATCCCGAGAAAGTTCAAATTTTGTCCCAGGCAGTTACATCAATAAGTGAGAAAAAAAATGTGAAAATGTTTTATAAAATGTGAAGTTCCACATAAATATTTCAAGAGAAATAGAATTAACTATCTTGTGTTTTGAGAGAAGCCATGATTAGAGAAGAGTGAAAGAACTTTGGAATTAGGCAGATCAAGTTTGTATCTCATACTTTCTATTTAATAACTGTCACATTATATGAGTTTTTTTAACCTTTATCTCACTTTTCTTTTTGAGAATATTGAAAAATTAATTCCAACTTTGCGGATCGGTTAAAATTAACACGATATGAAAAAACTTTACATGGTTGCTCTTTGGTAGATTGAATTATTGGTCCCAATTCCGTACTTCTCCATGTATTTGTTGCATGGATTTGCATTTCAGCCCTCTGTGGATGGGGGTCCTTCCCTTGACTTGAGCTTGAGCATGCATCCTGCTTTATGGAAGACGTGACACAGCAAAACCCGGAAATGTGCTTGCCCAGTTGGGTTTGCCCACTTGCACTTGTGGCGTCTCTACTAGAAGAGCTTCCCTTGAGTAGCTACTGTTCCTTCAGCCTGGGACCAGAAGGAAGATTCATGTGGGAGACGTGAGCCCAACTCACAGTGAAGAATCAAATGTAGACCCACAGTGTGAAGCAGAGATGCCCATTTAAGCTGAGTGTAAATTGGTTGATCCATGTCCACTTGCTGGGGAAAATGCTCATTGAGTTCTAGGGAGGTTTGCTACACAGTGCTATTGAAATAATGAGTGCCTGATACTCTGATTCATACCATGTGCTCAACATAAGTGCAGATGGTGATTTATATAATTATTAATAGTGTCATTTTGACCATTTTAAAAGCAGAAGTTGCAATTGAACTAGGAGCACAATAGCAAAGCAAGACCATATAGTTAGATGGGATAGACAAAGAGGCAGCATGTGGTCAGTCTTTTATGAGCAGATTATCTTTTGCGGCATTTTTTTCTTTTGTAGAGATGGGGTCTCACCATGTTGCCCAGGCTGGTCTCAAACTCCTGGGCTCAAGTGATCCTCCTGCCTCAACCTCCCAAAGTGCTGGGATTATAGGCATGAGCCACTCACTTTGCCTGGCCTTTTGTGGCATTTTTAAAGATTACAAAGGATGGGTCCCCAGATTTCATACTTCTCTAGTTCTCAAAAATAACTTCGTTTACTTATTCATCTAAAATCCCATAAGCATGTGTTAGAATTAGTAGGATCAATAATGACAGAAAAATCAACAATCATGATTGCTGTGTTGCAGCCAACCTAAAGTGCAAGAGAAAGTGCTGTTAGATAATTTTGTAAATAATTACAAATAAATACAATTTTAAAAGGTATGTAGGGTAAAACAAATTTTTCTCTGGGTTTACTCTCTTGATGAATAGCAGTAATCTATGCCAGGAAGCTGGCATTATACAGATGTCATCCTTGCTCTCAATCAGACTTGAGTTCAAACGTTGTCTCTTCCATTTCCTAGGTAGGTGACTTGGGCAAAAAAGCATATCTTATGTATCTTATCTCAACTATCACATCGTAAGGGGAATTAAAACAAGATTATAAGAATTAAACAAGATGATAGGAGTGCTTCATGCAGTGCCTAGTGTTTTCTAATGAATAGAAGATGACCTAAAAGTAAGCAGTAAAGCAAGACCATCAATATGCTCAGTAAGTCACAGGACACTAGCTTAGTGCTCCTCTGCAAGGGTTGAGGTACAATGTCTGCATCGCCTGTTGCAGGTTCAAAATGCACACTCGCAATCTTTCCTGGACAACCTTTATTTTTCTTATTGGCATCTCCAGTGACCTTCCCATATTAAATTTGTTTGCTTTCTGTTTTATTTGATGCCTCCTCATTTCATAGTTTAAACTCTGCAGCTCCTTAGAATACATGTGATTTGATGTCCTGTTGTCTTCTACATTGAAAATTCTCCAGAATGTACACTACTCCACAGGTGGCTGTCTCTGCAGTCAGCTATTTTATTTTTGCAGCTTTCTTTCCTCAAGCATTTCTTTGTTTCAGAGGAACTAGGTTTTTAAAATGGATCTGTGCCCAGAGAGTTTACATATCTTCATAAAAAGTATCATGTACTAAATAATGAGTGCGTGAATGCCAAACACTGTAAATTACATAGCAACCTGCTCTCTAATGAATCAGTGTTTTCATTGCATTTAAATGCATTTAAACTCCAATTTCTTGGTCTTTCAAGGATAAGTGAAAATTCCAACCATGTATTCTTATTATTTGTATTTAACACTGACATGCACTTTTTAAAAGTAATGTACACATTTTTGGTCACTTTTAAAAGGAGAATTATCCATTGCTTAGCCTATTTAACATGAAAAAAAAGCAACTGAAATGTAAGATTTTGAAAATAGAATTTTAGTGTGAGGATATATTAAATTTGAACAGAATTATGCACTAAGTTTTTGGTGAGCTAAAATATTCCAAATTTTTTTTCTTGGATATCACTCAACCTCATCATTTTAGTTTTAGAATTCAATAAAAGTAGGAATATATTAATAAAGCCTCTGAATGCCAAAAGAAATGGAATTGTATTGAAGCCATTAAAAAAGAAATTGGTAAGAAATTACTGCATATGAAGATATTATAGATATATTCTTTGAGTTTGATTCAAAATTGTTCTCCTTGGTGACTGTTAATAGTATCTCATAATTTGGTCAATATTTCTCATGTCCCAAGGAGAGAGCAGATAACCACTTCTTCTCTGACTTCTATATATTCCTAGCCCTCTCTTAAATTGAGAACATTTCCAAAGTTATATTTATCTGGAAATTAAGAAGCACTTTGCACCCATAAGGATATTAAAATGGCATTTTATAGTTCTTTTAAGGATACCATCATCAAATGTTTAAATGAAAGGATAAACCTTCATCTCCCAGATCTGTTAAAACCAAAGATACGGGCATAAACAACATGGCCCTTTCATCTGCTGTGACTGATTTCTACTGTCACGGGGCTAGGTTAATTTAAATTGAGCTCAATTCTATTCTCTATGCTGCAAGTTCCAGGTCATGCCTCTTATAAGCTACTTGTCTTATTTGCTAGGCAATCTTCATAAGGCTGGTTGCCAGTGTGTACTTTCACCTCTGTGTGTCCCTTTCCTCTCCTCACCCCCATAAAACCATCATTCTCTGTAAGCATGAAATCGTGCTAGGAGTTTAATGAACATAAAATACTATAAAGCACATATAGCAAATATTAAAGTGTCTGGATCGCAGATGAATATTGACAGTGCTCATATAACCTCAGGCATTTGCCTTATTTTCTTATGTTTAATTCATCTACTGCCTACCTTCCTAAGGTTTGGAAAATACAACTTTTTGGGGTGGACTTCTTTGTCTGAGCCCGCATAGTTCCTGAATCCCAGAGCTATTCCCATTGTAATGGTTTGAGAGTCTTTCAATGTCCTGGCTCGGAACTTCTCAGTGTTCATTCTTCCTTAGTGTTAGCTTAGAAACACATGGGGACAAACTTATTCAGATTCACATCAGCAGAACATTCTTGTCTGCAGCTAAAACTTAGGATCTTTTCCACAAATCTGTTTCTCCTCCAGGGTGCCCCTTATTTATAAATATCTCAAAAGGTTGTCCTCTACTCACTTGTACTAGAATCCTCTAGGGGTACTTTTAGAAAAATTCAAATTCCAAGACTCCTTTCTATAAATCTACTGAGCCAGAATTTTAGAGTGTGGACCAGGGAACTGAAATAGTTAAACACTCTCCAGGTGATTCCTATGCACATTAGAATGTGTGGACTGCCACAATAAATGGCGCCATTAACCACCCAATTGTTCATGTCAAACCTTGGCAGTCAATCCCGACGACTTTATGTCTTTCACCCTCCCCACATTTAATCAATAACCTAATCTACAAATTTACCTCTTAGGGATGTCATGATTATAAGAGATACGGTCTGAGAGAGTGATTTATAATCTGATTAGGTGGGACACTGAAGCATTAAATTAATTAATTCCTATGTGCAATTTACACTCTTCCCACAAAACTTAAAGATAAATACTCCTTAGGGAATAAGATGCTTAGTGGTTAAACAAGATGCTAAATCAAAATGTGAGAAGTCCAGTCTATTCGATTTCCTCATTCCTTTCAGGTTCTAGCTCCTTCTTCTTATCTTTTCCTTCTTCTTATCTTCCAAATCTCAAAGCAGACACTGTAACTTTCCTTAATTCTTGTTTTGCATCAAAAGACACTGTGCCTTTTACTGTACTGCATTAGAGATCACAGTGTTAAATAATGTATTCAGCTTTCAGGTGATAGAAACTATTTTTTTAGAGGCTTAAAATAACCCAGAATATTTTACTTTTCTTGTAAAGTAAGAGACTAGAATCTCCAGGCTGATTTTTCTTGTAATTGTGTCTTACGTTACTATTTGATTGAAGTGCTTTCTGACAGAATTCCTTCATAATGACCATTATTATAGCTAATGCTTCAGAATATATTACTTGGTTTCTCTAGTATTTGTTTTGTTATTTCAACCTTAATTTGATACCATGATTTTGCTTTCTTATAAATGTTCAACATTGATTTATAGATTCTGAAAATAAACTTTTACTTTTTTATTATAATGAAATAATAACTAATGGATATGGCTTGAAAACCAAGGTAAGTATAAAGACAAAAATAAAATCAACTATAGTCCTATAAAATATGTAATTCTATATACAATCAGGCTTAAGGACGACTCTGTGGAACTCCAAACATTTAGAAGTTGCAATAAATGTTTATTAAACACATACTCAGTGCCAGGTATGTGCTAAAAACTGAGTAATTAGCAGTGAATAATTTCAGATACAGATGGTATGGATCCCCTTGTGGAGTGGAAGAGTGTAAAATTCTTAATTTAATTTAATTTTTTTTGCTTTGTTTTGGCAGAAGTTACTGTGGATGTCTTATTAAGTGAAATGATATCCTGTTTTGACCCAATTTCCTTATCCAACAAGCATTTATTGAGTACTATTTTAATCAGCATAAGTAACACTAGTTGTTTTAAGAAAAATCCTAAAAATCTTAGTGGTTTAATATAATAGAACCTCTTTCTGGTTCATGTTTTAGTCTAACGGATGTTGGAGCTCTCTCCAAGCAATCCTTTGGGGATTCTGGCATCATGTACCTTGAGATACTGCCATTTTTGGCACAGACCTTCATGAAACAGTATGAACAATTGTGTGAGATTGTTACAAGGCCTAGACCTGGTGTGGCTGACATTACATATGTTCACATTCCTTTGGGCAGATTTAGTCACATGGCACCTGACCTAACTCCAAATAAGGGGCCTAGGGAAAGGAGAGTGAAAGGGGATTCTGTGAACACATCATTTCATCTCTGCCTCAGCTTGCTAAATGTCCACCTTTGTGTTTTCCTGAACATAGAACACCCCCTGATTCCATCATTTCCCAAAGGAAGACAACCTAAAGTCCTATTTGGTCCAGGTACAGTATCCCTGGGTATTGTGAAGTACTCCCTGTTACATGTGGATGGCTGTCCTTTTGGCTTGATGTAAGGAGTACAACAAATTATCTACCTCCCCCATACCTATATGCCATTATGAAACAGGAGCTATGTAAGAGTAATATATACCCACAGGCAGAAAGGCAAATAATGGGGACACTCTTCAGTCTCTGGTCTGCAACAATCTAAATTCTTGCCTCACAGACACCAAGGAGGCATCTCACCTTGAGCATGATAGCAGGAAAAAACATTCTAATTAGCACAGGAAAACTTATCCCTGAAAACTATTTTCAATAAGAAATAGAAGTAAAATATAAAATGCAAAAATATGAAGTTCATATGAGTGGTTGGAAAATCTGTAAAATATCTAGAACAATGTCACATAATAAGCATTCACTTAACACAAGTTAACAAGATCAGTCATATACATTCGGCTGCAGGTAATAAAAAACTATTTCAAACTAGCTTTTAAAATTAGAAAATTATTATCTCATAAACTCTGAAATCTGGACACAGTGCAGACTTTAAAGCTAGATTGCCTAATGACTCCATGTTCTTTCCTTCTCTTTTGCTCTTTTGGAGGGCTCGTTATAGGGAGGTTGCTGGTGGCAAAAGGGGCAGCACACTTCCTTAGTCACATATTGTGGGGGAAAAAGGAAGAACCTTTGCCCTAACTCTGGAATAAGCTCTTTCCCTTCAGCTTAATTGGAGCAACTTTGTTCACATGCCCATCTGGAACCAATAACAATCCCCAGAATAATATCATGTGCTGATCAATTTCCACTTAGGCTCCACCCTAGTAGCTAACAATGAGCTTCGTATCCTCTGAGTTACCTGGGCCATAGGAGAGCAGGCGGATACTGAGTAAAGGAGGAGTTTTGATGGGGTGGGCAACCATGAGTGTGTATTTAACCTACCATGTGTCAAATATTATACTAATTACTAGACATTTTAAGATACCTCTGATATAAGTAAAAAGAAAAGAACTTTCTATATACTCTTTGCTAAAGAAAACTCAGTGTGCTCTGGAAGTGCATGAAAGAGACACATAATTTGCAGGTGGTGGGTCAGGAAGGGCACAATAGGGGAGAAATTGTAACCACAGTGGGGTGGAATATGAAGAGGGAAGGTGGGAATTCCAGGCAGAAGTAGCAGCCAACGAAAAATTCTAGAGATGGTCAAGCATAGGGAAGACTGGGGAAAATGTAAATGTCTTAGGCCTACACTGTCTGGTATGGTAGCTGCTAGCCACATGTGGCTATTGACCACTTGAACTGTGGCCAACATGTGGCTAATGCTACATGTTGAAATCATAATACTTTGGCTATATTGGGTTAAATATGGTATTTTATTAGAATGCAATTTACCTGTTTTTACTTTCTTTGAAGTATGGCCTATGCTATATTTCTACTGGGCAGTGCTGGCTTAGGTTGAAATGAAAAGTACCAAGAGGAATGTGGAACGAGCTGCTGTCAGGTTAGTAAGCAGGGGCCCGCCCAGGCAGGGTTTTGAGTGCTGCTCTACAGAGTTTAAATGTTATCTTATCGTTGGGGAGTCATGGAAAGCCTGATGTGCATTCCAGCAAATTCACTGACTGCTTTTGGAGAACGAATTGAAGAGGGTAAAACAACTGGCAAGAAGCCTAGAAGACAGTTGCAGTAATTCAGGCAAGAAATGATGAAGCTTGAAAAAGCAGCAGTGGGGATGATGGATGAACAGATTCAAGAAACAGTAAGGTGAAAGAATCAGCAAAATTTTGTGATTGATTAGATGCTTGGGCAGAGCTGAGGGAGAATCTAGTGGGACTTGCAGGTTTCTGGCTTGGATAACTGGGCACCTGTGTTTATGGATATAGGAAATACACAATAGGTAGGCAGTTTAGGGTAAAAGTCAAGCCATGTGGTAGAAGGAGACAAAGCAGAACATGATTGGGGGTAGGGATTGGAGATGGTTGTCTCTGGAGTATGGCCAAAATTGGTTGTAGGATCAATAGGGTTGTTCTTGATTTTTTAAAAATTCATTTATGTTGATGTATTATTATTCTAAGTTATTTTCTTTCCTGGACTAAGCATGTTTTTATTATTCCAGTTTCCCTAGTAAGTTAGCTTATACTCTGACTTCTATTAATGAATAAAGAATCATTAATGAATAAGTGTTTAAGAGTTTCTCAGTGTGTCTCATTATTGTTACTGGGCAGGTAGTTTCAGTTTTACTCACTTTTAGTAGGAACGAAATCATTTCTGTGCCATTCAGCATTATCTGTGCAGTTCTGAATCATCACAGCAAAATATCTGGCCTATTGCAATTTTCTTTTCAGTTATTCAAAAATGAAAGAGGATTTGGAATCTTAATAGTTATGTGTATTTTTCTTGCCATATATCCTACACTATATTATGCTGTATGCTATTATGTAGCTATCTATGTTTGCAAAAATATGCACATATAAATATGGTTTTATTTTCCTCAGGAATGTTGAAGACAGAGGGATTTTCATGTTCCCCTTGGTGTTTGGACTCATTGATGGAACTGCTGCGGCAGCATAGAATACACATGCCCTACAGGGCCTGCCTTTGAGAGTGTAGCTGTTGAAACAGCAAAGCATTTTGACTATAATGACACATTTTTTTCCTGAATCATTTTGATCAGAATTTTGTTATTTTTTAAACCAGTATTGGTGAAGCCACAAGAGCAAAAATTTAAAATATATATTTTTTAGTATTTCAGATGGAGCTAGGTCAATAAGATATAAAAATATATAAGGTATTCTCAAAGATAAACAGAGATAGTTTTATTGATGAGAGACCTTTACTCAGCCTTCTTTTGTAGCTAATATAAATTCAGAAAGTTATGTGGTCATTTATACCCAAATGAGTTCATTTTCTCTTTTTTTCTGGGCTAGAGAACCCAGAAATAAAGCCGCACACCTATAACCATCTGATCTTTGACAAAGCTGACAATAATAAGCAATGAGGAAAGGACTCCCTATTCAATAAATGGTGCTGAGATAACTGGCTAGCCATATGCAGAAGATTGAAGCTGGACCCCTACCTTTTAGCATATACAAAAATAAACTCAAGATGAATTAATGACTTAAATGTAAAACCAAAAACTCTAAAAGCCCTAGAAGAAAACCTAGCAAATACCATTCTGGACATTGGCCCTAGCAAAGACTTTATGATGAAGATTCCAAAGCAATTGCAACCAAAACAAAAATTAACAAATGGGACCTAATTAAACTAAAGAGCTTCTGCGCAGCAAAAGAGCAAGCAACAGAATAAACAGCCTGCAGAGTGGAGAAAATATTTGCAAACTATATACCTGACAAATGTCTAATATCCAGAATCTGTAAAGAACTTAGACAAATCAACAAACAAAAAACAACTCCATTAGAAAATGGATAAAGGACATGAATAGACACTTCTCAAAAGAAAACATACACATGGCCAACAGGCATATGAAACAATGCCTAATATCACTAATAATTAGGAAAATGCAAATTCAAAACCACAGTGATATACCATCTCACATTAGTCAGAATGGCTATTACTAAAAAGTTCAAAAATAACAGATGTTACGGTGGTTGTGGAGAAAAGAGAATGCTTATATGCTGCTGTTGGGAATGTAAATTACTTCAGCCACAATGGAAAACAGTCTGGAGATTTCTCAAAGAATGTAAAACAGAGCTACCATTCGACCCAGCAATCTCATTTCTGGGCATATACCCAAAGAAATATAAATCATTCTACCATAAAGATACATGCATGAGTATATTCGTTGCAGCACTATTCACAATAGCAAAGACATGGAATCAGCCTAGATGGCCATCAGTGGTGGACTGGATAAAGAAAATATGGTGTATATACATCATGGAATACTACGCAGTCAAAAAAAAGAATGAGATCACATCTTTTGCAGCAACATGGATGGAGCTGAAGGCCATTATCCTACGCGAATTAATGTAGGAAGAGAAAACCAAACACCAGATGTTCTCACTTATAAGTGAGAGCTAAACATTGAGGACACATGGACACAAAGAAGGGAGCAATAGACACTGGGACCTACTTGTGGGTGGAGGGTGAGAGGAAGGTGAAGATTGAAAAACTATCTATCGGGTATTATGCTGATTGCCTGGGTGACAAAATTATCTGTATACCAAACTCCCAAGACATACAATTTACCCATATAACAGACCTGCGCATATATACCCTGAACCTAAAATAAAAGTTGGAAAGAAAAAAGAAAGAAAATGTGGTATATCAATGTAATGGAATATTATTCAGCAACAAAAAGAAACAAAATATGAAGGCATGTTACAACATGGTTAAACCTGTAAAATCTTATGATAAATAAAAGAAGCCAGGCAAAAGGGCATACATTGTATGATTCTGTGTATACAAAGTGTCCAGAAAATGCAGATTTATACAGACAGAAAGCAGATCAGTGGTTATTTGGGCCTGAGAGTGGGAGTGAGTGGCTACTGACTGAATGGGCACAAGACAGCTATGGATGGTGATGACAATGTTCTAAAACTGGATTGTGATGACAGTACCACAACTCTATAAGTGTATTTAAAAATTTCTGAATTTGTAAAATCAATGAATATTTTAAATCTTGCCTATCTAATTCATCTATCAATATGTCATATGTATGCATATATGTAAAACACCATAACGTATGTGTGTATAGTACAGTTTTTTCATACATATATGGATTTGTAACCTTTTTTTTGTTTGTTTTTGTTTTTTTTGAGATGGAGTCTTGCTCTGTCACCCAAGCTGGAGTGCAATGGCATGATCTCGGCTCACTACAACCTCCACCTCCTGGGTTCACACCATTCTCCTGCCTCAGCCTCCTGAGTAGCTGGGACTACAGGAACATGCCACCATGCCCGGCTGATTTTTGTATTTTTTAGTAGAGACGGGGTTTCACCATGTTGGTCAGGCTGGTCTCAAACTCCTGACTTCAGATGATCCACCCACCTCGGCCTCCCAAAGTGCTGGGATTACAGGTGTGAGCCACCACGCCTGGCCTGTAACAGTTTTTTAACTTTATTAAAAGGTTATCATTGAATGTAATCTGGCATTTGCCTTTTTGATAAATTTTATGTTATTAAGATTAATTTTTTGTGTAGTGGTGCAGCTATAATTCATACAATTTTGCTAATATCTAATAATCCATTATATGATGAAACCATGTTTTACTTAACTATATGCCTATTAAAGATTTTTGCTATTGTCAAAAATACTGTCATGAATGTTCTTGCATGTCTCCTTACATAAACTTGTGATTTTTGAGTATATAAAAACCTCGGAATATATTTATAGTTATTACCAGACACTTAATATTCTTTGAGACTGTTGTACATGGTATGTTTTTAATTGCTTTCTAGTTTTGTGGTTGATGCATAGAAGTACAATAAACTCCACATATTTGTCTTATATCTAGACACCATGCTAAAAGATTTTATTATTTCAATCGATTTGGATTTGTTCTTTATATTTTTAATCTGGTCTTGATGTTAGGTTTATAATGGCTTTTTTTGTTAAAGGATTTGGAAAGAATTTCATTTTTTTGTAGTCGTTTTAAGATTGGGATAAAATTTGCCTTGCAAGTTTGATGGGAACTACCTATAATAAAATCGTCTTATCCCTATGTTTGCTTTGTATAAGCATTTTAAAAACTATTGCTTTAATTTATGTAATAGTTATGGAACAACTCATGCTTTCTATTTTCACATAAATGAGTTGCATTTTAAGTAATTAACATGGAAAATACTGAGTATATGAATAATTTCCTTTGAAAAGTCTCTTTTATCTGTAGTTTTATCCACTTTGTAATTAATAATACTTAAAAAGACTGGTTTTTAGAGCAGATTTAAATGTACAGAAAATGTATGCAGAAAATGTAGAGAGTTCCTATATGCCCCCTTGCCATATCTTATAGGGTTTCTCCTATTGTTTAACCCCTCGTGTTAATGTGGTACATTTGTTAAAACTGATCAACCAATATTAATATATGATTGTTAATTAAAATCCAAAATAGATATTAGAGTTCACTCTTTGTGTTGTACAATTTTTGACAAATGTATAATGTTATGTGTCTACCATTACAACTGCGGATTACATTACAGTTACAGTACATGAAAATTAGTTTCACCCCCACAAATGCCCTGACATCCTTCTATTCATCCCTCTCCACATTTTACCCTGAATTCTTGGCAGTTGCTGATCCTTTTGTTGTCTACACGTAATTTTGCCTTTTCTAGAATGTCATATATTTAGAAACAAGCAGTATATAACTTTTGCAGACTGCTCATTCAAAATGTTTTTATTTGTTTTTTTTTTCCTCGGTTTCTTTTGGAACAGTTTAGTCGATTTTATTTTTTCAAAAAAACAATTTTTGACTTTATTGATGTTCTCAATTGTGTTGTTTATCTATTTTATCAATTTCTGCTCTTAGTTTCTTTCTTTCTTTGTAATTTCTTTGATTTTATTTTGTTGTTTTGTCCAGTTTCTTAAGTTTTACCCTTATCTTATTAATGTTAAGATTTTTTTCTTTTCTTATATAAGTAAACAACGCTATAGATTTCCCTCAAAACACTTCAGGTGTAGGCTACACGTTTTAAAACATAGTATTATCATTATTAAGTAGTTCTAGATAATTATAATATTTTCTCATGTGTTAATTAGGTACATTTTTGTTTGAATTTCAAAATGTGTGGGAAGTTTTTATTTTTGTAATTAACTTTTAACGGATTTGAAGTATGATCAGAAAATAGTCTGCAATATATTCTTTGAAATTTGTGGAGGCTTGAATTATATTCCAGTATATGACTAATTTTTGTAATGTTGCTTATATTCTTGAGAAGCAGATTTTTTCTTAAATAGTTTTTAGCATTCTATATGTAAGTATAGATCAAGCTTCTTAATTGTGTTTAGATCCTATATATACATATATTTTATCGGCTTGCCTTATTAATAAGTGAGAAATTCACATTGAAATCTCCCATTCTGATGATGGATTTATATATTTATAACTGTAGTCCTACGATTTTTTGCTTAATATATAGAAAACTTCTTGAATTGTATATATGTTTAAAATTATTGTATCTTCTCCCTTGATGAATGGAAACATTTATCAATGTATATGGGACCTTTCTATCCCTAATGATTAGTTTTGATTTAAAGTCTATTTTGTTTACTATCAGTATAGCTATACTAGTGTGCCTTTCTTTTCGAATTTGGTTGGTATGTCTTTTGGCATCATTTTAATTTCACCTTTTTGTATTCTTTTTTGCTTTTTTTTTTTTTTTTTGAAACGTAGTCTCCCTTTGTCACCCAGGCTGGAGTGCAGTGGTGTGGTCTCGGCTCACTGCAAGCTCCACCTCCCGGGTTCACGCCATTCTCCTGCCTCAGCCTCCCCAGTAGCTGGGACCACAGGCACCCACCACCACGCCTGGCTAATTTTTTGTATTTTTAGTAGAGACGGGGTTTCACTGTGTTAGCCAGGATGGTCTTGATCTCCTGACCTTGGGATCCACCCGCCTCGGCCTCCCAAAGTGTTGGGACTACAGGCGTGAGCCACTGTGCCAGGCCCATCTTTTTGTATTCTTATCGTTTATGTGTGTCTCTTCTTTTTTTTTGGGGGGGGGAGTTTGTGATTTTTTTATTTTATTTTATTATTATTATATTTTAAGTTTTAGGGTACATGTGCACAACATGCAGGTTTGTTACATATGTATACATGTGCCATGTTGGTGTGCGGCACCCATTAACTCGCCATGTAGCATTAGGTATATCTCCTAATGCTATCACTCCCCACTCCTCCCACCCCACAACAATCCCTGGAGTGTGATGTTCCCTTTCCTGTGTCCATGTGTTCTCATTGTTCAATTCCCACCTATGAGTGAGGACATGCAGTGTTTGGTTTTTTGTCCTTGCAATAGTTTGCTGAGAATGATGGTTTCCAGTTTCATCCATGTCCCTACAAAGGACATTAACTCATCATGTTTTATGGCTGCATAGTATTCCATGGTGTATATGTGCCACATTTTCTCAATCCAGTCTTTCATTGTTGGACATTTGGGTTGGTTCCAGGTCTTTGCTATTGTGAATAGTGCCGCAATAAACATACGTGTGCATGTGTCTTTATAGCAGCATGATTTATAATCCTTTGGGTATATACCCAGTAATGGGATGGCTGGGTCAAATGGTATTTCTAGTTCTAGATCCCTCAGGAATCGCCACACTGTCTTCCACAATGGTTGAACCAGTTTACAGTCCCACCAACAGTGTAAAAGTGTTCCTATTTCTCCACATCCTCTCCAGCACCTGTTGTTTCCTGACTTTTTAATGATTGCCATTCTAACTGGTGTGAGATGGTATCTCACTGTGGTTTTGATTTGCATTTCTCTGATGGCCAGTGATGATGAGCATTTTTTCATGTGTCTGTTGGCTGCATAAAAGTCTTCTTTTGAGAAGTGTCTGTTCACATCCTTCACCCACTTGTTGATGGGGTTGTTTGTTTTTTTCTTGTAAATTTGTTTGAGTTCATTGTAGATTGTGGATATTAGCCCTTTGTCAGATGAGTAGGTTGCAAAAATTTTCTCCCATTTTGTAGGTTGCCTGTTCACTCTGATGGTAGTTTCTTTTGCTGTGCAGAAGCTCTTTAATTTAATTAGAACCCATTTGTCAATTTTGGCTTTTGTTGCCATTGCTTTTGGTGTTTTAGACATGAAGTCCTTGCCCATGCCTATGTCCTCAATGGTATTGCCTAGGTTTTCTTCTAGGGTTTTTATGGTTTTAGGTCTAACATGTAAGTCTTTAATCCATCTGGAATTAATTTTTGTATAAGGTGTAAGGAAGGGATCCAGTTTCAGCTTTCTACATATGGCTAGCCAGTTTTCCCAGCACCATTTATTAAATAGGGAATCCTTTTCCCATTGCTTGTTTTTGTCAGGTTTGCCAAAGATCAGATAGTTGTAGATACGCGGCATTATTTCTGAGGGCTCTGTTCTGTTCCATTGATCTATATCTCTGTTTTGGTACCAGTACCATGCTGTTTTGGTTACTGTAGCCTTGTAGTATAGTTGGAAGTCAGGTAGCGTGATGCCTCCAGCTTTGTTCTTTTGGCTTAGGATTGACTTGGCAATGCAGGCTCTTTTTTGGTTCCAGATGAACTTTAAAGTAGTTTTTTCCAATTCTGTGAAGAAAGTCATTGGTAGCTTGATGGGGATGGCATTGAATCTATAGATTACCTGGGGCAGTATGGCCATTTTCACGATATTGATTCTTCCTACCCATGAGCATGGAATGTTCTTCCATTTGTTTGTATCCTCTTTAATTTCATTGAGCAGTGGTTTGTAGTTCTCCTTGAAGAGGTCCTTCACATCCCTTGTAAGTTGGATTCCTAAGTATTTTATTCTCTTTGAAGCAATTGTGAATGGGAATTCACTCATGATTTGGCTCTCTGTTTGTCTGTTATTGGTGTATAAGAATGCTTGTGATTTTTGCTCATTGATTTTGTATCCTGAGACTTTGCTGAAGTTGCTTATCAGCTTAAGGAGATTTTGGGCTGAGATGGTGGGGTTTTCTAGATATGCAATCATGTCATCTGCAAACAGGGACAATTTGACTTCCTCTTTTCCTATTTGAATACCCCTTATTTCCTTCTCCTGCCTAAGTGCCCTGGCCAGAACTTCCAACACTATGTTGAATAGGAGTGGTGAGAGAGGGCATCCCTGTCTTGTGCCAGTTTTCAAAGGGAATGCTTCCAGTTTTTGCCCATTCAGTATGATATTGGCTGTGGGTTTGTCATAGATAGCTCTTATTATTTTGAGATACATCCCATCAATACCTAATTTATTGAGAGTTTTTAGCATGAAGAGTTGTTGAATTTTGTCAAAGGCCTTTTCTGCATCTATTGAGATAATCATGTGGTTTTTGTCTTTGGTACTGTTTATATGCTGGATTACATTTATTGATTTGTGTATATTGAACCAGCCTTGCATCCCAGGGATGAAGCCCACTTGATCGTGGTGGATAAGCTTTTTGGTGTGCTGCTGGATTCGGTTTGCCAGTATTTTATTGAGGATTTTTGCATCAATGTTCATCAAGGATATTGGCCTAAAATTCTCTTTTTTGGTTGTGTCTCTGCTAGGCTTTGGTATGAGGATGATGCTGGCCTCATAAAATGAGTTAGGGAGGATTCCCTCTTTTTCTATTAATTGGAATAGTTTCAGAAGGAATGGTACCAGCTCCTCCTTGTACCTCTGGTAGAATTCGGTTGTGAATCCATCTGGTCCTGGAGTTTTTTTGGTTGGTAAGCTATTGATTATTGCCTCAATTTCAGAGCCTGTCATTGGTCTATTCAGAGATTCACCTTCTTCCTGGTTTAGTCTTGGGAGAGTGTATGTGTTGAGGAATTTATCCATGTCTTCTAGATTTTCTAGTTTATTTGCGTAGAGGTATTTGTAGTATTCTCTGATGGTAGTTTGTATTTCTGTGGGATCGGTGGTGATATCCCCTTTATCATTTTTTATTGCATGTATGTGATTGTTCTCTCTTTTCTTCTTTATTAGTCTTGCTAGTGGCCTATCAATTTTGTTGATCTTTTCAAAAAACTAGCTCCTGGGTTCATTGATTTTTTGAAGGGTTTTTGTGTCTCTATTTCCTTCAGTTCTGCTCTGATTTTAGTTATTTCTTGCCTTCTGCTAGCTTTTGAATGTGTTTGCTCTTGCTTTTCTAGTTCTTTTAATTGTGATGTTAGGGTGTCAATTTTGGATCTTTCCTGCTTTCTCTTGTGGGCATTTGGTGCTATAAATTTCCCTCTACACACTGCTTTGAATGTGTCCCAGATATTCTGGTATGTTGTGTTTTTGTTCTCATTGGTTTCAAAGAACATCTTTATTTCTGCCTTCATTTTCTTATGTACCCAGTAGTCATTCAGGAGTAGGTTGTTCAGTTTCCATGTAGTTGTGCAGTTTTGAGTGAGTTTCTTAATCCTGAGTTCTAGTTTGATTGCACTGTGGTCTGAGAGACAGTTTTTTATAATTTCTATTCTTTTACATTTGCTGTGGAGTGTTTTACTTCCAAGTATGTGGTCAATTTTGGAATAGGTGTGGTGTGGTGCTGAGAAAAATGTATATTCTGTTGATTTGGGGTGGAGAGTTCTGTAGATGTCTATTAGGTCCGCTTGGTGTAGAGCTGAGTTCAATTCCTGGGTATCCTTTATAACTTTCTGTCTCGTTGATCTGTCTAATGTTGACAGTGGGGTGTTAAAGTCTCCCATTATTATTGTGTGGGAGTCTAAGTCTCTTTGTAGGTCACTCAGGACTTGCTTTATGAATATGGGTGCTCCTGTATTGGGTGCATATATATTTTGGATAGTTAGCTTTTCTTGTTGAATTGATCCCTTTACCATTAGGTAATGGCCTTCTGTGTCTCTTTTGATCTTTGTTGGTGTAAAGTCTGTTTTATCAGAGACTTGGATTGCAATGCCTGCCTTTTTTTGTTTTCCATTTGCTTGGTAGATCTTCCTCCATCCCTTTATTTTGAGCCTATGTGTATCTCTGCATGTGAGATGGGTTTCCTGAATACAGCACACTGATGGGTCTTGACTCTTTATCCAATTTGCCAGTCTGTGTCTTTTAATTGGAGCATTTGGCCCATTTACATTTAAAGTTAATATTGTTATGTGTGAATTTGATCCTGTCATTATGATGTTAGCTGGTTATTTTGCTCGTTAGTTGATGCAGTTTCTTCCTAGCCTTGATGGTCTTTACATTTTGGCATGTTTTTGGCAAAATTTGTCTTTACATTTTGGCAGTACCAGTGGCTGGTACTGGTTGTTCCTTTCCATGTTTAATGCTCTCTTCAGGAGCTCTTTTAGGGCAGGCCTGGTGGTGACAAAATCTCTCAGCATTTGCTTGTCTGTAAAGGATTTTATTTCTCCTTCACTTATGAAGCTTAGTTTGGCTGGATATGAAATTCTGGGTTGAAAATTCTTTTCTTTAAGAATGTTGAATATTGGCCCCCACTCTCTTCTGCCTTGTAGAGTTTCTGCCGAGAGATCCGCTGTTAGTCTGATGGGCTTCCCTTTGTGGGTAACCCAACCTTTCTCTCTGGCTCCCCTTAACATTTTTTCCTACATTTCAACTTTGGTGAATCTGACAATTATGTGTCTTGGAATTGCTCTTCTCGAGGAGTGTCTTTGTGGTGTTCTCTGTATTTCCTGAATCTGAATGTTGGCCTGCCTTGCTAGATTGGGCAAGTTCTCCTGGATAATATCCTGCAGAGTGTTTTCCAACTTGGTTCCATTCTCCCCGTCACTTTCAGGTACACCAATCAGACGTAGATTTGGTCTTTTCACATAGTCCCATATTTCTTGGAGGCTTTGTTCATTTCTTTTTATTTTTTTTTCTCTAAACTTCCCCTCTCACTTCATTTCATTCATTTCATCTTCCATCACTGATACCCTTTCTTCCAGTTGATCGCATCGGCTCCTGAGGCTTCTGCATTCTTTATGTAGTTCTCGAGCCTTGGCTTTCGGCTCCATCAGCACCTTTAAGCACTTCTCTGTATTGGTTATTCTAGGTATCCATTCATCTAATTTTTTTTCAAAGTTTTTAACTTCTTTGCCATTGGTTTGAATTTCCTCCTGTAGCTCGGTGTAGTTTGATCATCTGAAGCCTTCTTCTCTCAACTCGTCAATTCATTCTCCATCCAGCTTTGCTCCATTGCTGGTGAGGAGCTGCATTCCTTTGCAGGAGGAGAGGTGCTCTACTTTTTAGAGTTTACAGTTTTTCTGCTCTGTTTTTTCCCCATCTTTGTGGTTTTATCTACTTTTGGTCTTTGATGATGGTGACGTGCAGATGTGTTTTTGGTGTGGATGTCCTTTCTGTTTGTTAGTTTTCCTTGTAACAGACAGGACCCTCAGCTGCAGGTCTGTTGGAGTTTGCTAGAGGTCCACTCCAGATGCTGTTTGCCTGGGTATCAGCAGCAGTGGCTGCAGAACAGCAGTGGCTGTAGAACAGTGGATATTGGTGAACCACAAATGCTGCTGCCTGATCGTTCCTCTGGAAGTTTTGTCTCAGAGGAGTACTGGGCCATGTGAGGTGTCAGTCTGCCCCTACTGGGTGGTGCCTCCCAGTTAGGCTGCTCGGGGGTCAGGGACCCACGTGAGGAGGCAGTCTGCCGGTTCTCAGATCTCCAGAAACAAAGGCAGGACAATTGAAGCAATAAGCAAAGGTAATACAAATAAATCCAAATAGATCAATAACTTCAGTGAATATAAAAGGGATCAGTTCAGCAATTAAAAGACAGAGACTGGCAGGTTGGGTTTTTTTAAAGTTCTGTGTAGAAGAGACACACATATAGGTGGAACCAAGATGGCCGAATAGGAACAGCTCTGGTCTACAGCTCCCAGCGTGAGCCACGCAGAAGACAGATGATTTCTGCATTTCCATCTGAGGTACTGGCTTCATCTCACTAGGGAGTGCCAGACAGAGGGAGCAGGACAGTGGGTGCAGTGCACTGTGTGCAAGCCAAAGCAGGGTGAGTCATTGCCTCACGCGGGAAGCGCAAGGGGTCAGGGAGTTCCCTTTCCTAGTCAAAGAAAGGAGTGACAGACGGCACCTGGAAAATCGGGTCACTCCCACCCTAATAGTGCGCTTTTCCAATAGGCTTAAAAAACGGCACACCAGGAGATTATATCCCGCACCTGGCTCCGAGGGTCCTATGCCATGGAGTCTTGCTGATTGCTAGCACAGCAGTCTGAGATCAAACTGCAAGGCGGCAGCCAGGCTGGGGGAGGGGCGCCTGCCATTGCCCAGGCTTGATTAGGTAAACAAAGCAGCAGGGAAGCTCTAACTGGGTGGAGCCCACCACAGCTCAAGGAGGCCTTCCTGCCTCTGTAGGCTCCACCTCTGGGGGCAGGACACAGACAAACACAAAGACAGCAGTAACCTCTGCAGACTTAAATGTCCCTGTCTGACAGCTTTGAAGAGAGCAGTGGTTCTACCAGCACGCAGCTGGAGATCTGAGAACAGGCAGACTGCCTCCTCAAAAATTATACTTTTGTAATAAATATTTTAAATTATATATTATATAATTTTTTATTTTTTAATAAGATTATATTTGTTATTCTTATTATAAAATTGTTTGTTCCATGCTCTTTAATATCTCTGCCTCTGATGGTATCTCTCATTTAGTTTGCTGTTTTCTTTTGAACTGGCAGTACTCATTTGTCCTCTAGGTCCATGTTAAGATAAGGGCTTGAATACCAGAACTTTTTTTGGTGATGATCTCAGTGAGTTCAAAAGAGGAGTGAAAACTTTAATGTGAAGAGTTACAGACTCTTTATCCACACTGAACAACTCTTCCAGCAAGGATTTTATTTTCAGCTGTTTCACTCCACCTTCATGATGGGGAGAAGAGATTCCTTACATTATAAACCACCATTGTGGTTTGAAGAGAAGGGGTAATTCAATCCATACCTGCTTTTCTGAGCTCCTCTCTCTATGAGAGCTTTTGTGGACCTGCACGCCTGCCCCAGTGGTCTGAGTCATGAGGAGGAAGCACTGATGGTCTGAAGGCAAGAGATGTTCTCAAATGGCTTTTTCTAATTTATCTCTCTTTACTTCATTGACTGGTCCCTTGCCTTGTACGGGAGCCCCAACCGCGTACCTGTGCAATAATTCACATAGCTCTCCCACTTTCCCAGTGTTGCCCACAGTTGTCTCAGTTATTTCCTAGCTTTTTAAAAGTTTACTTCAATAGGTCCCTCACCCCACCATCTATGTTAGTAGTAGGAGATAGCAGCCTGGGCTAATTCTGCTTCTTATTGAGAGTCAGAATCAAATGCAGGTTTTTGATCCACCTCATAAAGAGGAGAATCACAGGCTAAGTTAAGTTAAATAAAATGTGCCAGAGTTCATCACTAATAATGAGCTAAACCACATTTCAAGCCCTGCAGGATTGAATCCAAAGCCCATGCTCTTTCTCTTCCACTTTGCTTTGTCTCTAGGAGGGATTAGATTAGGCTAAATCTACATTTATGAAGCTTTGTAGCAACCAAGTTTTTTTTCTTACACTTTCATTGTGACCTGAAGAAAAAGCAGTTGGGATAAGTTATAGAATGTCTTCAGAGTGTCAAGCTCTCTGAAATTCTGCAAATAAGCAATTACAATAAAAAAGTGCAGCATGGTCTCCTTTGTGCTTTTCCACAGAGCAAATTCACTGTTGGTTTGTCTGACCTTGAAACCTTTGTGTCACTGCTTTGCGCAATTAGCAGAATCTAAATGGATATTCAGGTCACATCTGTGCTGAATTGTTTTATTTATGTTGATTGATTGTGGATTATGACACAGCATCCCTACTTATTCAGAATAAGTGTAGTGAGGAGTTTTAAGGACAGTGAACCAGCTGCAGAAAGGTCGAGAAGAGAGAAGAGTGTAATACTGCAACTTGATAATGTAAACTTCAAGAAGGAATTTTTATTAAGCCATAAAGAACATCTGTACCATCTTAAGACTGTGAAAGTTCAAGCTTATTAGACACTAGCTGCATAATGAATTCTGCATACAGTCATCATAAAACCTCCTCCACCTGCCATGGCTTCTGAGGGGCACTTAGTATATTTCTTACCAGGAATATGTTTCAAAACTTTTCCCTCCATTTCATCTAATGGCCAACAAGAATACATGAATATCTTCAGGTTGTTTGACACGACTTGAAGGAACTACAGAAAATTGTTATAGAAAATTCAAAAATAATTTTTTTGAATGATGCTGTTTTACTTAAAAAATTTAAGCAATTTTGCTCCATAAGATAGCCATATTTACTTTAATAAATTAAAACATCCTTCATTTCCTGAATCTTGTGGTTTGCAACCTACCTCAGTTCTCAGTGAAATTCTCGGAATCTCAGAGCTGCAACTTCTGCATATATTTGTAGAGCTGGGCAAGGGTTTCTTATGTGTGTCCAAGGTGAAAGCCACTGCTGTAGAGGGATTCTTGTGCAGCATTCTATTCCCCTGGGCATAAGAATAAGCAGTTCTGCTTGAGAAGTGAGGAACTAAACTCTGAAGATTGAATTCTATTCTCTAATAAATCTACAGAGACATTAAAGGTGAGAGGCTACAAGGACAAAACAGAAAAGTCTGGTTAAGATTTTTGACGAGCTTCTTCACAGGGGAAGAGTATTGGACTTGACACCATTAGAAGGAGACAACAAAGTCCCTGGCTAAGTCACTGATGATACAAGTTGCAGCTTTGTCTATCACAGGCCAATAAATTTTAATGAAAATGAGCCACTTTTCAAAATGTCCTTCCTCAAAATGCTTACGATAGTGGCTTGGTCTATTGCTTATTCAGATACACAAACAGCAACAACAAAAATTGTCCTCTTTGGCTCCCTTTTTGGGCCTTCTTCAGTTAGGTATAGCCCACTACTTCAGTCAACAGTGGGACCACTTTGTACGGGCTCTTGTCTATGAACATCAGGGAAGAGGTAAAGGGAAGAGCAGAAATGCCTTCTAACAAGTAACTTCCTCTAGTAGTGTTCTCAGTACTAGAAATTGTTACTTTCCTTTCTAATATTTGTTCCCCCATTTTTTTTTTCTAACAGAAGGATGGTTGAAGTTTAGGTATCTACCACTTCCCGACATGGCTCTGAGCAAGTCCTGATTAAAACATGGGGATCTCAATCTCTTATTCAGTGATTTATTTATGATAGGCTTGTGACCTAATTCTGGCCAAAACCCAAAAGGGCAGACCCTTAAAGGACTTCTCCTATTAAGCAGATTTCAGAAAGCATTGTCTTTTTTATTTTTTCTGCCTTAGGCTTTTGTTGTGTATGGGTGTAATGTTTTGAATTTCAGAAGCCGTCTTACTCTTGAGGGGAGCCAGCCCAGGGCGAAGTGAGCTATTGCAAATGGTGGAGAGAAGAGATGAAGAGAAACTGAGTAATGCCATTGGGCTGCAAAATCAAAACATTCTAGAGCCCTATTTTATTATTATTATTTTCTAATTTGGAGCAGCTTTAGGTTCGTGGCAAAACTGAGCAGAGAGTACAGAGAGTTCCCACATACTCCCTGCCCCCTCACACCCCCACCTCTCCCAGTATCAACATCCTGAACCAGATTGGTACATTCGTTACAATCCATGAACCTACATTGAGAGAACACCACTCAAAGTTCATAGTTTACATTAGGGTTCACTCTTGTTGTAGTACATTCTATTAGTTTTGACAAATGTAATGACATGTATCCACCATTAGAGTATCCACCTATTTGTCCCTCCCCACCCCCAACTCCTGGCAACCACCATCTCCATAGTTTTCCTTTTCCAGAATGTTGTATATTTGTAATAATAAATTATGTAGGCTTTTTGAAACCACCTTTGCAAAATTATACCAGTGACAGAATTGAACATAACTGACTTTGTTTTGCTTCTCACCTCTTAAGCTAACTGCCTTTGCTCAATCCTGTGTTTAGGCCAAGCTAACTATGGGAGGAAATTAGTTTATAATTTAGCTGAGTAATTTAGTTTATTACTTAACTTTAAAGCAGAGGCTTAACAGCCTCTTCCCAAAACATACTCCCTCCCTGTTCAAAAATGGAAATCACCCTTGGAAAACTAATGAAAGGCCAGAAGTTAAAATTATAATAGGTGCCTGAATTCTGCAACACTTGCAGTCTCAGTGTGTTGGCTTTTTCTGTGCAGAAAATGTTATAAATATATAAATCTTGCAAGAAGAGCAAGGCAAGTCCATTGGGCTGTAACATTTTCAGATCAGCTTCTTTCATTTTGTAATATACATTTAATTTTCTTTCATGTCCTTTTGTGACTCAGCTTATTTTTCTCTGGACTCTTTTTATGACATATATTTATAATATAACATTATATAATAACTTGGAAGCCTAAAAAAACCTAACCAATATGGTTTCTATGCTTAATATAAGAAGAACATGAGTCAGGGGGTCAGGGAACTTGGGCTTCAGTTCCAGGTTAGGCATGAATTACCTATGTGATTTAAGGCTGAACATTTTCTTTCTGGAACAAACAATGCACACTCACCATGTTGGGTACTGAGATGAGCTCCCCAAATCCATTTTATCCCAGATAATTGGGGTAGCCAATCAGTTTATGGCATCCCCCTGGTAAGTATAAATATTATTGGCCTAGCTATGAGCACATACTAATTTGATCTAATCAGACTGAGGAGAGGTATTACATAGGTTTAATAAAGAGGATCTCTCTAGCTGCATGGGCCAAAACAGCATGTATTCTCATTTGTTGATGGTGGCTCTCTTGCAACTCTGAGGAGAATCAGCCACATGATGGAGTCTATGCTGAGGATAGAAGATGAGAGAGATGGAAAGTACCTATATTTTCCATTGTTCATTGCTAAGGCTATATGTGGAGTTAATTCTGCCTCAGAAACTTCCATAAAGAAACATAATAAATTTATTGTTAAAGTCACTTAGAGTTTAGATTTTGTCCTCTCTAGTTCACATTATCTTAATAGGTAACAAATATTTTTCTGCAGATCAAATGAGAAACTGTAAGTAAAGATGCTTTGAAATATTGACACCATACACATTTGAGAAAGTATTGCTATTTTAAAAATTGTAGTAAGTATATACTTCTCATGGGCCACTGGGAAAGTGAGTAGATAACATTTATTGCATATCAGCCAAGTGAGAGGAGCTCTGCATAGGTTCTTAATGTTACTATCATGAAAAATCAATGAGATATTAGTAATCTCATTAAACAGATGAGGAAATTGAGACTCACCAAAATTAGAAAAAGGGTCAGAATGTACATGATTGACACATATCCAAGTTGGATAGCTTATACCTACCTGTTTTCAAAGTCTGTGTTCTCTTCACTACCATGAGCTACTTTCAGCTTAGTTATTCCCTGGCAACAATATCGCAAAAATGGTATTTGAGCTAAGTAAGAAGATTCATCCAAAAGGGTTAACAGTATGAGTAATGACACAGAGATAGAAAAAATATTATGGTGTTCAGCGAGTGGAAAAGATGCTGGAGCACATTGTGTTTCAGGGAGTGGCGCGGTAGGGAAAGAAAGTTTCAGGAGGCAGAGAGGAAAGGTTAAGCCAAGTCGGAATGGAGGAGCTGGCATGTGTGCAATGGGAGTTGACAGGGGAGAATAAAAGCTTCTAAATTTGAGCATGAGGAGCAGGAATGTAATGTCCAGGTTTTTTTTTTTTTTTTTTTTTTTTTTTTTTTTTTTTTTTTTTAAGGTAAATCTGGCAGCCATGTACAGAATAAATTGTAGAGGTCAGGGTAGAAGGAAGCAAAGAGTCTCTCTCCTCCCATGTTTCAAATGTGCATCACATTTTGTCTCTGACTTCACCTCCCTTTGCCCTTCCATGCTTACACCTCTGTTGTAGATCTTATATCATCTCTTCCATTTATTTATTTAATTGAAAATGTAAGTTGTATGTACTTATGATGTACAATGTGATGTTTTGAAATATGTATACATTGTGGAATGGCTAAATCAAGCTAATTAACATATGTATTACTTCACATACTTATCTACTATCTTGGCAACTTAAGTATATAACACTGTCCTTCCTTTGTATCCATAGGGGATTGGTTTCAGGACCCCCTGTGGATATCAAACTCCATGGATGCTCAAGTCCCTTACATGAAATGGTGTAGTATTTGCATATAACCTACACATATCCTCAGGTATATTTTAAATCCTCTCTAGGTGATTTATAATACCTAATACAATGTAAGGGCTATGTAATAGTTGTTATACAGCATTGTTTAGGGAATGATAATAAGAAAAAAGTCTGTAGATGTTCAATACAGAATCAACTATCCTTTTTTTGTTTTTTTAATATTTTTGTTCATGGTTAGTTGAACTCACAGATGTGAAACCCGTAGATATAGTGGGCTGACTCTATATTGTTACTGACTATAGTCACTATGATGTACAATAGATTTCTTGAGGTTATTTCTCCTTTATAACTGAAATTTTATGTCTTTTGACCAAAATCTTCCATATCCTACAACCCCCAGCCCATAGTAACTCTCTGCTTCTATGAGTTTGGCTTTTTTAGATTCCACATATAAAGAAGATCATGTATTTGTCTTTCTGGATGGCTTATCTCACTTAGCTTGGAAGGTTCATCCATGTTGTTGCAAATGACCAGATTACATTTTCTAAAACTGAAAAATATCCCATTGTATATGTACACACTATATTTTCCCTGTCAGTTAATCCATTGATTAACAGTTAGGTTGTGTCCATCTTAGCTATTGTAACGCTCATATCTTGGCTATTGTAATGATTTCATATCTTGGCTATTGTAATGCTCCAATGAACATGAGAAATCAGGTATCTAATAAACTGATTTCATGTTCTTTGGATATGTACACATAACTGGGATTACTGGAGCATATGGTAGTTCTATTTTTAATTTTTTTGAGGAACTTCTGTGCTGTTTTGCATAATGGCTTTACAAATTTACATCTCACTAATAGTGTACAAGTGTTCCCTCTTCTTTATATCCTCACCAACACTTGTTACCTCTCATCTTTTTGAAAATAGCTATTCTAACGTGTGAGGTGATTGTGGTTTTAATTTGCATTTCCCTTATGACTATGTTGAGCATTTTTTCAACATGTCTGTTGGCCATTTGAGTTTCTTCTTTTGAAAAGTGTTAATTTAGATTCTTTGCTCATTTGTCAATGAGGTTATTTGTTTTGTTGTTATTCAGTTGGTTTAATTTTTAATGTATTTTTGATAGTACCCCCTTATTAGATGTATGGTTTGCAATTTTTTTATTCCAAAGATTGTCTCTTTATTCATTGTTCCCTTTGCTGTGTGTAGGTTTTTAATTTAATGTAATTTCATTTGTGTATTTTTGTTTTTGTTGCATGTGCTTTTGGGATTATATTAAACAAATCATTGCCCAGACTGCTATCATGGAGTTTCCCCCTGTTTTCTTTTAGTAGTTTACAGTTTCAGGTCTTATGTTTAAATATTTCATCCATTTTGAGTTGATTTTTGTATATGATGTAAGGTAATGGTATAATTATATTTTTTTTGCATGAAGGAAATATTTTTCCACCACCACTCATTGAAGAGACTGCTTTTTCCCCATTGTGTATGCTCAACATCTTTGTTGAAAATCAATTGACTAAATGTGTGGATTTATTTCTGGGCTCTCTATCCTGTTCCATTGGTCCATGTGTCTGTTTTGATGCCAGTACCATTTTTTATTTGCTATAACTTTGTAGTTTCAGTCTCTATAAATTTATCTATTCTCAGTATTTTTTTATAAATGGAATCACATAATATGTGACTTTTTGCATCTTGCTTCTTTCACTTAGCACAGTATTTTTGAGATACATCCACATTATAGCATGTTTCACCAGTTCATTTTCTTGTTTGGGCTGAATGGTATTCCATTGTTTGTATATAGCACAATTTGTTTACCCGTTTATCTATTGATGGAAGTTTGTGTCATTTCAATTTTGTTACTATTGACCACAGTACAGATATAAACATGTATGTACATGTATTTATTGTGTACCTGTTTTTGATTCTTTTGTGTATATACCTAGGAGTTGAATTGCTGGACGATATGGTGATTCTATGTTTAACTTTCTGAGGGACCACCCAACTGTTATTGAAAGTGACAGAACCATTTTATATTCCCACCAGAGATGTATGAATGTTCCATTTTTCACATTCTTGCCAACATACTTTTCTTTCTCCCTCCCTCCCCCCTTTCCTCCTTTCTTTCTTCCTTCCTCTTCTTTGTAGCCACCTTAATAGGTGTGAAGTGGTATTTCTTTGAGGTTTTGATTTGCAGTGGTTTATGATATTGAGTATCTTTTCATGTGGTTGTTGGCCATTTGTATATCCTCTTTGGAGAAATTTATATTCAAATACTTTGCCCATTTTTCAACTGGGTTGTTTATTTTTTGTTGTTGAGTTGTAAAAATTATTTATGTATTCTGAATATTAGACTCTTTTATCAGATACACAATTTGCAAATATTTTCCACATTCTTCAGGTTGTTTTTCACTTTATTGATAATGTCCTCTGATGCACAAATGTTTTAAATTTATCCAGTTGATCTTATTTTTTGTTGCTTTTTATTTTCATGTTACATCTAAGAAGCCATTGCCAAATCTAAGGTCCTGAAGATTTACCTCTTATGTTTTATTCTAAGACTTTTAATTGTTTTAGCTTTTGTATTTAGCTCTTTGATCCAGTTTAAGTTTTGTAAGTGATGTGAAGTAGGGTTCTACCTTCATTTATTTTGTATGTGTATATTCAGCTCTCCCAGCAGTTTGTTGAAGAGACTATTTCCACTTCATTGAATAGTTTTGTTAACCTTTTAAAAATTATATAGCTAAAAGTCTGTCATTTTTTTGTTCATATCTTCAAAGAAATAACTTCGGGTTAATTGATTCTATTTTTCCCCTTTATTTTATTTGTCTCTGTTCTTTTTTTCATTCTTTTTACTAGCTTTCAGTTTAGTTTGTTTTTTCTCTAGTCCCTTAGGGTATAAAGATAGATTATTAATCGAGATGTTTCTTTTTTGTTTGTCTATGTGTTTACAGCTATAAATGTCCCTCTTAGCACTGCTTTCTCTGCATTCTTCATGTTTGTTATGTTGTATTTTTATTCTAATTCACCTTAAAGTAGTTTACGTTTTTCTGTGTTTTATTTTTTGAACTATTGGGTGTTTAAGAATGTGTTGTTTAATGTCTACATATTTTGTGAATTTTTTAGTTTCCCTCAGTTGTTGATTTCTAGCTTCATTTCACTGTGGTCAGAGAAGATATTCTGTATCATTTCAACCTTTTAAAGTTCATCAAAACTTTTTAAATGGCCTATTATATGGTCTATTCTGGAAAATATTCTCTATGCACATTCTTGAGAAGAATGTGTATTCTGTTATTGTTTGGTGGAGCCTGTTAGGTGCAGTTGGTTTACAGTGTTGTTCTGTTTTTCTATTTCCTATTGAACTTCTTTTGAGATATGTTTACATTATTGAAAATGAAGTAATAAAGTCTCCAGCTATTATTTTAAAACTATCTATTTCCCTCTTCGAATATGTAAATGTTTCCTTAATATATTTTGGGGCTCTGTTGTTAGGTGCATATATGTTTCTAACTGTTATATCTTTTGGATGAACTGGCCATTTTATCAATATATAATGTTCTTTGTTTTTTGTAACAGGTTTTTACTTAAAGTGTACTTGTCTGGTATTAATGTAGCCAACCCAGCTTTCTTTGGGTTACTATTTGCATGGGATATTCTTTTTTCATCTTTTCACTTTCAATGTATTTGTTTCTTTGGGTCTAAAGTGAATTTTTATAGACAGAATGTCATTAAGTCTTGTTTTTTAATTGATTATGCCCATAGCTGCCTTTTAATTAAAAATATTAACTCATTTAAATTTAAAATAATAACTGATGAAGAACTTTTTACTACCATTTTGCTAATTTTTATATGTCTTTAACCTATTTTGTTCCTTATTTCCTTTATTACTTTCTTTGTGTTTAATTGATATTTTGCAGTGTACTGTATTTGATCACCTTTTTATTTACATATATATTTTTTCATAATGGTTATCATGAAGATTACAATTAGTATCCTAAATATATAGCAATCTACTTTAAATTGATACCAACTTAGATTCAAAAGCATAAAAACTCCTATAATACAAGTCTATCTCTATCCTTTATATATTTTTTGTTTTAATTACATCTTCATACATTGTGTGTCCATTACATTGCTTTATAATTACTGTGTTATGCATTTCTCTTTTAAATCATTTAGACAACTAGAAGAGAAGTGATATAGTTTGGCCATAATCCCCACCCAAATCTCACCTTAAATTCCCATGTGTTGTGGGAGGGACCTGGTGGGAGGTAATTGAATCATGGGGGCAGGTCTTTCCCATATTGTTCTTGTGATAGTGAACAAGTCTCATGAGATCTGATGGTTATAAAAAGGGGAGTTTTCCTGTACAAGCTCCACGTTGCCTTCTGCCATGATTGTGAGGCTTCCCCAGCCATGTGGAACTGTAAGTCTAATTAAACCTCTTTCCTATGTAAATTGCCCTGCCTTGGGTATATGTTTATCAGCAGCATGAAAATGGACCAATACAGTAAACTGGTACCAGTAGAGTGGGGCTCTGCTGAAAAGATACCCAAAAATGTGGAACGCACTTTGGAACTGGGTAACAGACAGAATTTGGAACAGTTTGGAGGGCTCAGAAGAAGACAGGAAAATGTGGGAAAGTCTGGAACTTCCTAGAGACTTGTTGAAAGGCTTTGACCAAAAGCCTGATAATGAATGATATGGACAATAAAGTCCAGGCTGAGGTCATCTCAGATGGAGATGAGGAACTTGTTGGGAACTGGAGCAAAGGTGACTTTTGTTATATTTTAGCAAAGAGAATGGTGGCATTTTCCCCTTGCCCTGTAGATTTGTAGAACTTTGAACTTGAGAGAGATGAATTAGGGTATTTGGTGGAAGAAATTTCTAAGCAGCAAGTATTCAAAAGGTAACTTAAATGCTGTTAAAAGCATTCTCTTCTATAAAGAAAGCATAGAATGAAAGTTCAGAAAATTTGCAGCCTGACAATGTGATAGAAAAGAAAAACCCATTTTCTGAGGAGAAATTCAAGCTGGCTGCAGAACTTTGCATAAGTAACGAGGAGCTGAATGTTAATCCCCAAGACAATGGGGAAAATATCTCCAGGGCATATCAGAGGTAGTTATAGCAGTCCCTCCCATCACAGGCCTGGAGGCCTAGGAGGAAACAGTGGTTTGTGGATCAGGCTTAGGGTCCCAATCCTGTGTACAGCCTCAGGACTAGCTGCCCTGTATCCAAGCCACTTTAGCCATGGCTGAAAGGGGACAATGTAGAGCTTGGGCCTTGGCTTCACAGGATGCAAGCCTCAAGCCTTGGCAGCTTTCACATGGTATTGAGCCTGCGGGTACACAGAAGTCAAAAATTGAGATTTGGAAACTTCCACCTAGATTCCAGAGGATGTAAGGAAATGCCTGGATGTCCAGGCAAAATTTTGCTGCAGGGGCAGGGCTCTCATGAAGAACCTCTGCTAGTGCAGTGCAGAATGAAAATATGGAGTCAAGGCCCAAACATGGAGTCCCTCCTGGGGCACTGCCTAATGGAGCTGTGAGAAGAGGGCCACCCTCCTTCAGGACCCAGAATGGTACATCCACTGACGTCTTGCACCGTGTGCCCAGAAAAGCTGCAGACACTCAATGCCAGCCCATGAAAGAAGCTGGGAGGGAGGCTGTACCCTGTAAAGCCACAGAGGTGGAGCTTCCCAAGACCATGGGAACCCACCTCTTGCATCAGTGTGACCTGGATGTGAGACATGGAGTCAAAGATCATTTTGGAGATTTAAGATTTGACTACCCCACTGGATTTCAGACTTGCATGAGGTCTGTAGCCCCCTTGTTTTGACCAAATCCTCCCATTTGGAATGGCTGTATTTGCCCAATGCTATTCCTCCATTTTATCTAGGAAGTAATTAATCTTCTTTTGATTTTACAGGCTCATAGGCAGAAGGAACTTGCCTTGTCTCAAATGAGACTTTGGACTATGGACTTTTGAGTTAATGCTGAAATGATTTAAGACTTTGGGGGACTGTTGGAAGACGTGATTTGTTTTGAAATGTGAGGAGATGAGATTTGGGAGGGGCCAGGGATGGAATGATATGGTTGGCTGTGTCTCCACCCAAATCTATCTTGAATTCCCATGTGTTGTGGGAGGGACCCAGTGGGAGGTAATTGAATCATGGAGCAGTTCTTTCCCATGCTGTTTTCGTGATTATGAGTAAGTCTTATGAGATCTGATGTTTATAAAAAGAAGAGTTTCCCTGCACAAGTACTCCTCCCTTTGCCTGCCATTATCCATGTAAGATGTGGCTTACTCCTCCTTGCCTTCTGCCATGATTGTGAGTCTTCCCCAGCCACATAGAAGTGTAAGTCTAATTAAACTTCTTTCTTTTGTAAATTGCCCAGTCTTGGGTATGTCTTTATCAGCAGCATGAAAACAAACTAATACAAGAAGTTACAAAGAAAAGTGTAATAATACTAGCTTCTATATTTACTTATTTACATAGTTACCTTTACCAGAGTTATTTATTTCTTCAAATGGCTTCTTGTTATTGTCCAATGTCTTTTAATTTCAATCTGAATGCCTTCTTTTTATATTTTCTGGGCAGGTCTGCTAGCAATAGACTCCTGTAGATTTTGTTTATCTGAGAATATCTTCTTTTCTCCTTCACTTTTGAGGATTATTTTGTGCATATAGAATTCTTGTTTGACAGTAATTTTTTTCCTCCACTTTAAAAATGTCTCCCTACTGTCTTCTGGTCTCCATGGTTTCTGATAAGAAATCTGATGTTAATTTTATTGAATAGCCCTTGTACATGAAAATTGCTTCTGGCTTGTTGCTTTCAAAGATTTCCGTTTGTTCTTGGTTTTCAACAATTTGATAATATCTCTTGGTGCAGCTATCTTTGCCATTATTCTTTGTGGAGTTCGTTGAGTTTCTTGAGTATGTGGATTTGCATCTTTTGTTAATTTTGGAATTCGGCATTATTTCTTAAATGCTTTTTCTGACTTTCTCCTATTCTGGAATTCCCACTATGTATGTGTTGCTATGCTTGATGGTGTCTCTTAGGTCTCTTAAGCTCTGTTCATTTTACTTCATTCATCTTTTATTCTTCTCTTCAGACTGGATAATTTCAACTAATCTCTTTTCAGTTTAATTGATTCTTTCTTCTGCTTGTCCAAATTTGCAGTTGAAACCTTCTAGTGAGTTTTTCACTTCAGGTATTGTACCTTTAAGTTTCCAAATTTATGTTTAGTTCTTCATTATAGTTCCTATCACTTTATTGCTATTCTCTGTTCCTGCGTTGTTACCCTGGTTTCCTTTAGCTCTTTGTCTATGGTTTCCTTTAACAATTTGAACATATTTAAAATTATTTATGTATAGTTTCTGTTGGTAAGTTTAATGTCTTGCTTCTTGAGAGATATATATATTTTTTTACATTTCTTCTAGGAATGGCCCATACTTTCTTGTTTCTTTGCATGCTTTGTCAACTTTTGTTGAAAACTGGACATTTTCATGTTACAACTTAGTAACTCTGGGAATTAGGATCTTTTTCTCCTCCAGGTTTGTTTGTGTTGTTTGCTATAGGCTATACCTCTTTGTTTTAGCAACTTTTCTAAATGATTTTTGTAAAGTCTGTGTTTTTCTTCCTGTATGTTTTTTTAAATTACTATTCCTTCAGCTTGCCTTTAGCTGATGTCTTGACAAAAGTTTTCTTAAATGCTATCTGCCAACAGAGAAAGAGAGGATTGGGGTGGGGGGAGAGAGGGAGAGTGGGAGAGAGGGAGAGAGGGAGAGTGGGAGAGAGGGAGAGAGAGAGAAGGAGGAAGGAGAAGGAAAAAGAAGAGGAAGAAGAGGAAGACGAAGGAGGAGGAGGAGAAGAAGAACAAGAAGAAGAGAAGAAGGAGGAGGAGGAGGAGAAAAAGAAAGGAGAGGAGAGGAGAGGGAGAGAGAATATTCACAGAGAATATTCTCTTTGAAGAGATTTGGTTCTGTGCTGGGGTACTCTTGGGGCAGTGCTGCATTGCTTAGCCTGGCTGTTTACAACTCTGTCTTAGGCTTCACTTTCTGCTTGTGCTGAGATTGGAGATCAGCCAAAGGTGAAGCCTTAGGGCTTAAGGTATTCTCAAGTCTTTTCTGAGCATGCTCCCTGTGCTGGGCATGTGTGTGACTCCCTAAGGTCCCTAGTACACACACGCACTTTTTAATGTCCTAATTTCAAGAAACTTCATCCTCAGTTTTTCCTTCCATGTTTTGGGACTCTATTGTATGTCTCAGCCATAGTCTTTTTCCCAGGCGGCTGTGTGTTGTTAATTTAACTTACCGTGTTTTTGAGCAATATCTACTGCTTTTCTCCCCTAAGTTCTTAATTAGTGAAACAAACACAAGTGCCTTGTGCCAGGCCTTCAGATAGCCTTAAAACATCTAGGACAAACAAACCCAATCCTTTCAAATAAAGTTTGCTTTACTCCAAAGTAGAAGTAGGGTTCAGAGTCCTACACTGGGTATGTGGACTGATGTCTTCAAGTCAGCTGCTGACCTGAGCCAGGGAGGAGATGGGGCAAGGGCATATAAAAATGTTACAAAGCTTTCCTACCATTTTAAAGGTTCATTTCCTTGATTCAACATTTACTTGATTGCTGTAAACTTGTGACGGTTTATCAGAGTTCTGATAAAGTTGATTCTGACAGTTTTTGCGTGATTTTTAAATCTTTCTGTGGAGAGATGGGCTCTTGGGGCTACCTATTCTACCAATGCCTCTTTCATTTATTTTTGTAATCTCCCTTTGATCACGGCTCCCATTTGCTTCTCCATCTCACCTTGCAAAAATTCCTCTAAGCTACCGATAGCTGTTATTCTGTTTTGTTTTATTTACTCTAGTTTTTTTTTTTTTTTTTTTTTTTTTTTTTTTTTTTTTTACTGCTTTATGTTATGGTTGCGTATGTATGTGAATGTTGAGGAAAGTTGAGTGATGGCAAGTTAGAAGATCCAGTTGGCAGATAAGAAATTTTAAATTAGCCATAATTAGGTGTCTCTTAAGATACATTTCTGCCTACATTGAATGCCACATGATGGAAGGGACACAGTTTTCTCCTGGAGAAATATTTTAAAGTAAGATTTTGAAAACATTAATAATCAGGAACTGATCTATCTAATAAAAGGCACAACCAAATGTTTATTGAAGCTTGTCCCTGTCAAGCTCATTGTGTTCTGGTTTATATGGAGTAAGAAATAACCATTATGAGGGAATTAACACAGCAAAATATAAATCTTGCAAGTAATTAGGCAGCTGTATATTTATCAGTACAGAATGTATTTTAATTTTTAATCAGGGCTTTTGTTCCAACTGACAAAATAATGGCTTGTTTGCAATCTTCTACTGAAACAGACTTCCCAAAATGGGATTTGGTGCATCAGTGGGCCCCTCTGTGTCTCATTTGCCATCAAGTCTGATGCATCATGCAATTCCTTCAGTGAAAGACCCCAAGGAAATACTGTGCTGCTTTCAAGTTGGCTGTATTTTTTTTCATATATGACTCACAAGGTAAATAAAAATGGTCTATTTGAGCAGCATATCCCCATTTACAGGGAAGTAAAAGAGAATTATTATTACAAATGTGTTGGAAATATTATATGAACAGCCAGAATGGTTTTTATGGGCCTAGAATACAGATTAATTCTCCAGAGGAACCTCAAAATTGAAGAACTCCAACTCAGATTTTTATTCTATAGCTCATGGCAGAAATCTTCCCACTTATCTCTACCCTAATCGTAAACTATATGTATATAATTTAGATGCAAAGGATAATGGAATTTCAGAAACACATCTCTGTATCCCTAGCAATCATTTCCTAAAGCAAGATTATTTGCTAAAATGAATAGACATGTAGGTGTCAGTGGGGCATTTGATAAAACACAAGAGGAAGCTGCAAAACTTAATCAGAAAACTCAATCTGAATCCTGACTCTCCAGTTTACTAGTTATGTGGCTTGGCAAATAGTTTTGACCCTCCATGCTTTAGTTTCCCCATGGATAAAATGGGATCAATCTACTTTACCAATAATTTTGTTTGATTGTCATAGGGATTTGACAAGACTTCACAAGAGAAAAAAGCAGCATAATGTAGAGCAAACTACTTGAATTCTGTCTTTGCCACTTACACTGTGACCTGTGGCAAGTTGCTTAATCTTTAAAGGGATTCAGTTTACTTATGTGCACATGGAGATGATGATACCCATCTCACAGGATTCTTGTGAGGATTTGCCACAGTCTAGGTAATATTTTTTAGACATTTTAGAACTGCCATCAGGTTTGTTGAATCAGTGACTACAGTAAGACCTTTCCATTCTTAAGAACTCACATAAACTCCACTAATAAAAGTACGATAGACTCCATTTCAGGGTGATTTGGAAAACCAGAGAAAATTTGTTCATAAAGAATTTGAAATGATATCTGACCCATGCATAGGTGTTAAGCCCATGAAAGACTGTGATTAGTGAAAGCCCTGAGGAAGAAAGGGGTATGCCTTTCTAGAGAACCCATGAGAATGTCTCTTTTCTTTATTGGGAGTCAGGCCCAGCTAGGAGGAAGGGCATTGCCTCTTGGGATGACGTAGATGCAGTTTCCTTATTTCTCTTCATACAGATTTCCTCCTCTGTTAGATATGAATAATCACCATCATTGTGAAGGCACTTTGTAGAATATAATGCTCTGTGCCAGTGGTGATTATCTTTAGTGGCATCTGATGACCTAATTTGAGTTTAGGTACCAATGAGAAGGGACAAACTCTCTGTGTTCCTGGAGATGGAGAGGGGCATTAAGAGAACAGCTCACTACTAGCCATCAGTCCAACTCCTCGGGGTTACAGCCCCTAGTCTGTCTGCCTCCAAAGTCCATGCATTAGTCACTGTGTCATGGGTCATAGGGTGATAGAAATTGTAATGCAATGTGGCCTCTGCCACAAACAGTTGTATGACACCCAGCCAGTCACCTTCCTTGTCTGGGTTTCAATATCCACATCTGTAAGAGGAATAAACTGGAGTAGAGGATCAATGGGATCCTGGTGTGTTTTCCCCCTTAATTTTTCCTATGGGATGTGATTGTGTGCACTGGAATATTACTGTCTTTGAGGAGATTTTGATAAGCATACAGTCTTTTAGACAATCCTCAAAAGGTAATTTGCCTTTGGATGAGACTCCAGACAGGCTAATTTTATACTGAATTTCACAGTGTAGTGAATAATATCAGTCAGATTTTCCTTTCAAATTATCTAGAACATAAATTCTCACTCAATCCATTGCTTCTCTTCTTCCTCAACACACCATTGTGACTCATTTACACTTAGCCCTGTTTTTTTTTTTTTTAGGATTTGCAGAACAAATTTCTGATTGTCTTAACTGGATATTGCAAAGTGGAGCTGAGGGAGACAGTAAAGTGTAGCAGTCACTGCCACAAACAGTGATGTCAGGGAAATGGGTTCTAATCCTTGGTTTGCCAATTGGTATCTATGTGGTCCTACTGTGCCTCGGTTTCTCACCTGTAAAATAAGCAAGATCCCTGCTTCTTGGGGGATATTTTGATGATTGTGACATTTGATGTGTGACAATGGCAATACAATTATAAGTGTGTTAGTTGAAACATGGTAAGTCTTCAGAAATGATTGATTTTTAAACCTTCTGTTTCTTCATAGAAATTCAAGTCATTTCCTAGCATTAAGACAGGTTTGGATGTTGTTTCTTATTCCTTTCTATTCCAGTTCCCGTAACTGTCTTCTGTGCTCTGTAGTATCCTCTGTAAGAATGGTTCATCTTACTGAGCATGGTAGAGAACTCCAGTTGTGGCAAACATGAACAAACACACCACCATGTCATGTGATGGGACCCTGTGCATCTTTATTAGCTGCTAATGTGTTAATTAAGCCAAGACGAGACATGAGGCAGAACGTCATCATTTTTTCCCTCAGCAAAACAAATGCTAATCAAATAAGACTTACAGATGTATTTTTAATAGATTGTGCTGTGAAGCAGGATGTTAGTGGTTGTGGATACAAGATTGGGTATCAAAATCAAAGTATCTCAAGTACTTCAAAAAAAGGAAAATCTTGAGAGATGAGGCAGAAATTAGAAATTCTAGCAAGTCCAGAGCAGGGAGGCAAGGCAGGGGACTAGTGAAGTGAGAGGTTCAGGGAATATAATAGGTCTGAAGCAGGGGTTGCCAAGCTTTTTCTGTAATGGATTAGAAGAGAAATATTTTAGATTGCTGAACATTATGTGTCTCTGTCATACCTACTCAACTTTTGTTCCACTGTGGAACAAAAGCAGGGATACAGGGGTATATAATATGTGCAACTGAATGAGCATGGCTGTGTTCCAAAAAAAGCCTTTTTTATGGTCATTGTGACCCTTGTTCTGGAGCTGCATCCATAGAGTTTCAAATTACAGAGAACTGAGCTAGACAGGATATCAAAACTGTAGAAAAACAGCTGTTGGACTGGCCCAAGCTCCCCAAGTATTAGGTTGGCATGCCCTGCTTCATCCAGAAAATGGAGCTGTGCTTTACTTGAAGGCACTAGCTAAACTTTAAATGTGGCCTGAGGCTATCAGGATTTGTAGAGGGACCTGAAGGAGAATGAGGGCTGCTGACAGACAGGTTCTGGCTCCAGCAGGTCCTGACCTCTTTTTTCTATTATTTGTAAAATATTTTCTCTCAAAGCCACAAGTCTTCCCTCTTCTGCTGGTTTTGACCCATCTCTTTTTTAAAAAACCTTTCTCTTCCTTCATGGTGTCCTCCTGAATAAATGTACTGAGCCTTTGTTAAATCCTGTTTTGCTCTACAAGGAGATTTTATGTAAGGTGGGTGCCCCTTTGTATTTTGCAGGGGGTGTGCTTACCAAGCAACAGCACTGAGCTCCTGACAAGACAGTCTCACCCAAAGTGGATGGCACAGAGCTGACTCACTGATAGACAAAGACATTGACTATTCTTAAATGTCCTCTATTAATTAATCCCACTCTAGAAATCTGTGCTTCTCTCCCTTATTTGCATAAAACACCTGAAAACGAGCATTGCTGAAGACAGTGTCAAGTCTGGATAAATGTAAGCTCAACCACATGCTAGCTAAATGACCTTGTACACATTTTCTGAATTTTGCCTGATGTGCATTTTTCAAATGCATTTGATAATATCTTTCTGTCTAATGATACAAGCATTTACCAGTTTTTAGAATGTATGAAAATAAATGTATTTAGCAGGTTTAATTAGTTTGTATATTTAGGTATGTGCATTCAAAATCATTTGGAAATGCATTTTAAGTATTTCACAGTGTCTTTTAAATACATTTACCTGTACATACACATCCACTGCAGTTGAGGAGATAGAAAGCTAAAACATTTATAAATGTGAGCTCTGATTTCAAGAGTTTTGAGAGGGAATAGTAGAGCACAGCAGAAAGAGCACTGGATTTAGAGGCAAAGAAAAAGAAATGCATTACAAGCCTGGATCCATCCCTAATTAGCTACAAGGATAGAAAAGTTACCTAACATCTCTGAGTTGCTATTTTTGCATTTTTAAAGATAGAGATATTAACTCCTGCCCTCATCACAGGATTATTTAAATAATCAACTAAGATAATAAAAAGCATTTTATAAAAAGTAAAATGCTATGCAAATTTAAGTCTTGCCTCATTGGCATTATTTTCTCCTCTGTAGCACCCTGAAAGTCTGCCCAACAATTCTGGGGATCCACAATTTGGAAGTCACTAGCAGCAAGCACTAGCTAAAATAGTGAACTTTCACTGGCAGTTATAATGTATTTATTGAATTTGTCTATATATGACTAGGAGATCCTCTTCAATATGTGCTTTATTACAATTCAAAAAGTACCCTCAAAGTTCAACAATTGGATTTTCACTAAACCCTGAAATAAGAGTTTCTTCCCATATATTTTCCTTGAATGTGTTAATGCAACAAAATGTCGGGTCACTTAAGCCCCAGGAGTCTGATGTTCCCCTTTGATCTGGAGAAAGCAGAAACAATATCTTTGCCAGACTCATGGGGGGAAGAAAATTTCTTCCCAGGTTCTACAGAAGGTCAGACAACTGGCCAATTTTACCAGAGCAATCAAGCAGTTAGTTGAACTAATTGCCTCCATGAAATGACTTTCTCAGACTGAATATACTAGGTGTTTGAGTCCAGAGGGCTGATCTCACATTACTTGCCTGACCAGGTAACATCTAAAACCTCAGGCAATATGTTTAAAACAAACAAAACAAAAATAATTAGAAAGTGGCGGTAGGAGATATTTTATGTATTGACTGTCTCTATTGTTACAGCTTTGTTTATTTCCCCTCATTGGATCAAAAAACTCTGGTTTTGAATATAGGATTGCCAAAGAAGACTGTATCAAGCCATCGAAGGAAGAAGAAATATTTATTTCATTGTCAAATCAATGGAAGACTTTCAGTATAGTCCCTGCTTACTCATAATGAGAAAGTATAAGTGAAATGAAAAAATAAAAATACCAAATGTTAAAAGGAAATGGGTACTGGTTTATCTATGAGTGTAATTTGGTGAGTAAAGTGGCATAAACAGGCATTCTTTCAAGGATACCTTTTGGCAATATTTGATTGAAATTGACAGTAGACATATGGCAATGCATGGTACAAGATGCTTTTGGAAAATAGAAATTGTGCAGACAATAATATTTTAAAGAAAACATGCAGATAAAATAGCTGGAGAACCACAGGAAAATATCATCGGGACATGCCCAAGTCTATCTTTACGCCCATATATCCAGTTCCTGATTGTATGCCAATTATATTACTTACATTTCTATGTCCAACACAATTCTGTTTTCTGCATTCTAAACCCATAAATTCAGTTGCCCATTTTATATCATCACATGGAAGTCTCAAAGGCATATCCAAGTCCACTGTTCAAAGTTCATGATCTTTCCCCTAAGACTGGTCTTCTTTTGGAATCCCCTCTCTCAGTAATTGGCATAGTCATTTGTCAAGGAACAAATCAGAAACTGAGGGATGATTTTTGAAACTTCATATCTCTTCACACATCACAGCTAATCCATTCCCTTATTTTTCATTCATCAAGTGATTATTGAGTACCTCCTAAGCACCACCATTCTCTAAAGTGCTAGGGGCGTGGTGGTATAAACAACTTTCTTGTCATCATGCAGCATACGTAGTGAAAGGAAGGAGATGATAACAAGCAAGCGGATACATATTTTGAAAGATGTTCAAAAGAAAATCAAACATGCCATAGGGAGACACTGGATGGAATAGGGGAAGCCAAATTTAGATGTCATAGTTAGGGAAGGCTTCTTCAGGGAGGTGATTGTGAACAGGGAAGGTGTGAGCTAGAGGTGAAGATCATTTCAGGCAGAGGAAACAGCAAGTACAATGGTCTGAAGATAAGAAGAGATTTGGTGTCCAGAAGACCAGCATGGCTGGAACATTGTGTCTAAGGGGAAAAGAGAAAGCAGAGAAGGAAATGTAAAGGGAAGCTAATGAAGGGTGATAATATGGCTACCGTAATATGCAGAGAAAAACATTGTAGGGCTTGTATTTTTAACTATCACTCTGACCCTATTTTAAAAACGGATTGGAAGATGCAGAGGCAAGAACTCCATTTAAGTATTTTTTGAATTAACTCAGGTGAGAGACATGGTTGGACTTGGGTATTTGTAGTTGAGGTGAGAAAACAAACAGATTAAAGAAGTATTTTGAAGATAGAGAAAACCGTAAGCAGGAAATTGCTCAATGTGGGGAATGAGGAAAAAAGAGAAATCAAAGATGACTCCCAGGCTTGGGCAACTAGATAGATAGAAGGGTGGTGTCACTTACTGATGTGGGAAAGGTGTCAGTGGTGATGTGACAAAAGTAGGGTGGTGGTGGTGATGGATAGATTGGGCATGCCTTTGAGACTTTGAAATAGAATGAGTGTAATACAGAGTTTGAAGAAGAGGTCAGGGCTGGAGACCATATTTGGAATGCGATGAGATATTCTAGGGAAAGAGTGGGACTAGAGAAGAAAGCCTAAAATGAATCTCTGGTGCAGTCCAACATTCAGAGGTCAGGTTTGGTATCATCAAGACCTATCAATTTTAGCTCCTAAATATTTCTCAATTTCTTTCTATTTCTCTCAATTTCTACTGCTGCAACAGAGTAGCATACTGGTCCAAGCAAGCTATCATCACCTTTCTCATGGATGACTGCAATTGCTGGGTTTGTTTTTTTGCTAAAAGAATACAAATTTATTATCTTACAGTTCTGGAAGTTAGAAGTGTGAAATGGGTCTTATGGGGCTAAAGTCAAGTTATTGAGAAAACTGATTTCCTACTTGAGAATCTAGTGGAAATTTTGTTTCCTTGCCTTTCCCAGCTCCTGGAAGCAATTCCTATTCCTTGGCTTTTGGTTCCACATCACTCTGACCTCTGCTCCTGTCATGATATCTTCTCTGTGACTCCTGCCTCGCCTTTTCAGTGTTTTTTAAAACAACTTTTGCAATAGCTTTTTAACTGGTTATCCTGTACTTCTCATTTGATCTGCATATTATGGATAGTGTGATCTCAAATACTTAGATTATCATGTCATTCTCTTGCTTCAATCATTTTCATGACATCTAGTTTCTCTTACAATAATGACCAAAGCCATTACATCTGACTCCACAGCTGTGCACGCTCCTTTCCATCCTCACCTTACTACTTTCTGTCCCTTGTTCTTTGTGCTCTAATTGACCTGAAATTTTATCAGTTTCTTTCTTTTGTACACACCGTGTTCTCCCCAGCCATATTTCCTGGGTACATGTTCTTTCTTCTGCTTGGAAAATTACCTCTCTTCTTTTATCCCAAATAGTTAATTCCAATCTATCCTTGGGCTTCAACTAAAATATCGCTTCCATTGGAATATCTTCCTGAAACCTCCATCCTACATTTATATGTCATTTGCAAGTGCTGGAAAACGAAACCCAACATGGTTTAAGAAAAGGAGGTATAATATAAAGTCCAGAGATAGTTGTTGTCAGGAAAGACTTGATCAAAGACTGCATTATTTCCTCTGGACCAAGTTCCTCTCTGTCCTTTAGTTGTGTTATTCTTAATATTGACTCTAGTCTTAAAAACAGTTATTTCTTCCACATCACAAAGTAACAGCAATAATTTTAATAATCACATCCTGTGAGAAAGAGTGAGGGTCTCCTAGGAGGCACGGGTAGTTTTACTGGTCATTTTTGGTTAAATATTGTTCCCCTAGAGCTGAGAGATGAAGCCTATCCCACATAGAATGAGAATAGAGAAGAGGAAAGAGGTGAAAGGTGGTGGGTTTTGTGCAACCTGGACTCAGGCAAAGTCTTCTATTCCTATCAGATGTTTTCACTGAAGTCAGCATCTTCCATTTATATAGCAGGGCATCTTCACTTGGTCCATGTACTTGGAAGAGAAAAAAATTACACTTTATTTTCTCTAACTTGTAATTAAAATTTAATATTTCATTTAATTATATGTGTAGCCAATAAACCACAGTAGCTTTAGCAATAACTATGACTTTGCCATCGATAGGAATAATAGATATTTTCATATCCACTAGTTATTCCAATCTTCAAATATTGTTTATCTTCATTATTTCTTCAAAAATTATGGTAGTTGGAGCAAGATGGCCAAATAGAAGGTTCCACCAACTATCTGCCCTACAAGGACACCAATTTAACAACTACCCACACAAAAAGGCACCTTTGTAAGAACTGAAAATCAAGTGAGCACTCACAATACCTGGTTTTGACTTCATATCACTGAAAGAGGCTTTAAAGAGGGAGGGTAGAACAAACAGTCTTGAATCACCGACACCACCCCTCACTCACATTCTGGCAGTGGCTGTGTGGTATAGAGAGAGAATTATGCATTTGGGATGGGGAGAGTGCAGCAATTGTAAGACATTGCATTGAACTTAGTGCTGCCCCGTCATAGCAGAAAGCAAAACCAGGCTGAACTCAGCTGATGCCTACCCTGAAGGGAACATTTAAACCAGCCGTAGCCTGAGAGGAATTGCCCAACCCAGTGGGCAACTCGAAGCACCCAGGTCAGGACTTGAGTTCCAGAAAACCTCACCACTGTGGGCTAAAGGGGTCTGAGGCCCTAAATAAACTTGAAAGGCAGTCTAGGTCACAGGGATTACAACTCCTAGGTGAGTCCTATTGCTAAACTGGGCTCAGGTCCTGTGGACTTGGTAACGGGGGTATGTGATCTACAGAGACAACAGATGGGGCAGCTAAGAGAGTGCTTGTGCCACCACTCTCCCAACCCCAGGCTGCATAGCTCATGGCTCCACAGGAGATTTCCTTCTTCCACTTGAGGAGAGAAGAGGAGAGGGAAGGGTAAAGAGGACGTTGTCTTGCGTTTTGGATACCAGCTCTGCCACAGTAGGATGGAGCACCAGTCAGAGTAATGAGGCCCCCTTTTTAGGCCCTAGCTTCTGGATAACATTTCTAGACACACCTTGGGCCAGAAGGGAACTCACTGCCTCAAAAGAAAGGACCTCCTCCTAGCAGGATCCATCACTTGCTGACTAAAGAGCCTTTGGACCCTGAATAACTGGCAGCAATACTCAGGTAGTATGCCGTGGGCCTTGGGTATGAGTCTGGCACTTGCTGGCTTTAAATGAGACTCAGCACATTCCCAGCCATAGTGGCTATGGGGAGAGACTCCATCTGCTTGAGAAAAGTGGAAGTAAATATAAAGAGGACTTTGTCTTTCACCTTAGGTATCAGCTTAGCCATAGGCGGGTAGAGCACCAAGTGGAGAAGGTATCATAGCAAAGGGCTGAGGACGCAGAGAGGGCTCAAGTACTGAACCTTAAGTAATGGGTTGGTTTTGTATTTGTTAGCAATTGCACAAACAGCACCACCACCATTTACTTAGCCAATCAAGCATAAAAATCCAAGGATCAGTTTTGACTTTGCCCATTACTTATTTATCACCCATAACTAATGATGAGCAAAAATTTTGCTGTGGTCAGTGTTGAGTGAATAAGATTTGAGTGATTACTTCAGACCTCAAAGACTGTAATCTGGCCCCTTTTTAAAATTGCCTTTGGGCTATCTTCTGTTTCTAGTAACTCTTATGCTAACCAGAAAGTTGTGTATTCTCTGGGAAATAATACAGATTTTGCAGTCATAAATAGCTTTTGTATAACTACTCTTCCTACCACTTTGCAATTGAATAGGTATTTTATTTTGTTCCCAGGTTTTGCATCTGTAAATTAAGAGAATATCAGTTAGGATTATGTTTAGTTTCAGATAACAAAAACCTCAAATGATGTAGTTTAAATGAGATAAAAGTTTATTTTGACTACATGGAAAAATGTTCTGAGATAGGAGATGCAGGGTTGCTATGTGGCTCCTCAAAGATGTCAGAAACTTAGGTCAGTTTCAATTCACCACTCTGACACATTGTCAGACTCCTACCAACACATCTGTGTACCAGACAGCAGGATGGAAAAAATGGTAATGAAGAAACGTGCAAACAGCACACAATATCATCCTTTTTAGGGCATCTTTAAGAAGCTGTAACACACTTCTATTTTGCTCACCAGAACTCAGTCACATAACCACACCTTAGTTTCAAAGGAAGCTGAGAAATGTGTTTTCGATTCCTGTGCCTTTTACATAGCTAAAAACTGGCAGGTTCTTTTATTAAGAACAACGACAACAAAAGCCAAGAAGGTTAATAAAATGTCTAGCTCATGGTGTTAACCTAAACTAGTGTTATTTTGTCTTTCTTATCCACTTCTGTTTTTCCTAAATCCTGTTTTATTCTATCACATGGATTCGAGTGTTGCTTTCCATTAAATGTGTCCACATTCTTTGTTAGATTGGTACCACATTAGTTTGTGTCTGTACAATGCGACTAAATAATAAAGAAATATTAGAGCCAACTAAAATTTCCCTCAGAGTAGGTATTTCATACACATTGTATGTTTCTTCATACACCATAAGAAGAAACCAAATAGTTCAGTTTTAGGGGTGGATTTTAAAATCCAAAGAGCAGCGTAAGGAGGAGAGATTAACAGTGGACCTGACTATATAGACTATGTTGCATAAGTATAATTTGCTTTGGATATCATCAAATTCCTGTTCAGACTCCTTGCACTACTGCCTTCTATAGACATAATTTACCTCTTGTTCCTGCTACCCAGACCTGGGAGATCCTACTTATTTCCTCTACCAAAACTGGCTTTCTTCTTTATTTCTAGAACACTGAACAAATAAATAATGGGGAAAAGCAATTCAATTCTAAATGTACAAGACTTCAACACAGATACAAGATCATACTTGTAGAATTTCAGATGGCATGGAGGACTTGTCAACACCAACTTTTCATGGACTTACCCTTCCTACGTCAAAGCTAGGCTCCTGGAGCTGTCAGGGCAGAGGATTCCTCTCTGTGGGTCTGAGTTTCCAAATGTATTAAATGAGAGGTGGATGTGATATTGCTAATTTCATGCTGCAGGGGGCACCATTTTCATTGTAGTCTATGTATCACTCAGATGTGCCAGTCACATAAAATGAAGGGAGATGGTATCTCTAGAATTTGATAACATAATGATCCTAGATAATATCTAATTTTTTTTCAAGTTCTAAAAATTCTGACTCCCAGAAACCATATAATTGCCTATTTCCCTCAAACTTTTTGCGGGAGCAGCTGTAGACATTTTGGATAATAGGCATATGCACAGCACATTCCCAATGCGTATTGTGGTCATGTTCAGTTCTCGGTATAATAGTTCCAAATCTGTTTATTTTCCTTCCTTTCAAGAAAACACGCCATAAACTAACTAGATGAGAGTTTTATTGCTCTGTGGATACCCTTATATTTGTTTTACTTTATATACTAAGAAAATAATTTACAAATAAGTGCTTTATATATGTTTAATTACAAATTATAGCGCACTTCATTGTGCATTTGAAAACTAATCTCCTAGTGCATAAACTACAGATTATATGATACAATTTTTGGGAGGTCTGGTCAAAGTAGAACTTTTATTAACTACACAAAATAAGAATCTATATGATGATGACAAACTTGAGTTTACATATATTATTCATTTGCTTTTATATATCCTATCGACCTTATAAATTAGGACATTTACTATGCAAGAAATAAGTTAGTCGAGAAAATGTAACTTTTACTAAATGGAACAAAATGGTGGAGGTTTATGATCATCAGTGGAGTCATGGTGTATTCAAGGTACAGATGAAAAACGTTATCGACCATGTGCTGTACATCACCATGATCATTAGTATTCTAGATTGTGAGCAGATGATTCGTGATTCCCAAACAATATGTAAATATGTGAACAGAGTTTACTGTTGTGATAAAATAAAACTTTCAACACAGTTTATCTGACTTTTTATGGAACACATAATCCTTATTGTGTTGCAGAGTAAACAGGCATACATTGTAAACAGTTCAATTTAAGGTTCATGATTAAAATTACTTTTACACAGACAAATAATATTTTTAGTTTGTTCTATCTTTAATCAGCATCAATTGTGTTTGGCAATCGGGGAATGGATTAGAATGGGGGTATTTACCACTACTTAAAAGCAGAATATATTATTCCCTAAATTCACTATATCTTTAGAAGGAGGAAGAAGAGATGGACTTTTCATGTTCCAGAGGCAGAGGCACGTATCTCAATGAGATTCATACAAGGGTAATTCATACAAAGGAAATTCATACAAGGGTAAATCTGAATATTGAGTATGTCTATTAGAATATGGGATTAAAAAATAAAACTGTAATAATTGCTTTCGTTACTGTGCCTGCTAAATGTTTAAGCCAGCATGATTTGATAATTTACTCTGTTACCTCTTTATAAGACCCGGGCTTTATTAGAAGAAGAAAACTCAGCATAGTGGATGGATCTTTTTATGTTAAACTATTTGCTGCCCTCTTCTTGTGACAGGGGTTTAGCTGTGTTACTTGCTTAGTCCAAAGAAGTATGAGTGAAAGTGATGTCTTACACATCAGAGCATAAGTTTTAAACACATTGTGAGGGTTCACCATGTTCTCTTTACCTTTTGTCAAGAGACTGGAATGTTTCAGATATGCTCCCTTAGGCTGGATCCCAGAATGCAGATAACATGGACCAGAGCGATGGACCACCCGCACAGGACTGGTGACATAAGCAAGAAATAAGCCTTTGTTATCTAAGCCGCCAAGACTCTGTGGATGTTGTCTTCTACAAAATAACTGAACCTAAGCTTAGAGACATACTATCCAATATGAGACAATGTGATGTGTGCTCCTTGTTGACATGGGTCAACAAATGTAGAGGCAATTAAGTTGTAGAAACAACATCACAATATAAGTAGCAATACTAAAATTCCAGAGAGATTGTAAAACAACATAATTAAAGTATAAAATGTGATTATTTTTACAGAGGCACTCTTTCATTCGATGAACATTTAGAAGACATCTTCAATTGTAGCACTATGAGAAATCTTTTGAACAATGTTATCCCTTCTGTACTCAGGGAAATTGATCCCTAGGGAATAAGCACCCCTGAAGGAGTACAGATAGGAAGAAGCTGTGGTCCTAAAAGTTTGGGGAGAACTGCAAACCATATCTCCCTTTTGGCAATTCATAAGATAGGAAAGTAAAGTTTTGAAAAATTCTACACCAGACACGTGCTTTTTCCTCCCACGGTATTTCTTTATTTTTTGTTGTTTTTGTTCTTTTCTTTCTTTCTTTTTTGGAGACAGTGAAGGTCTGACTCTGTCATCCAGGCTGGAGTGCAGTGGAGCATTCATGGCTCACTGTAGCCTTGACCTCTCTATCCTCAGGTGATCCTACCACCTCAGCCTCCCGAGTAGCTGGGACTACAGGTGTGCACCACCATGCCTGGCTAATTTTTCAATTTTTTGTAGAGATAGGGTTTCACCATGTTGTCTAGGCTGGTCTCAAACTCCTAGGCCCAAGCAATCCACCTGCCTTGGCCTCCCAAAGTGCCGGGATTGCAGGCATGAGCCACCACAACTGAACTTCCTGCCGTATTTCTGAACTTCATTTGGACACAGTGTGAGTAATGTTGTCTTAAAGTATTCAAAGATTAGTAAGACATGGTCTATTCCATCCTGTCCCACTTTATCTCGTGGGGAATTAAAAATGTCTACAAATTCCACAGGGGATACATGAGCGGCAATAGATTAAAGTGACAAGAGGATGAATGTGCAAATAGCCAGTCTCAATTTTAATTCAGAGCATTTGTGCTATATAGGGAGAAATGGACACTTTAAAATTCTGACCAGTAGCAAGGGCATTCCTTTAATGTATCACATTTGAGCTACACCTGTCTCCTAACTGTACACTTTGTCATTTTGTCCATTTAATCTCTCCCATTTTATTCTGTCCTGCACCTCTGTACTATTTAATCTTTCAAGGACCATTGCTTAATTTCCTTCTCAAAATATTCTTTGGTTTTGCATTCCCTTCATGATGATAACCATGTAATTGATTGATTTGTAGGAAGTTTATATTATCATAATACAGATCTCTACTTGGGTTATTTTTATTACATTGTCATTGAATTCTTTTTTTAAAACTATTCATTCACCTAAAAAGCATTAATGAAATGTCCTCTCTGTATCTAGTATGATGTTAAGCAATCAGTTTTGTAGTGGAAAGAACTTGGAGCTTGATGTCAGGACCCCTATATTCATATTCAGTCTTTTACCCTCTATAATGATTTAAATAGTGACTAAGTCTGAAAAGCACAAATAATAATACGTGTATCTCAGTGTCTTACAGATTTGATAAGGGTACATGGAAAAACTCCACTGGATGTCTGCATCAAAGTCGATAGTCAAATGACAATAATTGACTCTGAATCTAAATCTAAGTAATATAGAATATACAAAGTGGTAGATTCAGTCCTTAGAATTTAAGGATTTAGAAGCATTCTGAAAAGGAACAATGTAAATTCAAAAGCAAACAAACAAAAAGCAGGGAAGAATTCAAACGACAATTAAAAGCATGGATGTGTTTTTCTCTGTGTTCTAGTTTGTCATGTGAATGCCAGAGTTTGCCTTTTATAATCAGACACCATGGATTCAAATCCTGACTTTATCTCTTGCTAACTCTATGACTTTGGTAAAATTTTCATAAACTCCTTTGCTAATTGTATTTACTAAAATGATTCAGACAAAACCAGTTGATATGGAGATTAATCTGACAGTCTTCATGGGAGAAATAAATCTTTGATGTGTGTCTTTAAAGTATAGGAATGAGATACTTGAGAAAAGCAGACAGCCTTTCAAATAGATAAAGAGGGGAGGAACAAGAAATGTGTGAGGGCTGTCGAGCGCTGTAGAGGGAATATACTCTAAGCAGGATACCTGGGACTCTCTTTGGAAGTGATGGGAGCTGCAGCTTCTCTCTATTGCTGAAGGGGATGGTCATTGCAGGGAGACGGCAAGAATGCCAGACTGAAGAATTTGGACTTGTCATGTTAAGCCGGGGATGAGAAAGTAAAATGCCTATGGGCCACTTGGGTATTGCAAATGAGGTATGTGGGCTGGGCCAGGCAAAGAGGGTGAAGTAGACCACTGGAACACACTGGAGACGTGTGCCCCATCTTAAAGTACGTCCACTCTTCAGTTCTTTCTTTCCTTGCTGCCTCAGCATAGTCAGACCTAATTTCTTTGGAGCAGCCAGAGCAATGTGGAATTTTATCTGAACTTCAGCACTTTTCTTGCTTGTTTGCTCCTTCATGTCTTTAGGGATTGCTGTTTCCCTCTGGTATAATCACCTGCCCTTCTTTTTCCTTGTCTAAATTCAATATAGCCCCTAAGACTCTCCTCAGACACTACTATCTTTATGGAACCACTTTCACCTCTTGAATGTTTTTGTCCTATCTCTATTCCAGCACTTCCCATGTCACATTGCAATCTTGAGACTAGGAGCTGTATCTGAGTAGATAGTATCACAAGCACGTACATCGAGACTAGAGCTGTCATGCACAGAAACTCATAAGGGAAATGTGCCCTGGGAATTGTGCACAGAGGAAGCCCTGAGAGCAAAAGCTGCCTTAGGATCCTTGTTTCAATGCCGCATATAGTGTTTGACATGGAAAAGTCCTCAGTGAGGGTGTGCTGACATCTGTATTGGGCCTGCTTCTTGAGCAGCAGAAGAGGATTGGGTTACTGCCCATTTCTGCAGCTCAGAGAAGACTGAGGAGATTCAAGTTTCTTTTCAGATTAAAGAAACAATTGAGCTCAATTTAGCATAAAAGTCTCATCTTGACAAATTCTGAAAAATTATTTTTAAAAATTTTGCAATCTTTTAGTCTCAGTTATATCTTCTTTCTCGTGCACGCGCGCTCGCTCTCGCTCTCTCTCTCTCACACACACACACACACACACACACACACACACACACACAGAGAGAGACAGATTTCTTATGTGTTGGCCACATAGAGTATTCTTATGCATTAGGCAGTTATATCCATTATCCGGGGAGCATATATAAGGCTATATGCTAGTGGAAGTAAAAAAAAAAAAAAGAACACAAACCGGGAGATGATGGTGGAGTCATGGTTTCCATGCTAAGAAAAAAGTTTTTCAATGGCAAGAGTGTTAAAAGAGGATATATTGTGGAGTGAGGGAGCTGGTATCCAGAAATTGTTCTAAACTAATAAAGAACCTTGATACATTAACCACAGGAAGTTTTAGAGGCCAATAACACCATCAGCTTGCAGTAGGGCTGCACATACTTTGAATCTTCCTTTTTTGTTTCCTCCCTTTCTCTTTCCCTTCCTCTTCCTTCCCTCTCCTTTCCTTCCTTCCTCTCTTCCTTCCTTCCCTCTCTTCCTCCCTTCCTTCTCTTCCTGCCTTCTTTCTTTCTCTTTTCTTTTTTCTCTTTCTTTTCTTTCTTTCTTTCTTTCTTTCTTTCTTTCTTTCTTTCTTTCTTTCTTCTTTCTTTCTTTCTTTCTTTCTTTCTTTCTTTCTTTCTTTCTTTCTTCTCTTTCTCTTTCTTTTCTTGTTTTTCTCTTCCTTTCCTTCCTACCTCCCTCTTTTTTTCCTTTCTTGCTCCTTTTTTCCTTCCCTTCCATTATTTCTTCTGCTCCTACTACTTCTTTTCCATTTTCTCACATTTCTCCTCCTTTTCCTTATTCTTTCTCTAACAGCTGATTATAATCTCCAAAAGTACAATCTCAAACCTAATAATCCCAGACATTAAAATTCCAAAAGATCAAAATCTTAAAAACATAATCCTGGAAAAATACTTCAAGCAATCTTTAAAAGACATTTGTTTATGTATTTTTAAAAGGGGATTTGATTGAGAAACATATAAAAACATGACAAAACACTTCATAGGCCTCTTACACAATAAAATAAGCAATGATAGCACACATATTTTTGCAAACATAAACAGGTATACTAATGACAGTAGGATGGGTATAACAGTTATGAGCAAACTGTATTCATAAATAGGTCAAAAATAGAAATATATAAATGGATATCACTACAGTTGGCAATTGTGTGCACTCAGCTTTATAACTGTGGTCATCTGAAATACTGTGACAGATAATCTAAGTTTTTTGAGATCAGTCGGTGCTGCATATGCAGTTGCCCAAAGGGCTGAGATCATGAGAAATTTTATCTTTCACAAATAAAGATGTACAAAAAGGATATCTGCGTTTATTGAGGAATTTTCAATGTTTTTACATTGAGAACCAGGGAACCTGATGGTATAATTCACAGTCCAAGCCTGAAAGCCTCAGGACCCCAGGAAGCTGCTGGTGAAAGCGTTGCAATCCAAAGACCAAGTAAGCCTGGAATTCTGATGTCCAAGGCCACAGAACAAAAGTCTGTCTTAGCTCTCAGAGAGAGGCCAATTTGCTTTCTGTATTTGCTCTCTCTGGGCCACCAATAGATTGGACAGTGCTCACCAGTATGGAGGGCAGCTATTCCCCACCTAGTCCACTCTGACTCACACAGTAATCTCCTCAGGAAACACCCTCATAGGCACACCCAAAATAATGCTTTGGCAGGTTTCTAGGCATTCCTTAATCCAATCAAATTGACACCTAAATGAAGTTCACAAGTTCACCTCTTGTCAACTTGGCACCCATATGCATCATTTTTTAAAATATAATTTCAACTTTTATTTTAGATACGGGGGTACATGTGCAGGCTTTTTACATGGGTATATTGCATGTTGCTGAGGTTTGGGATACAAATCCTGTCACCCAGGTAGTGGGGATAGTAACCAATTGGTAGTTTTTCAACCCATGCCCCCTTTCCTCCCTCCCCCTCTAGTAGTCTGCGGTGTCTATTGCCCCCATCTTTATGTTCATGTGTACTCAATGTTTAGCTCCCACTTGTGAGAACATCACATGTTTCTACACCATACTTAATTCCAAATAAAGACAATAACAAGGTAATAGTTCTGCGTAATGTGATGCAACTCTCCTGTGATTGTGATTTTATGGATTTTAGATGTTAGAGATTTAAGACTTCAGAGATTTAAATCTTCAGGGGTTTTGATCTTTTGGGATTTAAACATTCAGGATTATGGTATTTTGACTTGTGTCTTTCAGGATTATGATTAAAACCCTTTTCTCCATTTCCCCCTGCTTTCTCTTTCTCCCTTGTCTTCTCTTCCTCCTTTTAGTCCTTCTTGCTTCTTGTCTTTCCACTTTCTCCTTCTCTTTTTCTTCTCCTCCTTACCATGTAAGAATACACCTCTAATTTGGAAGAAAGTGGGGCAGTAGAATTCATATGAGGATCAATTTTGATGGGTTCTAGCTATTCCAGGATATGAAGGCTAGTGATAATTGAAAAATATTATAGGGCAAACGTTGACAGATTAGTCATATTTTAATTAATCCTAGTCACTTTTGTAGTGATAATACAGTTTCTATACATCCTGTGTCACATTTCTTTAGGCCTTTCACATGGCTTAGAATAATTGGGTTTAGTTTTTAATGAACTGTAGATAGCCAATGAGACAGAGTAGCCAATATCTTCTCATTTACCTTATTTTGTCTTTTAAACATAGATTTGAGCACCAGCAAATCTAATGTCTTGTTTGGTTTAATTTAAATCATTGATTTTAATTTTCTAAAGACTCCCCTGTTCCACATTATCTGGGACATAATTTAAAATATTTTCTAATCTAAATGATTAATATAACCATTTTCCTGAAATTCAATTATTTTCTGATTAAATCAACTCTCTGTAATCTTAAGATACTAACATTTCTATAAATTAAATTCCCTATAGCTGTCATTTAATAACAGATCTCATTAAAATCCATATGGGTTGTTAAAACTGCATGTTATGCTTAAATCTTGACAGTACACATTTTTATAAAATGAAGTGGGATGAAATATATGTAAACGACTACAGGCAAATTTTGGAAATATTGCAGTTTCAGTTCCAGACCACCCTAATAAAACAAATATTGCAATAAAGTGAGTCACACAAATTTTTCATTTTCCCAGTGTTAAACAGGTTCTGTTTAGACATAATTGTACACTTAGTAGCCACAATATTGCACACAATATTGAAATTAGGCCAATTGATAACCCTACAATGGCCTCAAAGTGTTCATATGAAATGAACAGTTATAGGTCTCTCACTTTAAATTAAAAGCTAGAAATGATTGAAGTCAGTGAGAAAGGCTATTAAGTGTGCGACAGCATTATGTCTATAAAGCAACATACAAACCTTAATTTAAAAACACATTATTGCTAAAAATGCTAACAATCTTCTGAGCCTTCAGTTGAATTGTAATCTTTTTGTGGTGGAGAGTCTTGCCTCATTGACGATGGCTGCTGACTGATCAAAGTGGTGGTTGCTAAAATTTGAGGTGTCTGTGCCAATTTCTTAAAATAAGACAACAATAAAATTTGCTGTATTAATTGACTCTTTCTTCCAGGAAAGATTTCTCTATAATGTGTGCACAGTAGAACTTTCAAAATTGGAGTCAGTCCTCTCAAACACCGCCACTGCTTTATCAACCAAGTTTATGTGATATTCTAAATCCTTTGATGTCATTTCAACAATGTTCACAACAGCTACACCAGGAGTGGATTCCATCTCAATAAACCACTTTCTTTGCTCATCCCAAAGAAAAAACTCCTGTGTTCAAGTTTTATCATGAGATTGCAGCAATTCAGTCACATCTTCAGGCTTCAGCTCTAATTCTATTTCTCTTGCTATTTTCATGACATGTGTAGATACTTCCTACACCGAGGTCTTGAACACCTTAAAGTCAGCCAAGAGGGTTCAGATGAACTTCCAAACTCCTGTTAGTATTGCTCTTTTGACCTCCTCCCATAAATCATAAAAGTTTTTAATGACATCTAAAATAGTGAATTCTTTTCATATTTTCAATTTACTTTGCCTCAATCCATTAGAGGAATCGGTATCCATGGCAACTATAGCTTTAAGAAATGTATTTCTTAAATAAGACTTGAAACACAGAATTACTCCTGATCCATACATCGCCATCAGCATTGGCTTATGAGCATTGAGCATTAGCTTCAACTTAAAGTCACCAGCTGCTTTAGCCCCTGAAAAGAGAGTCAGCCTGCTCATCTTTTGAGGCTTGGAAGCCAGGCATTGACTTCTTCTCTCTAGCTGTAAAAGTCCTAGATGGTGTCTTCTTCCAATAGAAAGCTGTTTTGTCTACATTGAAATTCTGTTGTTTAATATAACCAGCTTCATTAATTATCTTAGATCTTCTTGATAACTTGCTGAGCTACTACATCAGCACTTGCTGCTTCACTTTGCACTTTTATGTAATGTAGATGGCTTCTTTCCTTAAACCTCATGAACCAGCCTCTGATACCTCCAAATTTTCTTCTGCAGCTTCCTCACCTCTCTTAGCCTGCGTGTACTCGAAGAGAGTTAGATCCTTGCTCTGGGTTAGGCTTTGGCTTAAGTGAATGTTGCGGCTGGTGTAATCGTCTACCAGACTCCTAAAACTGTCTCCATATCACCAGTAAGGCTGTTTTGCTTTTTTTCATTTGTGTGTTTACTGGAGCAGCACTTTATTTCATTCAAGAGATTTTTGTTTGCATGCACAACTTGGCTAACTATTTGGTGTAAGAGGCGTAGTTTCTGGTGATCTCAGTTTTGACATGCCTTTCTCACTGACTCCAATAATTTCCAGCTTCTGATTTAAAGTGAGACACCTGTGACTCTTCCTTTCACATGAACATTTTGAAGTCATTTTATGGTTATCAATTGGCCAAATTTCCATATTGTTTTGTCTCAGGAAATAGGGAGGCATGAGTGGGGAGAGATGGCAGAATGGCTGGTCAGCGGAGCAATCAGAGCATACACAACATTTATTGATTAAGTTTGCCATCTTATGGGGCATTGCTCATGGCACTCCAACACAATTGCAATAGTAACACCCAAGATCACTCATAGGTCACCATAACATAGGTAATAATAATAATAAAGTTTGAAATATTGTAAGAATTATCAACATGGTGTACAGAGGCACAAAATGAGCACATGCCATTGGAAAAATGCCACCAATAGACTTGTTTGAGGCAGAGTTGACATAAACCTCCAATCTGTAAAAAGTGCAATAACTGTAAAGCACAATAAAACAAAGCATAATAAAATGAGGTTATGCTTGTAGTTATCCCTTCGGCTATGATAAAGCATTTGTCAATTGTTCATATTGAATAATAGAAACATTTCACTTTTAATAAGAGTAGTGAATAAACCAAATTTTCATGTTGGTTTTATATAAACTAACATTGCCACATATACATGAGAAGTTTTTGTTATTTAAATTGCTTTATTCTACTGCACATAAAGTATATCTACTATTTTGAGACTCTTGATTCTCTGAGAATTTCTAGGTATCTATCATCTATTTGTTTTTCCAACTATATAATTCATGCATTATATTTATGAATATAGAGCAATTTACAGCTATACGTAGTATTTTTAATACATAGTGATGTTACTCTTACCGTGATGAATTGTAAAATGGCTCCTGTGTTTCTTCTCCCATTCACTCTTGTTCATTGCTTGTATTCCTTAACAATAGATAAAACTAACACAAATTAACGATTTTGACTACAGAAGGGAGGGAAAGATTGAGTGTTGAAATAAGATTTAGGCATCTTTGGTGGTCCCTTCCACTTTTAAATTTCTGATAGGCACCTCGGCTTTCCCAGAACAGCACAAGTATTTGTGCAGCACAGCATATCTCACCAGGAAATTGCATTTATTTAGTCAGTGGATGAATGGAAATAAAACAGGCTCGTCTCAGTGGAACTTCTGTGGAAAGAGTAAGTCCAGAAAGAGAATCTGAACTGAGCAGTGTCTTCGATGCTGTTTCGTTGTTTGTTTGTTTTTATTGAGACGGAGTCTCACTCTGTTGCCCAGGCTAGAGTGCAGTGGTACCATCTGGGCTCACTGCAACCTCTGCCTCCTGGGTTCAAGTGATTCTCCTGCCTCAGCCTCCTAAGTAGCTGGGATTACAGGCATGAGCCATCACACTGACTAATTTTTGTATTTTTAGTGGAGACGAGGTTTCACCATGATGGCCAGGCTGGTCTTGAACTCCTGACCTCAAGTGATCCACCTGCCTTAGCCTCCCAAAGTGCTGGGATTACAGGCATGAGCTACCATGCCTGGCCCACAATGCTGTTTTAAAGAGGACCTCTGTATATGTTTGCTTGAAATCATTTGAGACTGTCTTCTTTTGATTCAGTTTGTCAAAAAAGTAAGTAAAAAATCTTTATAATTTACTTCCATTTAAGTCCAACTGTTTTCCCCAAATAATAAGAATAAAACAAGGAAATATTTTTTCCCATTTGGTTACCCTTTAAATGCTGTTTTATTTATGAGTTCCATATTTTATATGAAGAAGACTAGTGATCCAAGCATTTTTTATTTTCTAAGACATCCCCATTTTTCCAGCAGTCTCAGCCCCAGCTTCTAATGTAATTCTAGCCTGGGAAGGCAACATTTTTGTCATTTCCAAACTTTCTGTGTGGATCAAGTATAAAATTAGTCCTGCTGTTAATGGTTAAAGGTCTATTATAGTTCACACTTACAGAGAACTTCAGATAGCCATAGCTTCCAAAATTCCCTTTTTTGATGACCACATCAATATTATTTTTCATCTGCCTGAATTTTCTAGGATTTAGAGAAACAGAAAAAAAATAACAATAATTGCACACTTACAATTTTCCAAACTCTGTGCTGTAATACTCAAACACAGTGATTTAATACTCAAACAATCCCATAAGATATAATAATCTATTAGAATCTCCATTTTATAGATAAGCAAATTGAAGTTGAGAGAGAATAAGAAGATCATCTAAAGTCATACAGAAATAGGGGGAGAAAAGTGGGATCCTATATTCCAGCACACTTTGACTCCAATAACCAAGATCTTTCCAAAGCCCCAAATGAACCCTCCACTTATAATTCCCATCCCTTGGACGTGCAGGCTGGACACTGTCTACTGACTGGAGATCAGTTCTAAAATGAATGAATCTACTGGATCCATAATGTGGTTTCTCATCCGAACTTAACTACAACCAGCAAACACACTTATGCTCATACACAAACACACTATTTCTCTCCACCGGACTTGAATGCTTTCCTCAATCAAGACTGGATTTGTCACAGTTCGATATTAAGTTCATTAGATCAATGATTAACCCCTTAAAGACCATTGCTGATTTGTGATTTTGTTCCTGAGCTTCAACCCCACAAAATCTTGTCTTCCTATCTTATTCCTCTGGTCAAATCTGACTATCAAAAGACCTGGTGTGCTCACTGGTCAAGCCTAGAATGTCCTCCAATTTCACCATTGCCTCTATCACGGGGTAGAAATATATTGGCTTTCCTTTACTCTGTGTAATTCAGGTATTTTATAAATCTTAAACTCCCTAATTTAAGAAATTCCCCAATTAACATTTCTTTATTCTTACCAAAATTGTTTTCAGTAAAAAAACAAGACTTAGTAATCTTAGTCATCATACTGATTCAACTACTCACAGATTTTTGCATTTCTTAACTGGCCAATAGACACAGCTCTTTTTATTTGTCATCTCTCAGCTTTTAAATAAGAAAAAAGTAAACCCCAGGAATGAGTGACAGAAGTATTCAGGCTTTCATTATTAAGTTGACAAAACAAGCCATTTTATTTGTTGAAAACGCTGATATTATACCAGGATCAAAGGGAAGAATATTTGTGTGTGTGAGTGTGTGTGTGTCTTTCCTGAAGGGACTCAAAAGAGAATGACTTTAATTATTTAGTTTGTATATATAGCACCCTCAAAAGTGGTGTGAAAATTTTAATGGCATAGGAGGTACAATGTAATTATGGCCTTTTCGGAGGGGGATGACCGCACTGTTAGTAACTCTCAAGGCTGAATTGCTTCAGATGAGACATTTACTGCTGCTTTTGGATTACATTTACTCTGGGAGAAGCTGTGGTAAAGTCTCACAGTAAAGCTCTGTCATTCTTTCTTAGAACTTAGACTTCTAAAATGCTTCAGGCACAAGAGAGGAAAAGCATCCAACATATAGAGGGTATGAGAAATGTTTGCTACTGAAAAGAACAAACATTTTCTTAAATATAAATCCACTCTCTTCATTTATTTGCTTATAATGATTTCTGTGCCTGAAGTAACTACCGTATCTTGGTAGACACTTTATTATCCTTCAAGACTTGCTTAGATATTACTTTTTGTTGAAGTCTCCTTCAATTTTCCTCTTCTCTCAAATCAGTGCAAATTAATTCATTCATTTATTCAATAATACTTTCTAGATTACCTACCAGGAACTGGGGCTATATGTACTAAGAAAACTTAATCTCTATTCTCCAGAAGTTTAATCTATTTTGAGGAGATACACATTTTGAGAAAAATAAGTGTAATATCTGTCAAAGATTATATTAGAGTAGTCTTTATGAAGGACAATGAGCTCATAAAGGCAAGATCTGTTCATCACTTTTGGGAATTAACAAAGGTGTCATGGAGAAGGTGGCTATTATATATTTTTTAAAAATTTGGTCTTTAGATCTCTCTATGGGGAGTGGCTGTAAACTCTAGCCCTGCCATGATGGGGCTCCAGGGAATGTCGCTGTGGATGTTTACTCTGTGACTTTTTCAGGATGCTCTTTTATCCTGGCAGATGGCCTAATGCCCAAGTGTCTGACCCATGACCAGGGAAGTGTCCCTCTTGTAGGAAATTTATCTATACTGGCAGACACCCTTGTGGCTCTTTTCTTTATATATTTATTGAGATGGAGTTTCACTCTTGTTGCCAGGCTGGAGTGCAATGACACGATCTCGGCTCACTGCAACCTCTGCCTCCTGGGTTCAAGCAATTCTCCTGCCTCAGCCTCCCTAGTAGCTGGTATTACAGGCATGCACCACCACACCCAGAAATTTTTTTTGTGTGTGTGTTTTTAGTAGGGATGGGGTTTCACCACGTTAGCCAGACTGGTCTTGAACTCTTGACCTCAGGTGATCCACCCACCTTGGCCTTCCAAAGTGTGGAATTATAGGTGTGAGCCACCACGCCCTGCCCCTTGTGGCTCTTATCTGACCTGTGTCCAGTTTATTTCCACCAAGATAGCCACTGTCTAGAAGAACCCTGAATAAGAAAGAAATTAGATTCAGGTGGTGTTGCTCAGGTGAGGCACAGAGGAGGCAGCACAACAAAATACATGAAATAGCCGAAGTCATTTGTTACTTACAGGTCAATAAGAGAAGAGGGGGTAGTGGTGAGGGCTGATGAACAGACTGAGGGAGCATCATGGTAAACCAGCAGCTGGGAGCCAGAAAGAGACAGACCTGTTGGCCAAGGCCTATATTGGGGTTCAGGCTGTTACCCAAGGAGGTTTCCCATGGGTAGTTCTAATCGGGGAGTTTAGAACAAGCAGACATGGGTCCTGTGGGGCCACACTATAACTTATTAGTGGTCACTGTAGCATATCCACACAGTCTATGCTGGGTGTAGGGGTCAGTGGGGTTAGTCTGGTATGTTGTAGCTATATGTCCCATAGAGAAGCAGTTACCAGGAAGCAATTGTATAGAGAAGATGATTTGGACCACATTGAGATACTGGGAGGAGGCAGAGAGCCAGAAGCTGTATTAAGGATGACTAAGCCCTGCTTTTGGTACGAGACAGTTAACCCTATACTCAAAATGAATGCTGAGGCAACATAAAATTACAAGTATTCATTATGGTAGTATTTTTGGTTATATTGAAGAATGTGTGTATTTGCCTAATACAGCTGAAGCTGTTGGTGGCCTGCCCAGATTTTTTTTTTCCTGATATCATTAGTGCAAATTGGCTCAAATGTCATTGGAGCTGGTTCTTTGGTCACTGTCATAACAGGCTGGCATGCTGGAAGTTTCTCTCTCCCAAGCAGCCTTCAATAGATACATGGTCTATGATCAGGAGAAAGGTCTAGGCTGGAATGTTTGGAATGGGAGTTGGTGAATAAATATCACACCTCCTTCACCCATGGATGAGATAACTCTGAGGTGTGCTTGGGAATTCTCCATGGACAGCAAGCCTCCATTACTCACAGTAGTAACTGGATTTAAAATGTGCATTTGCCAGCTGACTTCCCTTCTCTGTATCACTTTCTTATTCCCCTGCTTTCCAAATAAACTACTTGCATGTTGTTAAATGGACATTTTTTAACAGTAAAATCAAGACTCACATCAAATGAATATATATATCATAGATTTTATTTTATCTATTAATAAGGGAACTTGTATAATGTCACAATTGAATCAAAGATAGAATTGCCAGATGCAGATAAACAATTTAAAATTTTTCGGTATAAGTACATCCCATGTACTGCATCAGACCATACTTACGCTAAAAATTGTTTAAAGTTCAAATATAACTGGACATCTCATAATTTTATTTGCTAAATATGTCAACCCTATTCAATGGAGAGTTCAAACTACTGCACAGACATGCCAGATACAAACCACAACACACAGATGCCATGAAATGAATTTACAAGTAGATGCAAAACTGGCAGAGCTGGTGAATACCTATAGAAAAATATTCTATTGCATTCTACTGGGTACAACCTCACTGTGTACTGATAAGAATCATTTGCATTACCACATTTTCTACAACTTGCAATGTTGTAAAATAGCTCAAAGACAATGATAGGTGGAGATAATTTAGGAGATTGAGCTAGACAGGGCATTCAGTTGTCTTTTAATTTCTTTTTCCCCATTCATATTTATGTGTGTGTGTGTGTGTGTGTGAGTGTGTGTGTGTGTGTGTGTGTGTATATATGTATATATTGTAAAATAGCTCCAAGACAATCATAGGTGGAGGTAGTTTAGGATATATATATATATATTTTTTTTTTTACCATAGGAATTCTTGTTTGAGAGTCTGCTTCTGAGAAACACAAACTAAGAAACTGTTTTGGGAGCAGATGGGGTGAGGTCATTTTAGAAAATGGGACAGGAGAAAGGTGCATTATAGAAACTGGATGGGGTATATGGAGGGTTGTGTTGAATGGTAAGAGTGTAGTGGCAGATTGAGAGTTAGATGATTAAGGGTGTTATGTACCATGCTGAATATATTGAACTATATCATGTAGCAAATGTGGAGCTACTTGAAGAGATAATAGGATCAGATATGAATTTCTAATAATCAATAGAATAAAGAACAGATTTCTGGAGGTAGAAAACAGAGGTGGAAGAAGCCGTAGGTACAGAAATAGAGAAGAGTGGAGAGGAGGACAAGAGGAACAGTTAAGGGGATAGAATGCACAGCAGTGACACCTGATGGAATGCAGGAGTTGAATTAGAAGAAACAGTTTAGGAATTACTATTAGACTTTTGTTTCCTGGTGGCAGTGTTACTAGAAGAGAAAGACTATCAAGTCTTTAGTCAAAGATACTGAGTTGAGCTTTGAATATATCAGTATGTCTCAGCAGGCAGCTGGATATATGGTCTGGGATCAGAAGAAAAGTCTGGACTAGAAATGTAGATGTGGGAATCTTAAGTACCGGTTAGAACTCTAAGAGTGAATAAAATTGTTGAGAAGAAGATGAGCAAGGGTAAGACCTTAATGGATGGGCAGACATAGAAAATGCAGCAAATGACATTGAGGAGCAATGAAGCAACACTGACATTAGAAGAAGCAAAAGGGCATGCTCTGGCAGAGACCAGGGAATGAGCATAAAGTTTCAGGAATCAGGGAGCAGGCAAGTATGTCAATGGCAGAAGCAGGTGTGTCAGTAGGAATAGCACACCACCTTAAAGTGATGAGTGCTGTCCATGAACCATTGGGGCGGCATTTTCCAAAGTATGTTCTGAAGTACACAAGTTCAGGAGTTATGTTTCAGCAAGCCTGGGAACTGTTGGGAACCATATTCCCTTCTTGTTTATTTAAAACAACACAATCTAGATGACTGAGAAATTCTTCCATGTTTCATCCCAAGTAAAAGAATAGAGAGGGGAATGATTTAACATTATTTAGTCTAGAAATTCCCAATCTGACCTGAACTTGAAGAACTTTCTGTGACCTATTAACAATGCGTATGCCATGGAACATATGCTTCTGGAAAGAATACACTAGAATTAATGAGAAAATAAGAATAATGGGGAAAAAGTTGATGGGTAAAGAAATGTAGAACATTTAAGATCAGTGCTAGCAATTTACAATTAGTGGTGCTTGGTCAGTTTGCCAGGTTCTCTATAGATATTATTATATTTAAAGTTCGCAATGATTCTATAAGAATAATATGGATACTATTATTATCCCCATTTTACTGAAGAAGATACCAAAGCTATATAGAGAAGTTAACTAACTTGCCCTAGGACACACAGCTAATTAATGGTAAAGTCAGCATTAGAACTCAAGCAGCCTAATCCTGAGCCTGTTTTATTGGAACACAACCAATTCCATTTGCTTACACACTGTCCGTGGAGCTTTCAGGCTACAATAGCAAAATTGAGTAGTTGGAACCGACAGAATGGTCTGCAAAGCCTTAATTAATAATGTACTATCTGGCCCTTTACAGAAAATGTTTTCTGACCCTTGTTCTACTAGAAAGGGTACATTCTGTAAAGAAAAAAATGAAGGTAGAAGGTAGAGGCTTAAAGGTTAGGTGCCACAGTTGACATTATTATCATAACATGATTCAGGGATTTGAAAAATGGAAGCATTCCATTTAGTTGATATAAGCCTACTATGCATACTGGTGTAAACAGCCAACTCACAAGAGGGGTACTCTGTCTCAAGCAGCACTGTTCAGTTGCCACAGAACAGAAATCATTCAAGACATCAAAAAAGAGAGATGGAGCAGCATCACTGTATTTTCAGGATATGAGAATCTCAAGTCAAGGAGCTGAATTTCAGGAACCACAGCTAGTCCTTCTGTAAAATGGACAGTCATCAAGCCTTCGCTTTCACCCTCTTTCACACTACATGATCTTCTGCCTCTAATTTGCTTCTGCTTATTTTTTCTCCATAGGGCAGCTCTCTACTCACTCATCTGCCTTCACAAAGCTGCCTTAAAATGGTAGTATATGGAACCCAAAGGCCTACATGACCCTCTGGCTTGGCTACACACTACAGCTATATGCCTGTCTTAAAAGCCCAGAAAGAAATATTGCCCCAGCTAGGGGAGGTACACGACACAATCCAATCAGTTGTAACCAGAAGGTCAATTCACATGATCTACATCCCTTCTGTTCTGAAGGGGAAAAGTTTAAGGCATTCATTCAAAAACAGTTTTTGCAGAGTTCCTATTATGTGCCAGGCCATGTGGCAGGATGCTGAGAGAAAACACAGCCATCATCTAGGGGTTGTTGGGGGAAGGAATGTCCCAGAGCCAGGCAGAACCAGGCTTCAGTTAGAATGCATGAAAAATGAGGGAAACATTTAGAAATGAATTAGATTTTGTTGATGCTGGGTCATGGATTTGAGAGAACACATTGGAAGGGAGTTGGGGGTGGGGCAGTGGAGATGGGATAATGGAATCAGAACAGGAAATGGCTTTTGTACACACATGTCCTATTAGAGATGCCTATTATGTTCTTACAATTATGTTCTAAGAAATAATATTATGTTAGAGAAACAGCATTCCCAGCAATGTGTCACGAGCCTATGTATATCCTGAAGGCCTGCCATGACCTCTCTAGGCCTCTCTTTTCCACTCTCACCTTTATATTTTTTACTGTATTTAAAATTATCAGATATATTGCATATTTATTTGTTTTGATTTATATTGACTATATTCCCCCCTGGAATACAATCTTCATGAGAATGAGAATTTTTTTTTCCACTGATACATTTCCAATCCCTAGAACAGTGCCTGACACACAGTATATGCTCCATAAATGTTTGTGGAGTTAAAGAACAGGTAAATACATAAAGTAGTAAAATTTGAATGCACACTTTATGATGCCATGTATTTAAGGCTGGTCTCACAGCAGGATGGCTTATATGGGATGACTGAAATTTGACAACCAACTATACCCACCAGCAGAGTATAAGTGAACAAGAGAAGAATGGCCAGGCAAGTAGGAAAAGAATATTGTCATTTTGAGAAATGATCAATAGAGAAAACTGGTGGGCCAAGATAGACAGAGATCTTGGAAGTCAAGCAGAGAGTGGCATCATAACAAAGCGGAAGCTGATAGTAAAAAATCCTACCAGAGAGACACAATTTCTTATGGACGCTAGTGCCTGGAGAAGGTTAGAGGGCCAAGTGAGACTCCAGCCCTGATTACACTGGATTACCAGGAAGACCACCCACTAAAAGCAGAAACTCAAGCTTGGAGGGCAAAACCACATTTATGAGAAATGGGATAAAGTGAAGATTTAAACAAGGCAAGAAGCCAGTTACTGTAACTGGGTTACGAGATAAGCATGGTCTATTCCGTCTCTGGCTTTTTAAACTCAGACATATGCAAAAATAGGCTTATACATCACTGCTTGTTCCAGGTATATTTCTCTTCTCAACTGTCTTCTTACATGCCTATTCCTGCCTCTCTCCTCCTTTGTATCAGGTTCTGAAATTCCTTATCTGCTTCTGCCACCTTTCACTGCTTCTCTATTTGGTGAGAGATTAGGACTACTGGATAAGATGTCTAGTCTTCTTTATTGATTGGTCATTCTCCACATCTGGTTGACTTCTGAGTTGACTGCAGTTATAGGCAAGACATCCTCCTCTGTTCCTAGGTGATTCTCACCCACTTGGGCAAGAATTACTGACCCCTGTAATTAAAGTTTGCAGTCTTAGTTAAGACTTCTTCTTTCTTCCAATGGATATGGAAGAAGTCAAACCAGGACTCAAATTCCTTAATTTGCTAAAAAGCCTTTTAGGTTGCAAGTGTAACAGGATATTCAAGTGAGACACTTTAGGTCTTGAAATTTCAGAAGAGACCTTAATACCTGAGACTAACAAAATAGGTGCCAGACATACTCATATCTTAAAATAAGGAACTAGAATGCCTATGAAGAACATGCCAAGAGATTGTAGAATAAGTTCTGCTTGCACAAGCCAAACATCCACTTCCCAGTTACTCAAGGATTTCCAATTAGATTTGGGAAACAGACTTTGTATGGGGAGAGCTGTTACAGTATTGAAAACATTCTCCTCTTCTTTCATGGTGACAGAGGAGGCTGAAGGCTTCTTACATTAAGCCAAGTGAAGGGGCATCAACAAAACAGCTCAGAGAGCTTGATATGCATTTTTTGAATTTGGAGAACAGAGACACTTCTGTTTCAATCTGCTGGGAGAAGCCTACACACAAAAGGTGGGTTAGCTGGGCATTAGGTGGGAGAGAGAAGGTATGAAAATTTAAGTGGCTTATGAGAAAGCTGCTTTATTCCCATCAATGGAGAAGCCAATATGCATGTGTCCTAGAGGTTGGCCCCAGAGCTCACCTGAAATTGTCTTCACAGGGATGTCATCTAAGATGCCAGTCCACAGGGGCCAAGAAACCCCTGCAGAAGGGAAGTTTAGGGGAAGCCCATGGGCTGAGAAGGGGAGTGTCCTAAAAACCTGTTAGTGTTTAGAGTGCTTCACCAGGCATTCCTCAGCAGAAGAATCTCTCCAAAAACCATGTGAGCTCCCTGGGAGATTTACAAAAAGAAAAAGATGAAGAAAAAAACAATAATCATATTGATTACAATTGTATCAGCATCATGAGATTAGGCTCATACTTCTCTCTGCCTTTGGGTTCTGAAGTAGCCTCCAGCAAGTAGGGAAGGAAGAGCAAGAAATATTAACAAAACCAACCTGGTGCTTTTGCCTCACTGCAGGATTTTTGTCCCTAAAATGATCTCAGCTGAAGGAGGGAATTGATTTGAAATCAAGTAATATTTTGGCATGTTATCACTTTTACTGGACTAGATTCTTTAATGCTTAGGAGTAATAAAATACTTTTAATTATATTTTTTAGTAAATTTTATACTTCTGAGAATAGCAACATTGTTCATAATAGCAAAAACAACCCAAACAACACAAATGCTTATTGATAGAAAAATTTAAAAAATTGATTGTAGTGTGTTTTACTGAATGGAATACTATGTAACCATGAAAGTGAATAAAATACAGCTGTATTCAATAATAAAGTTGAATTACAGTTATATACTATCAAGGGGGGAAGCATGTTTCAGAGGACTACCTATAGTTTACTATCTTTTCTTATAAGATTAAAGAAAGTAAAACTAAACAATATATTGTTCATGAATACATTGGGTTGTACACTATAAAAAGGAGGCAAAAGAATAAGAAGCATATAATTTAGGATCATGCTAACCTCTGGGGGCTGGGCGGCAAAGCGAGGAGGTGGATTAGGAGTAGAATCCACTATGTTCTAGTTCTGGAGTTGGCTGGGTTGTGGGGTTATTATCTTATTATTAAATAAATAGATATAATACAATAAAAATACACATGCATGAAGCTATAATAGGTAATAAACAAACATTTATAATTAATCTAGTTCTATACATCTGTGGTTTATGTTAAAAAGAAAAATAAAAAGCTTAGAGGCCTAGTTGGTGTTTCCTGCCACAAATGGGGAAGAATGAGGCTATAAAGTAAATTTAATGAGGGAAAAGAAGAATAAATGTTCCCTTTGCTTCTGTCTAAGATATCCAGCTTGTCCAGACTTGTCTTTGCCCTAGCTCATGACATGTAAGGGGAGAAGCTTTGGCTGGCTGTTCAAAATATAGTAATGTTCTGTCAAAGTCTAAGGGCAAGGTGGAGATGGAAACTAAAATGCCAGGGCTGTATTTGTATAAACCAAGCAGAAGTGGTCTGAAAGACTAAAAGGAAGTTTTTAGCATCAACTTAATTATGGATCTTGATGTTCATGCTGACGTTTGTAGTTTTTCTCTTTTTCAAGTAAAGGTTATTCTGTCAATGAATAAAGAATAGAGGGTGACCTGCCAAAGATAAGGCTCTGAGGTGGTTCTAAATGACCTAATTAGATAAAACTAGAGGCCACAAAAAACAGAATAAAGAAAAAATTCGAGAGCTCCTTAAAGAAGACAGTCCTCTCAATTTGACAGAGTATTTGACATACAAAAATATCTTATAATACAATGGTGGTAGAGGCATTAGGACTTATTATTAAATAGCATAGCTTTCTCTAATGTTATTTTTAAAGTGCCTGAGAGAAAAGAGAAAGGCTTAGACATGCCTGAAATTGGCGGGACATCAGAAAGGGCATTGGTAAGTCTATTTGGAAGGACCTCAACCAAGAGAGGTTTTAATATCAATTAGAATCCCCGTTGCTCAAAAAACTGAAGTCTGACTGCTTTTCTGTAAGGTGATGTGCTGGGGGTCTGTGATAGTCCCTGATCACTGTGTACCCTCCTGAGCCTGAGGGCAACAGAAGGGAGGGCTGTCAAGCAGCAAAAATGGCAACCTGCCTTTCCCTCTGGGAGATCTGTTCCAGGGAAGTGCAGAGCTGCTGCTGGCCTGAGAGTCCAGGCCGGGGGTGACTAGGGTCCCAGGTTGGGAGGCCTGGCCCAGTGAGGAGCAGCAGGGTCAGGGACCCATGTGGAAACCAGTCTGGCTGCTTTTCCATAAGCTGGCTGTGCTGTGCTGGGGTCCAAAATAGTCCCTAATCACTGTGTCCCCTTCTGAGCCTGAGGGCAGGTAATGGGTGGCTGGGGTCCCATGTTGGTACCTCTGACAAAGATCTAATATCCATAATCGATAAGGAACTTAAACAAATCAACAAACAAACCACCCCATTAAAAAGTGGGCAAAGGGCATGAACAGACACTTTGCAAAAGAAGACATACATGCAGCCAGCAAGCATGTGAAAAAATGCTCAACATCACTAACCATTAGAGAAATGCAAATCAAAACCACAATGAGATACCATCTCACACTACTCAGAATGGCTATTACGAAAAAGTCAGTAAATAAGAGATGTTGATGAGGTAATGGAGAAAAGGTAATGCTCATATGCTGCTGCTGGGAATGTAAATCAGTTCAGCCAGTGTGGAAAGCAGTTTGGATATATCTCAAAGAACTCAAAGCAAAATTACCATTCAACCCAACAATTCCATTACAGATATCTATCCAAAGGAATATAAATTCTTCTGCCATAAAGACACATCCACGCATATGTTCACTGCAGCACTATTCACAATAGCAAAGACATGGAACCAACCTAAATGCCCATCAATGTTACAATGGATAAAGAAAAAGTAATACATATCCACCATGGAATACCATGCAGCCCTAGAAAAGAATGAGATCATGCTCTTTGCAGCAACATGGAGGCTAAGTAAACTAACAGGAACAGAAAACCAAATACTGCATGTTCTCACTTATGAGCGGGACCTAAGCATTGAGTCCTTATGGACACAAAGAAGGGAATAACTAACACTGGGGCCTACTTGAGGGTGGAGAGAGGGAGGAAAGTGAGGATTAAAAAAACTACTTCTTGGTTACTATGCTTATTACCTGAGTGTTGAAATAATCTGTATACCAAACCCCCATGACACAATATGTAATTTACCTATACAATAAAGCAGCACATGTACCCCTGAACCTAAAATAAAGGTAAAAAACAAACAACCAACCCTAGGTCCTCACTCACTCAACATCATCCTGAAGACTGGACCTTTTAATATTATCTTGTTAGCAAAACTAAAAATTGGTGTTTGTGGCTTTGGCGTAATGAGGCTACAAATAGATGGGAAACAGATCTCACAGGGCCTGGATAAGGTAGCAGTGAATTCGCAAACCCACCCTGCAAAATTAGGTGAAGAACGAAGATTCTTTCTTTTTAGCACCTCTTTTTCTGTTGAGAGTGGCTGTCTTTCTCTGGGCAGCAAGGTTTGCTGAAGAAAAGATTCTGCCTGGCTGGCGTCAGATGTACCGATGTCTGCATATTTTCTTCCCCCATTTTTCTCTGGCTCCAAGATGACACAGCATTCTAATGAGATTTAGAATTGGATAAATAGGTCTCAGCCCAATGACAATGAAAAAAAAAATGTTCACACGTTGCTCCTGAAAGGTGAGGGCAATGACTATGACATATCAATTACTGACACATTCACAAGGCAGCTGCATGTGAAAACTGACTGAAGAAATTGGAGATAACCCAGATCAATTTGAAAGTGACTCCTGGAGCATTTGCATGAAGTAGCTGACCAGAGTATTTAATAGAGCAGATGGGTTCCTGCAGTGTGGCAAGTGGCATCTGGCAACATGAGTATGCTTTCTCTGACTTCTAGCCATTTAAATTTTACATTAGGGCAGAAAAGAAGCAAAGAGATGCAAAAGACTGCCTGATTCCAGAGAATTCTGTGGATTTTGCCCTGCATTCAACAGATGCTTACCTTGGGATGTCACACCTTCATCAGTAATTAGGTGAGGTTAGCCACACCGATTTCTAGGCAGCCATCATGGGCACTCAAGAGTTTTCAAATGGATAGCAGCATTTAGTTGCTGTATAAAGAAATGTTTAAATAGCTCAGCAAATATGTCACATTGTCTTGTTTCGGGACCCATGACAGAAAAGCTCAGGAATAATTTACAGCCATTGCTAAAGCTGTATTGTATATCTGCCAGGCTGGAGGTGGCTAAGAGGCCTAAGTGGGGGAACCAAGCTTATTCAGATACATGTTGGAGACAGTAATATAATCAAGTGTCAAAGAAAATATCCCATGGGCCATTTGCAGTGATTGTGGCAGTTTGTCCCTTGTAGCCAGCTGGAGGGAAGCTATACTTCATTTCTGCCAAAGCTTTATACTCCCAAGTAGAAATCTTGGGACTGGGAAGACAATTCTGTGAGGTAGATACTCCTGAGAGAGAGAAGCTTGTACTACTCATGGTCCATGAGAGTAGATGCAGAAGACTACCTCAACTGACAACCTTCTAGCCATGATCCATTCCATAAACCATTGCATTTACAAGAAAGAGCATCAATTATGTATTCTGGACATTTAAATTGACTAGTGAGAGTGGTTCAGGCAAGCAGAGGCATTTGACAGACAGCAGCTGTCAAGGCTGGTAAGATATCACATTTAATAGAGGTTAGCAATGATGGGGTTGGGGGAGGTCCAAACAGACATTGTCCGTGTCTGGGAAACAGGTCATTCATTTGGAAACAGCCACTTGTCCTTGATTCAATTTATTCTCTGTTTCTTTTTTGCACAAGCCAAGACTAGTTTTACTTTGTGATTATAGAGGAAACACAATGAATCTTGACAATTGTACCAATGTGTAAAAACTGATAGAATTTTCCTCAGCACAATGTTGAACTTAAAATATCTATAATAGTGATTTGTTTAGTGTTGAATGGCTGGCGATGGCTGACCCTTGGCTTACTTGTGAGATTATGGCCAAAAGAAGATTAAAGACTCCCAGGTAAACCTTGTCTCTGACTAAGGCTGGGAAAGAAATGTGTTGATTACCCAACAGGCTGTCTTTTGTATGCTAGGTATGAGTAACTTCTACAGATCAAGAAAAGGGTACAAGGGAACAGGTTTATGTGTGTTTTCCTTTGTGGAATTGTATTCCCCTGGGGAAGAGTGAAGGAGGCATCTCGCTTTTTCTTCATGATCTTTTGTCTTGTTTGATGTGTGTATGTGTGTGTGTGTGTGTGTGTGTGTGTATATATATATATTTTTTTTTCCAAGGGCATACATGTGACAAAAAGTGAACTGGTATCTAAAAACTTTGAAAGATCTTTGTGTTCTAGCTCAGATGTTCTTTGTAAGATCAGAAGCAGGTTTTTGTTGTTGTTTGTTTGTCTCTTTTTTTCCCTTCTGACCTTGAGGATATGTATACTATCAAATATTCTTTAGGGAAACAGAAAAATTTAGTCGAAAATCTGGGTGCCAAATATTTAATATTTTAGCTACATGTAATCTGTAGTACTCTAACTGCTTTGAAAGCAGTTTTTCAACTTGTATGTGGCTTAAGATATACAAATAGAATACTGTACAACTCAGTTGAAAATGCATCATTTAAAGCAATTAGGCCTGTGAAATGCTAAGAGAAACTTCGTTTTTGTTTAGTTTTTCCACTCTTTTGTGCTCACTCCAACACTCTTTCACTTGATTCCTAGTATATGCAAAATGTTATATGAGATACCCTAAGATGAATCAGCTATAAATGCTGCCCTTTAGAAGTTTACTTTTAATTTGTGGAAAATACAAGGTTTAATAAGTTCTACTTTGAGGAGAAAAACAAAGATCTGTGGGGATGCAAAGGAATGAGTCATAGTGCTAAGGAATATCCAACTGAAGATCAAATTTTCTTTGATATGGTTATTATTTCCCAGAGAATAAGATACTTCATCTCTTATAATAATAAAATGATTAAGACTAAAATTTTTAGAGGACTAGAAGTAACACTGGGCTGGTTATCCAAATGCCTGGATTTCAGTCATAGCTCTTTTATGGGCCAATTGTAAGGCATAGGTGCTTGGCTATCATTAGGGTCAAGGTTCCTCTCTTCTTTCCTCTCTTACTGTACTCCACACTCAGGATGGGGCACTAATATAGATTAGTGTAGGTCTAAGGATCATTATTGGACCACTGCGCTATGGTAGAGTTTGCCATGTAATAAAGGGAAGGGTTAACATTCTGAGTCCTGGGTTCAGTGGAACCTTTTTGGAATTCAGACAAATGGTGTCTTCTCCTCCTTCCCTACAAGTGGGTAGTAAAAGACTTCAGGGTCTCTTTTGGCTTAGGAGGAAGAAATTAGAAAGCCAATGAGAATCAAGGTGCCTCCTAAAGGATACCTAAGATTACCTTAGGCCTACCAGTTCAGGTGTGTAGGTGAGACCTTTTCTTTTGTTCATCTTTTATCCTGAAATTTTTTCAGCATTGGGGTGCTAAGATCTGGGTCAGAAAACTGAAAATTGGATGTAGTCGAGGGGGAAAAGACTGGACAAAGCTAATGAAGTGGCTTTTAATTTCAGTTCTAGGCTCATTTATTAGGTGCCAAAGGCATCTTATACCTCTATGGGGCCTTGCTCAGCCAAACAGGTAAGTCTGACATGGTTTGAGAAAAACATCTCATTCAAGTAAATAAAATAATTTTGCCTGAATTATTGTCTTATTTCGCTTGGGAAGTTGGGGCAGTGGCTATAGGCTGGCTGAGGATATGTGCTATCAGGATGATATGACTGACCATTTTGGGTTTTGTCTTTTTGTTCTAAAATAAATCAAATTGACCCAACTCTAACATTCATTGTGTGTCTTTCCTTATTTTTTTCTTTTTCTTTGGTTTGTAAAATATATCCACTTTGTAGTTTGTCATAAGCAGAGATAAAAAGGTACTAGTTATAGGAAAATATAGGTATCTTTCTTTATATCAGCTCAAAGTCTACAGATAACCCACATACACTTATATAGCATTAATAAGATAGACATTAATCAGTTAACTGATTAATTAAACTAACATATGTTGAGTGTCCTTCATGTAATGCTATCTTCTACATACTTTAACCTAGGACTTCTAATTTGAGGCCTTGGGTTCTTAGAGAGTTCAAGAATGATCTTCAGAAGGCTATGAATCCCCTGAATTTACACACAAACTTTGTGTATGTATTTATCTTAAAATTATGGATCCATAGCTTTTACGGGATTTCCAAAGGAGTCTGTGACCTCAAAAATACAAGAACTATTTAAAAATCTAAATTATCTAGGTCACAGGCCTTATTTTTTATTTCCCTGTTGTCATCTGGTGTAAAAGGTAAAGGTATAGCAAGGGAGGAGATTCAGAGATATCTGGGGAGTTGTTCCCAGTGAGTACCTACTGAATCAGAATTTCAGGGAAAATTCTGGATTTTCCCCGGGAAAATCCAGGATGGGAACAGGTGGATGAACCACAGACAAGGCTTTCCAGGTGGTCCTGTACTCTCCCCAACTACCACCCTAGTCCAGATTGAAAATCACTGGCCTGATGGGGAAGACAGACAAATAAACATTAAATATACTTCAAGACAGAATGAACTTCATCCTAAGAAGAGATCTCATTAGCATGCACTGGAAAGCAGAGGAAGCTGTGTGAATTTCAGAATTCCTGTGGCTTTGAGCTTGACCTTGAAGCCTGAGAAAATTTCAGTAAGAACACAGTGACAAGGTTTGAAAATCCTGAGTAAAACTGTTGATAGAAAAGGGAGGAAAATCAGTGTTGACGATTTTCTGAATGTTCAGATAGGGAAATATGTAGTACAGGAACCAGGTAAAAATACACTATTGCAAACCTGCAAGCAAAGGCCTATGCAAGTTAATTTATCTGAGTTGGCTGACTATGCCTTCACAATTGATGTTGCTCTATCATAAATTCACTTTCTTTTTGTTCATACTCAAGCCTACTGTAAGCAGCATGTACAGTCTGACTAGACTCAAACAAGTAGATGGGATTTTCAAGAGCCAATTCAATATAATCAATGTAAATTTTAAAAAGAAGCACAGCCATTTATCAAATCTTCTCAACTAAAAAAAAAAAAACTCTTTATGAGAAAAGTACTTAGGATTTCTGGAATATGCTGACAGGCCAGTATTTGTCATTTCCACCGACAATTCAGTCTAAATGATTTCCTGCATCCTGATGTCATTAGCTAGTATTTGGCTAATTGCATAGTGTTTTCCTTGGGAATTTTGCCCCCAAAACTAACCGTTGAGTATTGTATTAGTTTCCTCTGGCTGCTGTAACAAATGATCGCAAATTTGGTGGCTCGAATGAACAGAAATTTATTCTCTCACTGTTCTGGAGGCCAGAAGTTCAAAATCAAGCCGTCAGCAGAGGCAATACAGAGGAATTTTTTTCCTGGCTTCTTCCAGCTTCTGGTGGCTACAGGTATTCTTTGGCTTGTGGACACACCACTCTGCTCCATGCCTTTTCCTCTGTGTCTGTCTTCCTCTGTGTGTCTCTTAAAACTCCATTTTTCCCTTCTTTTATAAGACTAGACTATTTCTGATGGCATTTTCAATTTCAGTGATTTCTGCTCTAATCTTTGTTATTTCTTTTCTTTTGCTTACATTGGGTTTAATTTGCTCATTAAAAAAAATCCTAAAATAGAAGCTTAGATTATTGATTTTAGATCTTTTTTCTAATTTATACATTTCAATGCTATAAATGTCCTTGTAAGTATTGCTTTCACTGTATCCTTCAAATTTTAAGGTTATATGTTTATTTTCATGTAGTTTAAAATATCTAAAAATATATGGAGATTTCTTCTTTGGTCCATGTGCTATTTGGAAGTGTATTGTTTAATCTCTAAATATTTTGGTATTTTTCCATATATCTTTTTGTTATTGTTTGTAACTTCATTCCAGTGTGGTCTAAAGCATACATTGTATGATTTTTACTCCTCAAATTTGTTAAGATGTGTTTTGTGGCTCAGAATGTAGTCTGTGTTGATGAATGTTCCATGAGAGCTTGAGAAGAATGTCTATTCTGCTGTTGTTGGATGAGATATTCTATAAATGTCAATTAGATCCAATTATTTGATAGCACTGATCAGTTCAATTTTATACTTCACTGATTTTCTGCCTGCTGGATCTATCTCCAATGACAAGGTGCATACACATTAGGGATTATTATACCTTCTTAGTAAAGTGACCCCTTTATCATTATGTAATGCCCCTCTTTATCCTTGATAATTTTCCTTGCTCAGAAGTTGGCTTTGTGGCTGCGCACGGTAGCTCACTCCTATAATCTCAGCACTTTGGGAGGCCGAGGCGGGTGGATCACCTGAGATCAGGAGTTCGAGACCAGCCTGACCAACATGGTGAAACCCTGTCTCTACTAAAAATACAAAATTAGCTGGGCATTGTGGCGTGTGCCTGTAGTTCCAGCTACCTGGGAGGCTGAGGCAGGAGAATCACTGGAACCCAGGAGGCAGAGGTTGCAGTGAGCCGAGATTGCACCACTGCATGTCAGCCTGGGCAGTGGAGCAAGACTCCATCTCAAAAAACAAAACAAAACAAAACAAAAACAAACAAAGAAGTTGGCTTTGTCTGAAATTAATATTACATTCAGCTTCTTTTGCTGAGTGTTAATATGGATTGTCTTTCTCCATCCCTCCATCTGTTTGTGCCTTTTGATTTAAGGCTGATTTCTTCTATTTTTGTTGAGACAAGGTCTCATTGTGTCACCCAGGCTGGAGTGCAGTGGTGTGATCATAGCTCACTGCAGCCTGGACCTCCCAGGTGCAGGTGATTCTCCCACCTCAGCCTCCCTGGTAGCTTGGACCGCAGGCACACGCCACCAAAGCCCAGCTAATTTTTGGTATTTTTTTTTTTTTTTTCTAGAGACAGGGTTTTGCCATCTTACCCAGACTAGTCTGGGACTTCTGAGCTCAAGTGATCTGCGCACCTTGGCCTCCTAAAGTGCTGGGATTACAGGCATAAGCCAATGTGCCCTGCCTAATTTCTTATAAACAGCATATAATTGGTTCTTGTTTTTTAAATCCACTCTAACAGTTTATGTTTTTACCACTGAAATTTAAAGTGATTATTAATATAATTAGGTTAATATTTATCATATTTGCAACAATTTTCTATTCATCGTCCTTGTTGCTTGTTTCTTTTTGTTGTTGTTGTTGCTCACTCTTTTTCTGCCTTCTTTGCTTTTAAATAAGCATTTGAAATGATTCTATTTTCTTCTTCTCTTGCGTATCAATTATGCTTCTTTTAAAAATTATTTAAGTTGTTGCCATAGAGTTTGCAACATACATTTACCACTACTCTAAGTCCACTTTCTATCTGAAATAGAAAACACTATACTGCTTCAGGAGTAGTACCAATACCTTTTAACAGGAAATTCCTAATTCCTCCTTCCCATTTCTTATTATATTACTGTCATTACTTATATCCATAAGCCATAGTCAACCAATACAATGTTGCTATTATTATTTCCAACAAACTGTTATCTGTTAATTAAGAAGAAAAATAATTTTTTACCTTCATTTATTCCTTGTCTAATGCTCTTCTTTATACAGATCTGAGTTTCTGAGCTATCATTTTTCTTCTCTCTGAAGTACTTCTTTTTAACATTTCTTGCAAGGCAAGCTTCCTGGCAGCTAATTATCTCCCTCTTTATTTGGCGAGAAAGTATTTACTTTTTCTTCACTTTTTAAGAATAATTTCACTGGATATACAATTCTAGTTTTTAAAAAATTTTTCTTTCAACACTTCAAATATTTCACTCCTGGGTCTTCCTGTTACATGATTTCTGATGAGAAGTACACTATAATTTTGATTCTTGTTCCTTTATGGATGTGGTGGGTACCCCCACTCCCCCAGCTTCTTTCAAGATTGTCTCTTTGTTTTTTTTTATTTACTTCAGTTGGAATATAATAAGCCTCGTTAGAGATTTTTTGAAATTTGTCCTCCTTGATCTCTGAACTTCCTCAATCTGTGGTTGGTGTTTGTCATTAATTTTGGAAAATACTCAGCCATTATTGCTTCAAATATTTCTTCTGATCTGTTATTTCCTTCTTCTCCTCCTGATATTCCCATTATGCATATGTTACATCTTTTTAAATTTTCAAACAGTTCTTGGATATTGAGTTCCATTTTTCTCATTCTTTTTTCTTTTCACTTTTCAATTTGGGAAGTTTCTACTGACATATTTTCAAGCTCATTGATTCTCCTTTCGGCCATTTTCAGTCTATGGGTGAGTCCATCAGAGGTATTTTTATTTTTGTTTTCTATTTATTTATTATCTCTTAAAATTTCTACCTCACTGCTTACGTTACCCATGTGTTCTTGCACGTTGTCCACTTTTTCCTTTAGAGTTATTTTAAATTCCTGGTCTGAGAATCACAAAATCTGAGACTGCTTCAGATGCTTGCTTTGTTTCTCCAGACTGTGGGTGTTCAGTTGTTGTTGTTTGTTTCTTAGCATACATTTTTGTTGACAGTGAGACATGATGCCCTGGGTAAAAGCAATTGAGAAACACAGATTTTAGGTGTTAGGGTTTATGTTTACTTGGCTAGGAGTAAGGCTGTGTTTACTCTTTGCTGTTGCTGTGGTTTCAGAGGCTAAAATTTCCTTTAATGTCCTTTTTATCTCCCTAATTGTCCTGAGTTTTCCTAGAAACTCCACCTTAAGTACAGTATAAGCCTTGCTATTGTTTCAGCTGTAATCCCCTGTTTCTTTATTTTATTTTATTTTTTATTTTTTGGCAAAGGAGTCTCACTCTGTTTCCGAGGCTGGAGTGCAGTGGCGCAATCTCAGCTCGCTGCAACCTCCGCCTCCTGGATTCAAGTGATTCTCCTGCCTCAGCCTCTCCAGTAGCTGGGATTACAGGCGTGCATCACCACGCCCAGCTAATTTTTGTTTTTTTAGTAGAGACCGGGTTTCAACATGTTGGCCAGGGTGGTCTGAAACTCCTGTCCTCAAGTGATCCACCTGCCTTGGCCTCTCAGAGTGCTGGGATTACAGGTGTGAGCCACTGCGCCCAGCCTGATCCCCTGTTATTCTACAGAAGCCCTAGTGGCATGGTAGTAAGGTTTAGGGCAAGAGGAACTATTCTATAATCATATGATTAGGTTTCAATCTTGCAGTGAGCCTATGTCCCTGAGCTGTGATCTTCACAAGAGCTTATCAGTTTACCCTTTCCCACTTAGATGAGACAGGATGGCAGAAGGAGATTGGAGTTGGGTAATTACCTTCCTTCTCATCAGATAGGCTCTGATAAAACCAGGGTTACTTTGGCTCCGGTAAAATAGTTTTCCTTGAGGGCAGGCGGTTGTTAAGGGGAACAGAGTACTCTGGACTTGCTTCAAAATGGTTACTCTTCCCTCTCCCCGGCCAGAATCATAATGGGATATTTCTCAGATCTTCACAGTGAGAAGCCATTGCAGTGCTTGTAGGTGAAACTCAAGAAAGGAGTTCTTATTTCTCAGTGTAGTCAATGTTTAGTCTCCAGCAATTAGTTTGGAGCAAATACCCTTTATGTATTTCTACTAGGCTCCAGCAGTGGCTTTTTGCTTCTGGTAAGCTGTGATTATCTCTGCTCACCTGTCTCTCCAGTTTTCAGGGTGGCAGTCTTCCTTATGACTTCAATTCTCTGACAGATCCAGGAAGAGTTGTTGGTTTTTAGTTTGTTCAGTGTTTTCACGGTTTTGAAGATGAAAGTGATGACCACAATCTTTTTACATGTTGGACTAGAAATCAAGTAATTATAAACCAGATATTATGAAGTAAGTATATTCATCAGGAAAAAGTGTTACACTTAGTAATCTCTAAAGTCTCTTTCAGCCCTGAGTTTTGTTCTAATTTTAACAAAATTTTCCCTGCAAGTTCAAGAGATGCAAAGTTATCACATTTCTTTGACTTTACAGTTTTGAAGCAAAATACAAATGGGGTAGGAAAGTTGAATGTGATCAGGAGGTGAGCATCTCAGTCTCAGCTTGCCACTTGTGCTGTGGTCTAGAAAAAGTTGCTTCATGTTTCTGGACCTCAGTTTCTTCTCCTATGGAATAAGGCAGCAGGCTTAAATTGCAATAAGTGCTAACAGTCTTCTATTTTAGAGGATGGTTCTTTAAAAGACTCATAGAAAAAAAGTGCCTGGCCTGGCACAGTGGCTCACGCCTGTAATCCCAGCTTTCTGGGAGGCCAAGGCGGGTGGATCGCAAGGTCAGGAGTTCAAGACCATCCTGGCCAATATGGTGAAACCCTGTCTCTACTAAAAATACAAAAATTAGCTGGGTGTGGGGTGGGCACCTGTAATCCCAGCTACTCAGGAGGCTGAGGCAGAGAATTGCTTGAACCTGGGAGGTGGAGACTGCAGTGAGCCAAGATCATGCCACTCCACTCCAGCCTGGGTGACAGAGCGAGACTCCATCTCAAAAAAAGGAAAAAAAAAAGTGCCTAATTTATTGCTCACAACCTTGATTTTTAAACATAAAATATTGTATTGGCATTAAGAAAATAGCTATTTAAATATCAGCTATTGATATGGGCATACTGTCTGGCAGCCTTCCATTTTCTAAATGTAAAAGAGAGGACTTGATGGTGCTTCCATTTATTTTAAACATAAGAAATATGGTTCCTGATGGCTGACAAATCTCCTGAAATCTGGAAAGACTGGCCTCACTTAGGCAAGATAGATTTTGAATAGCTGATTAACTAAAAGGGTAACAAAAGTACAGCTATTAAATACTTTTAGCTCTTAATATTTAAATTGTTGAATTTGCCAACAAAGTCAATTAGAACACAAAAAGCTCAATTAGTTAGCTGGCTATTTATGCTCTCATGCTCTAAAGAAGCAGGTCTTCTTCCTCCTCTGCTACTTCTCTTTCTCCTTCTTCTTCTTTCTTCTTCACAGATTTGGATATATTTTGTAGGAATTGACCAAATAGACTTTCTTTTGTTATTATGTAGGCACTGAATAATTCTAGTACTTGCTTCTAAGCAATACATTAACATTTGTCTTGTGCTTTCATCTTCTAATCAGTTCAAATATTATTTTCTCAATATCTATGATATGTCAGGTGCTATGTCAAAGTTCAGAAACAAATAAAAATATATAGGCCAATTCTCCAAGAGTTCACAGTTTTGTATGGAACAGAAATATTCTGGTGAAATTGGATTTTGCAAGATATACTAGAGCTAGAAAAATTGATTTGAGAGTTATTGGCCTATAGATTGTAGATGGAAACATGGATGAGCTCTATAAAGTAATAGAACCTTAAAAATCTTCCATATTTAAAGAGTTCACAGAAGAAGATTCAGCAAGAAAAATAAAACACAGAATAGAACAATTCAGAGAAGGAATTACAGAATTAAAAGTTTGTCTTTGTTTGGATTCTCTAAGAAGCAGACCCAAGATAAGATTTGTGTGCAAGAAAATTATTTGGTGAATGGTCTTAGGAAGTAATAACAGGGGAGTGAGAAGGTGAAACAGAGAAGAGGAAAAAACCAATAAGGGGTGTGTTATCAAACAAGTTACAGTTGTGAGCAACTAAAGCTCAACTTCAGTGTGGAACTCAGAACTGACATAGGCTTCTGACCCAGAGATATCTTGCCTAAGGAGTGAAGGAGCTTGCATACTTGTACACCAGCTGCAGTTAGTCATTGGTTAAGGGCTGTTCCCGGGAGTTGTTATTTCTCTGGCCCTTCTAGTTTTATCACATGTGGCAAAAGAGTGTCTGGTGCTGATGGTTCTAAGTCTGGGCTGTCACACACGGAAGTATTAAAGGTTTAAGGGGTATGAATGAAGCATTGATAGATGTCCTACCATTTAGTTCCATGAGAACCAAGGAAAGAAAGAGTGTCTGGAAGGAGGAAATAGTAAACAATGCCAACAAAACTGACAAATCAAATAAGTAAAATAAGAACTGAGAATTGTGGGTATCTTTAGCACAAGTCATAATCCAAGGGGAAGCCACTAATAGAAATGGAATAAGTAGAGGTAAACAAGTAGAGAATGAGTAGATGATAGACTAAGATGAAGGAGGAGATAAAATGAGGGGTGTGTGTGTGTCAATTTTATAATTAAAATAGAAAACTTACACAAAGACAAATTAAATAGAATTATAATTAAAACTAAAAGTACCCTTTTATGATTTAATTCATGTATCAGCTTATCCAGGAGGCTCTCCTTGAACTGTAAAGATTGGCTCAAGTGTCGTTTTTCTTTCCAATGCACCCTTTGCTCATTTTTCTGGTGGAAGTTAACCACATTATTTATCAGCTTATCTTACCAAATTATTTATCTGCTGCTTTTGCAGGGATGGTATTAGACACAGAGAGAAATTAGAGCTCCATTTGGTTCATTTGAGCTGTAAAGCATTGAATTACTTTGTGCTTAGCAATCTTAGGACACATTTATAGAAACCAAACCAGCATCCTGGGGGATATAAACCCCATCACACAATGTCCCTCCGAAACAGGTTAGTCATGTTGGCGATGTTTTCTCCTGACATATTAATGAGCTGTTGCATTGCAGCTCATCATCAGAATACAGAATGATTTTTCTTTTGAGCAATTACATTTTTCCTAAACAGGCTCTAGATGGAGATATTCATCTATTGTTCTTTTGTTTTCTCAACGGTTGAGATGAACAATATACTCAACAATTGAAAGTAAATTAGAATTACTCATTTTTAAGTCTTTCAAAAACTCATAGAAATGATTTAGAATATTATTTAAGGCAGATAAGATATGAAAAATATTTTTTGAATTGCTAATCCAGATAATTTATTAAAGTGGGGACACTGCTGTATGTTACCTCTTTGTATATACCTACCTTTTCTAACAAAGATAGAAACCAACTGTCTTTTAAAATATAAAATAGATTTAATCAGAAATAAAAAAGGAGTTAAAACATTTCAATTTTTTAAAATTGCATTTTGTAAATAACAATGAAGGATTGAAAAGTCAATCCACAATAGGCAAAGAAAGCAAAACTTGCAAATGTTCTTGTATGGATTTTAGCGTTAGGTAAGGGTGAATGAATTTTTGTTCATTCAATAATCATTCAATGATTATTGAAATAAAATAATCATGTGCATCACTTTCCCAGCAAATGGGCTCTTCTGGACTCTGAGTATACAGGTTTAGGACAGAAAAGGAAAGGAAAAGGAAAATTAGTATAGAACCCAGAGAGATATGGAGTGATGGGGAGGGGAAGGGAACCAATTCCTGACACATTGGGCAAGGACATGACCTCGTGAGCGCCTGTTTTCTCCTCTGTGGAATAGGGAAATTCTTCCTGCTGCACTAAACCTTGTAGACTGCACTGAAGTGAGCAAAATGATTATGATTGGCTGCAGGGCAGGGAGGGAGGGAAGGGCGTGCAGAGTGGAGCGGCAGGCACAGGGGGTTTCTGTGGAGACTCTGATGCCTGCTCCTTCTGGGTTACCTGCTCCGGACCCCTCTTCTGCTGGTTCTTCGCAGTGGGGTAGCCAGCCCGGAGAAGCCCTGACCCCCACTATCCCCATAGGACTGGCTCTGCAGAGACGGGCACACACCCTGCGACCGGTCAATCTCTCACCCAGGTACTGCCAGAGCGTCTTCTCACCCAGGAGCTCTGGGACAGACTGAAACAGCTCGGAGCTCCCCATGCTGCCTCCTCACCCACCCTGCCAAGCCATGGCCACAATCCTGAGCAGTCCGAATGGCTCTTGAGAATGCTGAGCTGTACGCCACCTCCAAGGAGCCACATCCCTACTGCATTCCGTGCACCAAGGTGGCTAACGGAGGTGGAGGTGTCCTGAATGGCCCCGCCAGGGCCGCCGCATCGAAGCCCACGACTATGTCTTCAGAGTCCCTGGTACTGACAGAGAAGGCTTTGAGGACCATGTGGCGCCAAGACCTCCTTCTGCGGTTTCAGTGAAAAGACGATGAACTCCTTCATCTTCTACAGCAGCTGGACTTCACCACAGTGCACCAAGGACTGGACCTGCACTCTATCTTTACCCCTTCCGACACCAGATGCTGAGATGCCACACTCTGAGTGTGCCTGCCCCTGAGGGCCTCCACAAATGGGAAAAGCTTCAGACCTATTTTGGTTCAGACGCCCGTGATGGTGAATTTGACCTACTACATCCTGACTTTATTCACTACCTGAGAGAGGTTTTTGAAGTTCAGTTTGCTTAATAGGGATCCCAGAGACAGGTACATGGCTAGCACTGGGGCCCTCAACTTGCTGACAGCTTTGCATATCTGTGATCAGGTTAGCAGTGATCATTGATTTATCACGGAAATTACTGGCAATTTTCTGGCCACTATTTTGAATGAACAAGGAAGCCACTGATCATTTATCTAAACCACAATCTGTGAATTCAGGCACTTGCACAAAGCTGATATCATTCAGCTACACCTTCACAGATTTCAAAGTTTCCAAGCCCTTTGTCCTTGCAAAGCTGTGGCTTTCATACTCTTAGTGGCCAAAGCCTTTTTTTCTTTTTTTCTGGCTTTTCAATCTAAAACAGGAGCTCCAACTCCCCACTACTCTCACATTCTTCCCAACAGGGGATGTAAAAGATGGGTTCACAGCTCTCCAGAAGCCTATTCAGTGCGAGACACCGAGCTGCTGCTTGACCATTCCAGGGGTGCTCCCTTTGGGCATTAGACAGACATTTCAATCTTGACTGAGGAAACTGGATTGCTTTGCTGGATTTGTTAGAAAACTAAAGATAACAATCCCACAAAGATAAGATGTATCCTAAGCTAGTAAGGGGCAGACATACCACAGAGTTGAGCATCTTGAAGCCAGCGATTGGCATTGTATTACTTCAGGAAGGTCAATGGAGACATTCAAAGCTGAGCATTTAACTAACACCAAGCAGCAGTATGGGCAAATGCACACCGTCTAACCCAAATCCTCTCATTAACTATGTAGAATTTCACAGAAAACACTCAAAAATTTATTCAGAACTCAAGGATAAGTCTTAATAATCTTTCCATAAGAAGTTGAATTGCTGAGAACATGATCAACTTACTTCTGCCCCAGGGAGATGGAAGACAGCCTAACTGATAAAGTGTGAGCCTACAAAGAAGCAGGGGGCTTACACTGCTTGGCTGCTTTCCCAGACTGGTTTAAGGAAGTCTTCTAACACATTATCACCATAAAGCCCATTTAACCAACACTTTTGATTTAATGCCTTGGTGACTAGTTGCTTTGGACAGTTTCATGTGCTACACCCAGCACTGTAAGTAGTCTCCAGGGGGTGGGCTGACAAGAGACCCTCCAAAGCAGAATTTTCGTTAGTCAGCTCGCCAAGGATCAGGACTGGTCCTTCATTCTGTGGCTTTGGAAGACAGATTTTATCAGCACACACATAATAAAAGGGATTAATTCAGTAACCAGAATGAAGAGACTTACATGAATTAAGCTGCTACTGTAATAAATTTACAAAGAAACAGACTAAACAACAACATGATTCTGACAGTGTTGTAAAAGATGTTCTATATAAAGGCCTTACAACAGCCTTTGAACATAAACAGGGCATTCCAGACAGATCGAGCCTAGCAGTAGAAGCTCAATTCCTGGAAATAAGAAAGTTGTGGGTCTAACCCCTTGATCTGTTCTTGATCTTGAAAAGCCATGGACTTTCCTGTCTTTTTTGCTACATAATCTGCAAAAGTGGGCTGCAGGTAAAACAGCAGAGGTGAAGCGATCTGTAAGTACAAAGTGTTAAGATAATTAGCCACAGGAGATTGCTTTGCCCAAAGAATTTCAAATTTTTTGAAACTCCAGTTGGTAAAATTGTTCTTTGGCTTTTCAAGTTGGCATCTGAACTTCTGAGGAAGAAAAAAACGTTCTCTCCATTTTTAGGTGAGGAAGACTGGGAATTGGATAGGATTTTCTTTTCTTCCTGTCTCCCGCCAGCTTGACACTAAGTCAGGACAATGAGCAGCCGAGTTGAATTGCTTCTTTACAGCAGACTGGGCAACCCTGCTACTATACCTTGGTGTGTTGTTCAAATGGAGTGATTCTTTTTCATACTATTTTACAGGGAGGTGGAATATAGGATGCTATTTATAACACTATTGTGTGAACACATACACACACACACCCCTACATATTTATCACTTTACTAACCAGCACACTTAATATCTACTTTTTTTCTTATCACTGAAAATGGCAATTGAACATTATTTCATTAGCTCTGTATAAACCGAAACCCATCACATGTGAATGACCTACTGACTTCGTTTGTTGCCAGAGATCTCTAGGGCACATACTGAGTTTTCTTTCATCATTTTTCATAACACCGGTCTCTATGTTTACTTCCCCATAGTCTTATTTTCTGTCATCATTTTGTGTTTTAATGAATACTTTTGACTTATAGGGACATGCATGTGGTAACATTAGAAGTGTTGCAAAAGGGCTAAGGGAAATTACATTTAAAGTAAAAGTTTTGCTATATATATTATATACACACCCACCCACACACATATATACATGTATGTACATATATAATATATATACACACATCTGTACACACATGCATATATATACACACATATGTATATACATACACACACATACATATGTATATATATGTTTTATAGTGGCTCAAAGCAAGTGAGTACAATCAAGGAACTGTTTTAGGCAGCAGATGGTCAAAATCAGCCTTCCATTTTAATGAATACTGTTTACTCATAAGGACATGCATGTGGTAACATTGGAAGTGGCACGGAAGTGCCAAGACAAATTACTTTAAAAGTAGAACTTTTGCTGTATATATGTTATATATACACACACATATACATTTATAATATATATACACACATATACATTGATAATATATATACACACATATATATACACACACATATATATACACACACATATATATGTACACACATACATATATGTGTGTGTGTGTGTGTGTGTGTATATATATATATGTTTTATGGTGGCCCAAAGCAAGTAAGCACAATCAAGGAACTGTTTTAGGCAGCAGATGGTCAAAATCATCCTTCAGATACAGGTTGGGGAAAGTCCTTTGAATAGAGGGCATCCAATCATTAAGAATGAACAATAAAGTAAATGGAAACTAGAACCACAATATCTAGAGACATGCCATGATTCCAAATATATGCTGCCCAGAATATATTTTCATGAGGATTGTGCTTTGACTTTATTTTGCAGATTCACTTAGCATAGCATTTCCAGGAAGACATTCCTTTCCTACTTCTGCATTAGAGCAGAGTTACTTGCAGAATAGTAAGGGGAACATGGATTTGAAATTAGAGAGATCTGGACTTGAGTACTGGCAACAAAAAGTGGTAACTGTGTGGCCATGGACAAGTTGTTTAATCCCTCATAGTGAATTCTGTGGAACAGCACTCGGATCCTCATCCTCAGGGCTGCAGCATCCCTTCTCCCAGTTGATGAGAATGTTGGTGGCTGGAGACTTTCTCTGGGATTGCCCCCAGCTAAAGGGAACTACCTAACCAAGGTTACATTTCCTCTCTGGGGACAGCCTGCTTGCAATGATTTGTTGATTCAGGGTACAAAGCCCTTCTTCTTTGCCATGATTTGGGAAAATCTGAAGGGCCATTCCAGTTCCGTACCTTCCTATGAGAGTGTCTGAGGTCTTTGTCGAAACTGCATTGCAGTTCAACTTCTTCCTCTGCCCAGTCCTCTGCCCACTTGCCCACACATTCTTTCCTCAATAAAATCACTACAGGCAAACATCTGTCCCCAGTACTTATGTGCAACCCCTCTTTGAGTATCTATTTCCTCATAACAGCAATGACGATTTCACAGTTTTAGAGATAATTTAAATATGATAATATACAGCATGTCACATACTTCCTGACACAAAGTAAATAAAGATGTGGCGTTACGGCTCCTGTAGGAAACTGGAGGGATATTACCCCACCAAGTTTTATCTACCTACCATCACCTTCCTTTAGTCTTTCCTTTCACCACTGAGTTTCTGAAACAACTATTTTATGCCTGCCATAGTCTCTTCCTTTCCAGACACTGTTCTTAGCTGCTGTAATTTGCTTTTTATTTCCCATCAACAACCTGATTCTTTCATTTGAAATTAGGCTGATAATTAAGGCCTACTATTATGTGTTCCCTTACATCTGGGGCAAACCCAAAGTGCTCCAAATGGCCTAACTGCAAGTTCCCCTCCTTATTCTCCTATAAGATTCCTTACGGGACATCTTATTCCCAGGAGCAGGAATAAGATCTCCTAGCCAAATCACCCCCCTTTTCATGGGGACCAGGCACCCATCCCTGCTTATTGCTGAGCAGCAGGCTTGGTTCCTTGCCTGCTTGAATTACTCAAGCAAGACCATCACTTTTTCTTGGGATCCAGGAGTCACCCCACCCTCTTGATACTGCAAAATCTGCCTCCCACTGCCCTGGTGGTTTGCTGTGCTCCTAGATGCAACTATGTGTGACCCTGCGTGGCAGTGTCCTCCTCCCCAGGCTGTGAGTGTATGTGACTAGTAAACTGCTGTCAGTCTCATCTGCTCAGAGGCAGGTGTCATGTGTCATCCGTTCTCATAACCCAAGACAGGAATCCATTCCTCATCAGTGGGATGAAGAGGATGCAATTACAACAGTCCGCTCAACTAGAAGGAAAGGACCCTTTTCAGTAGCCCAATTCATTGTGATAAACCTCCATGTCTGCAATAAGAGTAGTAAACAAGGCTCCAGTCATCTCTACAATGTCTGTATCTGCAATATCATGGGTATGTAAGTCATTGGCATCTTACTTCAACAATTAGTCTTGGTTACTCCTACAGTTCTTTTGTCACCCAGGCCCCTAAACTCCCTCTCAATCATGCCCCTAGATGTCCACATATTATAAATTTTGAATGTTTAAAGTCTGCTTAGGGAAATTGGGATGAGTTTAGTGTCTTAGTTAAAATTTATAAGTACAAGAAATTTGTTCACTCAGTCTTCAAAATAACCTTTCCCAGCTGTCAGGTTCAACTTTTATGTAAAGCTTTGTTATTTCCATGTCTCTCCCTTACGCACACTTCACTTTACCCCCTTTAAGCTTGTTACTCTTAAATCTCTCTCTACTTTAACTTCATTCTCAAGTTCCAGTTTCATATTTCTAACTATCAAGTGTTCGGATGGCTATCCTGCCATCAACTCCAATTCTACATTCAAACGAATGTATGTTTCATTCAACACAACTTTTCTTCTATGGCTGACCTATTCCTTACTAATGTTATGTTTTTCCCTACTTACATTTCCTAGCCTCCCTGCAGATGGGCTGGAGTCGTATGACTAGCCTGGCCAATAAGCTGGGAGGGGAAGTGGCAGGTATACTATCTGAAGTAAGCAATTAGAAGCCAGCATCTTTCCCCCCATTTTCTCCACAGTGCCTTAGAAGCCAAATGTTCCAGATGACAAACCTATGAAGTGAAAGACAGTGTCTGTCCCACACTACCTGAGTGTGAAATAATCCTTTGTAGATTTAAGCTACTTAAATTTTCATATTTATTTGTTACCAATGTTTATAGTGCCTACTTTGACTAATAAGACTTCCCAGCTGGTCATAGCATCAACCTGGAGTCATCACACACTATCCAAGGAAGGCAGCCACTGTTCGGCCACAGCACATTATTTTCATGCAGAGGTGGAATTGTCTGTGCCTTATCTGACTTTTTTAGGTGAAGCCACAAATCCAGATTTTCATGGGGAGCCTCCCAATTTAAAAATATTCGTTCAAAATTTTAAAACATTCTTTGTGCCATTCAAAATGCCTATGGGCCACATTCTGCTCATAAACAGCGTGTTTGCAATTCATAAAGAAAAAAGGTGATCTGGGTGATCTCCAAGTCTTTCTCAGCTCTGGGTTGGTATGATCCTACAATATGAGGATACATTGCTGTATACTTTGGTCAAATGGGCAGATGTTCATAATTGGCCCAGAATAATATTATAAAAGCACCCATCTCATTTATATTATAATCTTGCTTTAAAAACAAAAATAAAACAAAATTTCATGCAGTGGTTCTGTATTTTCCACCTCTACATGCTTCACTTCTAACTTCAGCTATTCAGAACTCTTCTCAGTACAGAGCTGCCTGGTCTTTAGAACGTGACACTACCCACTCTAGGCACCCTTGTCATTACAGAAAGGTGCTATGCTTATTTATCATGTTTGCATATCTTTGCTACCACGCAATCATATTCTGTGCTCCCTCTACATAGCCAAATCATATCAATCCTTAGGGGCCATTCAGCTCATTCAAAGAACCTTTCTTTGATCACTATAGTCATTCCTGACCATTTTTATTTTGAATCTTTGAAGCATTTATAGCTTAGAACATTTAAATTGCCTTTAAATACATTATCATGTGTTAATAGTACTATTCCAAGTACACTGGTATTCTCTCTCAAACCAGAATGAGGGCTGGGCTTTATCTTGAGTCATGCCACTTTTATATTTCTCTGAGTGCTCAGCAGTATATTTTTCCACATTATGTTGCAAATTTCCTTGTCTCACCAAGACTGCACTTGCCTAAGATGGTGAATCACTTTAATACTCCACCATAAATGTGATTGGTAATACCCTTTAGCATGGATAGATGAGGTCGTAAGTTGAAAGCAGCCTGTGTCTGGTGTGGATGAAAGACAGAGGGAAGGGGAGAGAGAACAGAGGGTAAGTAAATGGTAGAGGCATGAAAGATAGGAGAGAGCTAGGAGCTTGGGGTCTATGTGTCAAGCAACTTATTTTTTGCTTTTTTTCTTTCAGTTTCGTTTTTCAGACAGCTGAACAAGGCATCTACATTCTAGCACATCTTCCTAATAATCATTAGCTGAATGAAAGGCTATTTACATATAAAAAGACAAAGGAAAAAGTTCATGATTGTCTAAAATTTGAACTCTCAAATTAACTTATAAAAAATTCAAATTTACTTTCCCAAACACTTTTCTACTGGCAAAAATGAAAAAAATTACATAGAAAATAAACATTTGTAAGCTTGTATAGCAAGTTAAGACCACTATTTTTACATACAAAATGAATGCTTCAGATATTTTATACAATTTAAGTTTTCAAAAAATAGGTTAAGTATTTACCCTATGCTTCTTTGGTACACTAAAATACCATTTATTAAGCTTACATTAAACAACACTGCAAATTGCGTCCTACAAATTGTACAAGCTTATCATTGTGGCTAGAGATGCACATGTGTATATTACATGCATGTGACATTGTGCTGCACATATTACTTCCACAAGTAGTTTTACCCTGTAAAAATCCTTTAGCCTCTCTTGAATTGAATTGCAAAGAAACAACAAAAGAAAGCACATTAATTAAAGTAAATAGTTGCCCAGGCATTCAAAAATGCATAAATTATAATGTTTCGCGAACTTAAAGATTATTGAACACGAGATAAAATTCACCACTATTTTCAAAACACCTGGATATAGAAAGTATGTTCAACACACATATATAGATTGCATATGGTTAACATATTTACAGAACTCTGGCTTTTATAAGTCTATTCCTATTATTTAAACATTTTACATGGTCTTGGACCCTTAAAAGATAGAGTTTTAATAAAATATGGTTATGTTAAGTTTTTATGTTCTAATAACCATTAAAAAGAAATACAGTGGAAGGGTATAGGCCTTTATGAACTCATATATTTATGGCCAATTTGATTTTTGTTGTGATATGATATTTTAATTAACACTATGCTAAAAATAAAATTGATTGCATTATGGTTTTATCCACATGATCCAAGTATCTTATTGCAAAAATATTCTAAAATGAATCCAATAAACATTTTCTATTTCCAATTGCCTGAGAGACAAATCCAACTATTTTTATCAATTACAACTAAACTGGGCTAAGAACAGCTGTGTTAAAACTTTCCAAACCAAGGACAGTTATCCAAAAAATCTAAAACACTTGACAATTTCCCCCAAGATAGAAAAATGAGCATCCAATATAAAGAGAACCATACCATTGATCGCATAACCAATCAACACCCACTTCTTTGTTACTTGAGCTAATAGTTTCTTGATGCGGTACTTGATGCTTTATGATACACGCCTATACTCTCTCTTTTGTCCAGTCGTCTCTCTGTTTCAATTCTAAATGTTAATGTCTGCCCATGGAAATAAATTAGAGTGCTGAAGAAGGATTCAGAATCAAGCTGGAGTGATATATTTCTTCAGTTGCTCAGAGTATACCCCTTAAGGCCAGCTGTCCACTCAGGAGGCATCAATACGGAATAACATATCTGGAGGATGCTCCAAGGTCTCCACTCCTGTTAGCTGGTCCTCTGCCCTCCGGCATAGACTCTGAACTGATAATCAACATTGGGATCTATGTGCAATGCTATAAATTCAGTTTCAGAGCCTACACATACATACTTAAAATGATTTGAAGTACATTTATGGAGCTGGAATCTGTAATCTTGAGCTATAGTGTCATCATCTATCTTACATCATCATACAATGAGGCTTCCAGTTTTCTCTATTAGTGCTTACATTTCTACTGGTAGGTGAGATGCCACCATTCCATGGTGAAAGATGTAGCCTTTCACTAAAATAAGAATTGAGTCATTCAGCTGAGCAAACAAACAAGGCACATCAACCAGCAGAGACACTTCTGGTAACCTGTCTAACTAAATGCAGAAGGCCTTTTTGGTAACGGTTCACAGTTTCTCAATCTGTTCTCCCATGCCACCAACAATGGTGATCTCACTTTCTTGGATTAAGTCCTCTGCGGTGTTAATTTCATGCTGTATGACTCCTGACAGTCACCTAGTGGCTTAATAGTCCCCTGTTTAATGGTGCCCAGCTCTTGCAAGAGACTTCAATTGCTCATCCCAGAGCTTCCCGAGGATTCCTTTAAATCATTAAAATGCTGTTTTAGGACATCCTTTGTCTGTGATGCTCACTCTTTGATCTTGTTTTAGTCATTATCCTTTATGAAAATCTTGAGAGAGGGTATATACCCTATTCCCAGAAAAATTAAAATCTGTACCCTTTTCCTGTGCCTCCTGCAGGCCCTTAAGCTTCTGGTCTAGCTCTGGCCAGTAGCTCTCACTAGCTCCTCACTCTCTTGGGCCTCCCGCAGCAGCAGCTTAGGGTCCAGCTCCATTTCCCCTTGTCAGGTGGTGTGGCCTGTGGCTTTAAGCACAATTCCTGACTACTCCAGACCTCAGGAAGCCATCTGGCATCTTAAGCAGCTCTTTTTGAGGGAGAAATGAACTCTGAAGAGAGTCAAAATGCTTTTCCTTAAGTGTACTCTGCCTAAACTGATTTTTACTCTTTCTGGGTTGGTTGGTCCATGGTGGCAATGATAAAACATTTTTAAAATGATAACTGGATTTGGTTGAGTATGGCACCTCTCAGCACATGGAAAATGCAGAGTATACTTTGGGCCAGAGGCCCAGGTCAAATGGTCATTTTATAACAAAGAGGTCAGTGAGCCAAGCTCACCACTTCCAATTCCAAATTCCATATTCACCTAGCAGTTCTTTTATTTTTCTTAATTCATCTATTGTGTGTTACTCCAGTTGATTTCAGGAAAAAAATAAAAAGCCTTTTCTGGTTAAATTATATGCAACTTCTGAGGAGGAATATTTTAAAAGATCGAGTCAGGAGAGTTAACACTGAAATGATTTTTATAAGCTTTAACAACATTCTCTTTCAGCTATAACATAATAATTTTAAGTGTTTTGAATGCTTTACAGGGGGAAAATTAGTCAGGCACTGAAGGAAGAGTCCAAGCATTACCATTCTGTGTTACATTTCTTGCAGCTCATACATTGCCTAGAGTGACGACCTATAACCACAGAGGTTAAAAAAAAGTGCATGATATAATGTAGTAAATTGAGATGGTCACTGATCTGTTAACTGGATTAACTTAAGGACTCCGTGAGCTGCATGCATTCCTGCTCTGTCAGCACGAGACGAGGTAGATCTATGTCACTGCCTCCACTGGGCTGGGCTGTATTATTTTATATGTTCCTGGGACTGCCTATTCCTGGAAGAGAAAGCAGATGTGGAGCAGATAAAAAGCCAAATCTATCTTGGGCCTAGATATTCTCCATGCTGTTCATGGCACTACCCTTGCAGACTTTCTAACCTCCTGATCTCTGATTTCTCCCCATCTGGGACTCTGGACCTGCCTCATCCCTCTTTCTTAGTGGACTTCCTCATTCTGGCTCACTGTCTTTCTGGACTGCAGAATCTGCCAGGCCCTTCTGCTCCAGACCCTCTCATTTTCTGGCTCATTCTAAACAAAGCTCAATGCAAATCACCACCATGTCCCTTGCTCTTCCAGGATCACAGGCCTGTAGAAAAATTTACCTAAATGAACTTGCTAAACTTTATTGAATGTTTATTGTATGCCACACACTATTCAAAAATGCTTTACTCATATAAACTTACTTAATTCTTGTGGTGACCATAGGAGGTTGATGTTATCATCTCATCAGATCATTAAGTAATTTGCCCAAGATCACACTGATATTAGGTGGCAGAGATAAGATTCCAATCCAGATAGTTTGGATCCTAAAGGATGAACTCTTAACCATCACACCATAAGGCCTTTTAAAATAAACAACCAGGTGGTAAAATGAAAAAGCCAGAGCAGCAGACTGAATCATTCAGTATTTATTGTATTTGGGTTATGTGCCAGGCTGTTATGCATGCAATGACAGATCTTAAGTTATATCAGATAACAATTTTATAATCTGAGTCCACAATTTAGTGAACTATAAAATAAAGGAGAGTGTAACCAACACTAGATGGAAAATGCTGCCTGATTTGCTAAGAGATCATAGGGGAAAGAGTGAGTGGTCCCAGGGAAGAGAATCAGGAAATATTTCATGGTATAACTGGAATTTGATCTGAATCCAAGCAGAGTATTCGGGTATTAGAAGAGGAGGAAGCAGGGGAACAGCCCCAGGAAAGGAAATAATACAGTGTATTCAGGGGGCTATAAGTAAATTTGAATAAGACCTAGAGCAAGAGCAGAAAATTTGGAAGAACTTATATGCTGGGTTATGGAGTTTGCATACAGATTGGAAGGTGACATATGTTGGAGATTTTGAGTGTGCTTCAGAGGGATTTCCTGGGCAGCAGAGTATGAAACACATTGGAGTTTGGAGAAACCAAACAGGAAGTTGATATAGGCTCCTCGCTTTAAGGATTATTAGGCAGTGGTTAAGGGAAGGATGTATTTGACAGCTGTTATAGAAGCAGGGACAAAAGCTCTAGTGGGTGTTTGAATATGAGAGAAGCAGGAACAAAAGTCCTAGTGGGTGTTTGGGAAGAGTGAATTGTTGTAGACAATGAGGATCAAAGTGCCTAGGCCCTCTCATCCATGGGTAAATTTCTTTTACTTTCACTTGATCTCTCAGCACACTTTCCCCAACAATTGTGCAATGCAAGGCCTCCACCTACTCTACTCTGATGTCTGTGATCCCCAACAGAGGAAGAATGAAGTTGTGTTTGACTCTGAGATGGCATCTGCTTAAATCTTGTTTGGTATAAATATGATGCTGACAAGTACCTACACCACTTGGAGAAAATTTGTGAGGCTATATTTAGAAATTGCATTACCCATACAGCCATTATTCTCAAAAGATTCGGGAGAACTCTCAAGGTAGCCTAGTTGGCCGCAAACTGAAAACAGTTTGTTAAGTTGATTGCTTACTCAGACCTTTAATTTTGACCTGGGGGGAAAAGAGACAAAGTCCTGTTTTGAAAAGGGCTTTGAGAACAGGTGCATAGTAGCAAAGTTGGTTGTGGGTAGAGGAAGAGGAAGGATAGATATGCTCCACTTATAAGCCACCCCCGACTTACGTCCAGTTTTGTGAGGTGCTTGAGTTAAAATAGATAGCTGTCTGAACAAGACCCCTTGAAAATCTATAGGGGAATTTGAGTGTGTCTTTTTCTTCTGTGAGAACATTTTAATGGAAATGTCAGTACTTCTTATGAAATAAATGGAGATTATTTTCTAAACTAGTGATCTTAGAAAATGAACAGACAACGTGTTGGATCTGCTTTTGGCAAATTGGTTTACCCTATCTCTTCAGAGGAAAGAGTAGAACCTGGCTTAATCTGTGGGGATCCATAGTTGACTGAGATTTGATTCTTTTTAGGTGATACTACCTATTTGGCTCAAAAGGTTGAATTGCCTCCAAAATTCCTATCTATAATATTTCACTTCTCTGGGTCTTAGAAAAGTGATAGAATGGGAAGGACTAGATGATGTCCTTCTTGTAAACAATGTCTAGCAAGTTTCCTTCTTCCACCACCATATGATCATGCATGACAATTCCAAAGCCACAGAGTTGCTTCCAAAGCAAGCATGGACCGAGTCTAAAGCTGAATTCCCTCATGTCCAATCCATTGCCTTACTCAGAACTGCAAATTAAAATATACAAATGCTGCTTCTTTTATGTCACTTTATCACACGCTACTTGTTTGGGATGCTGAGAAGCTGATATTTACTCAAATGTCATTCCTTTTATTCAGATGAAGCCTAAAGTGTCAAATAATATGCAAGGTATAATCTTCATAGAAACCAATTAAGCTTCATGGAAGAGGCTGACATGACTGCCTCAAACCCAAAGTCTTATTCAGTGTTTTCTCACCAATCCCAAGAGATCTCCTTTTTCTTCTTCAGAGGTTGTGGTAGTTAAGCTGTTGTTATTGGTTAGAATAAGCTGTTATCTCTAAATTTGGCTAGCATGATTCAGGAAATGGCCAGCATGGTGTCTATCCTGATTTTCACAATGGATGCCTGATCTTGTGAGCAGATGCCAGTCACTTTAGAGGAAGGAGCATAAACAAAACCTTGGCTGTGACAGCGGAGGATCCCTCCATCAAGGGTCTCTAAGCTCTGGAGTCATAGGACATGGCATGGGTAAGAGAGATGGTGGTAGAGGCCATTGAAGCAAGGCTGCCCTATCTGAAGTGCTAGAAATGGTTAGCACTGGGCCACTCCCCATCGAACCTCAAAATCCTTCCTCCTCATTGGAGTCTACTGGAAAGCAATTTGTTCCCAATACAAATGAGGTTTGCTTTTTGCTCTTTGCACACTGTGTGAATATTCAACTCAGCCAATGGGAAATTTGGAAGAAGTATTTTCAAGTGTGATTGCTTGAAATATTTTCATATGGGTCAATAATAAGATGAAAACAAAGCTCTTTAGAGGATCTAAATGCATAGCAACTCAGAGGAGTCATTTTGCATGATTTATTCTGGGTTTTATCCAAGGCTGTCATAGGCTTTAGAGATAAGCATGCTGGGACCCATGATGATCGCATAATAAATGTAGGTGAGGGTAATACAAGAGGCCGTATATCACAAAGCAAACTCCTTATTATACTACCAAATATGTATATTTTTAATGAATCCCTAGAAAGAGATTGCTCTGGTTACTTTTGTTTTATTACGATTTAGGCATATTCACCAGTGAGTGCACCCAGGAGAGATTTTTTAGCCTCTACTTGAAAAAAAAAAAAAAAAAGCCCTGGGAAGGAAATCCTCTATGCTGCCCTGGAGAAACTCTCACATGGCTAATGTAATGGGGGCACTGTCCCTTAAGTCTTTCTATTCTCAGACTATCTAGTCTTAGGATGGTTCCTCACACTGCACTGCGTCCTACCCCAAGGTGAACATCTCCACTTCACTTCTACACTCAGGCAGCCACTTTGCTCTTCCTCAACATTTTCTGCTCTTCTGCCACTTTCCCCATCAATACTATTCCAAGTCTTTCCGAGGCGAGGCACTCCCATTGAACTATTTCTACCTATGATTCTTTTTAAGGTATTATTAGTTTTTGTATGACGTTTCTATTGCTGCTGTGACAAATTCACTTCAAAATTCAGTGGCTTGCACGGAGTTAGCCAAACTGCAAAGTCCAAGGGAACAGCCCCAGAAGAACTGCTCTCACTTCAGACACCAGCCACAAGTTCACGAGTTCTCAAGATTGCTCTCACTTCAGATCAGCTGGCTGCAAATTTTGGGGTCCCCAGTGACCACTCGGTTTTGAAAATTCTTTAGAATGACTCACACTACTCACTGAAAGCTATAATACTCGTGATTTATTACAGGACAGGAAAAGAATCCAAGTTAGCATTATCCAAAAGGAGAGGGTCTGGGGTGAGGGGATCTGAACACAGAACTTCTGGTGATTTTCTCCTAGTGGAGTCATGGACAGTGTCATCTCCTCCAGGCCACTATGTGTGACGATATGCACGATGGAATGTCAATCAGGGAAGCTCACCCAAGCCTTTGGTATCCATAGTTTCTTTTCCTTTTTTTTTTTTTTTGAAACAGAGTCTTGCTCTGTGGTCCAGGCTGGAGTGTAATGGCATGATCGTAATTGCAGCTCACTGCAGCCTCAAGTGATCCTCTCACCTCTGCCCCTCACCTCCACTTCCCAAGTAGCTGAGACCACAGTTGTGAGCCACCACACCTGGGTAATTTTTGTATGTATATATGTGTGTGTGTGTGTGTGTGTGTGTGTGTGTGTGTATACTTTTTTTGTAGAGACAGGGTTTTGCCATGTTGCCCAGGCTAGAGCCACCTACCTTGGCCTCCCAAAGTGCTGGGCTTACAGGTGTGAGCCACCATGCCTGTCTCTCCAGAATTTTTATTGGGATTCAAATACATACTTCCCATTGGGCTGACCTTTAGCCTCTAGCTTCTCTCTGAGTTGAGCTAAGATCTTTAGTCTCCACTTCCTCCAGATATTGGAATTGATACAGTGTTGTCCAAAGCCCCCATTATAGATCACTTTATTGGACTGTCTGGTGGAAAAAGCTCCCAGGAAAACAAGGACACTCTTGCCAGGCAGGACAGACATTCCAGGGGCCCAGAGATTACCACTTTATAGTCAAAGAAAAAGAGCAGATTTATCTTTGCGTAAGGACAAATTCCTTGCTATGTACAGCTTAAACAACACACATTTTATTATTTCACAGTTCTGTAGGTCAGAAGTGTGACATGGGTCTCATTGGGCTAAAATCAAGGTATTGGTAGGATTGTGGTCTTTTTAGAGGCCCTAAGGGTTGGTCTGTTTCCTATTCATTCCAGTCCTTAGCAGAATTTGATTCCTGTGGGTATAGGACTGAGATCCTTGTTTTCTTGCTGGCTGATAGTGGCTGCCAGTGTTTCCCTCCTTCCTCCATCTTCAGAGCCAGCAATGGCACATTGAGCCCATCAATGCTTTAAATCTCTCTTTCTTCTTCTGTCTCATCTTTCTGACCCAGACTGGAAAAATTCTCCAATTTTAAGGTCTGGATTTGTACCAACTGGATAATCCAGGATAATCTTTCCATCTCAGGATCCTTAATTTAATTATATCTGCACAATCCCTTTTGCCCTGTAAGAACATATTTATAGATCCTGGCAATTTGGATGTAGATGCCTTTGGAGCCCAATATTCTGCTTACCACAGATACCAAACGTGAATTTTAAAATAAAGTTTGATTGTCTTAATTCAAATGAAATCTTAATATCAGGATTCCTAAGCCTTACCAGGGCCAAATGGAGAAATAATTCCAGGCAGAAGAGTTTTCATTGCCCATCCCGTCTCCTACTTAAAAAATTTCCTGTTCTGAAGTAGAAAAGCTGATGGTAATGACTTTGTTTTACTCTCTCAATTCAACGTCCATATGTATTAGGTTTCATAACTGACAATTATCAAGAAGTGGTTGTGTGCTTGGCATCTTTGATTTTTCCCACTAAATCACTTGTCACCAGAATAAAAGATATTCAGATCTTCATTTTATAGATCAGAAAACTGAATTTTAGGTGTATGCAGTACATTGCCTGCAATCACACAGTGGGTAAATGGTATCTCAGGGATTTAAACGTGGTTTTCTCTGACTCTAAGATGCATCAAACTGCAAAATGTCGTCTCTCCAATTTTATATCTATACCTCTGATTTTATATCTACAATGTTGACCTTTCTATATTTTATGCATATAATTTACTTCTGCTTCAGTTTCTGAGTACCTAGAAGCAGAAAATATGCATCTTGTCTATCTGTTGAGAAAATGTTAAGTGCACTTTAGATGTATATCCTGATTTTATAAAATATTATCAAATAATATCTTATTTGGGCAATAAAATTGCACAGTTAAGACATTTAAATAGAATATATATTAATTAAGATATTGATATGTGTATGTATATAAAATAATTAATATATGTTAATCCCTAAATATCAACTCAGGTGAGATCCCAGAGTGTCTGTATAGCATTTTCCATTCAATCATCAATAATAAGAAGGTAGATATTTTAATTTTTATTGTTTGCCCTTGTAACTCGTATCTTTGCAACTGATTAATTTAAGGTAATTCCCAGAGCAAAATTGAGGTAATTATTAGTATCAGTTATGAATAGTTACTAGATCATTCTCATTATTGAAGATTTTGATTTCAATCATTTTCACCCAGTAGATCTTTACGTGGCCAGATCTCATACTCTATCTGTAAGTAGCTTAGCATACATTTTCTTTCTTTCTTTTTCCTTTTTTTTTTCTTTTTTTCTTTTTTTTTTCTTTGAGATGGAGTTTCGCTCTGTCACCGAGGCTGGAGTGTAGTGGTGTAATCTCCGTTCACTTCAACCTCCACCTCCTGGGTTCAAGAGATTCTCGTTCCTCAGCCTCCCGAGTTGCTGGGATTATAGACACCTGCCACCATGCCCGGCTAATTTTTGTATTTTTAGTAGAGATGGGGTTTCACCATGATAGCCAGGCTGGTCTCAATCTCCTGACCTCGTGATCTGCCTGCCTTAGCCTCCCAAAGTGCTAGGATTACAGGCGTGAGCCACTGCGCCCGGCCTTAGCATACTGTTTGTTTACTTCTTCAGTCACTTGTCTGGACTCTTCCTATGCTCCGAAAAGGGGCCAAATTGCTAACGTGCATCTAACTACACAAGAAATCTTTGCCTAGTGTTTCTAACTTTCTTTTTCCCTCCAAGGCCTTCTTGCACCTGGCCTCACTGACCCTCACACTATTTTTGCCAGTGAAAAAGTTATATTCTCTTTTCAGCAACATATAATACATAATGGATATTAACCCCTAAAGTCTCCCTACTCATGCAAAATAGGAAATTAGAGCCAGTGTTCTTCTCCTGTGAAAGTGATCACTTGGGAATAGCAAAGAACTGCAGAAATCTCCAAATCAAATTGTCTTTTTGCCTGGAGGACATCTGCTTCTTCTAATGACACCTTTGGAAAAGTAGGATCTCTCAGTAGCTCCTCCTGGTGGCAAGTTCTAAATCTGTATGTTTTGCTGGAGCTCTCTTGTAAGGAATTGCTCTCTAAGCATCATGGGTTTTAGGAAAAGTTTTGTCGTTTGTAGTTCTACTTCCTGATTTTTTCTTTTTTTAAACTATGAAGTCCCTGTAGAACCCTTTAGTGTTAGCTGCGATGCTATGCAACTAATCCATGGATCCGTTTTTGAAAGTTTCTTTTTAAAATTCTAGAGTTTCACAATGAAGTAAACATGGACATCTTAGCAGCTCATATTTATCTCCTCCCTTATTTCATTTCCACCTATTGCTAGGTAGAGCTCAGATCTACTTATTCCCTGGCTGGGATGACTATTCGTTTCCTCATGTAACAAATATTATTTACCTCCTTTGTACCAGTCACTGTTCTAAGAATTGGGAAATACAGAATTTAACCAAAAAGGAAAAAAAAATCCTGCTTACATCAAACTTGCTTTCAAGTGGGAAAGAGACATATAAAACAAATACATAAAATACATAAGATAATAGATGGTAAATTAGAGCATTCTAGACTGGGTATGGGTGCATATTCTTCAGGCCCTCCTCATCCTCAGTCTCTTGGGAGAATGTCTGAATTCAAGTTACTGGGTATAGTAAACACTGCCAGTTGCTATCTGATATTCCTACTCCCCTGTTCATTACTAATAGAATCCTGATTTTCCTGTGGGTAATCCCATACTTATTTCCCAGATTTCCTTGCAGCTACAGGAGGCAATGTAATTCAGTTCTAGCCGTGCAATATAGGCAAACAATTCCTGGACAGGTTGTCCCTTCCCCAGTCCCAAAGTCAAAGACTTTAGAGGAAAAGCCTCTCTATTGATTGCCCTTCTGCTATATTACTATTGAAAATGTGGACAGAGTTCCTGGGGTTGCAGGGCTCACCTTTGCAATCAGAAGAAAAGCATGTTCTAAGGATGGCAGAGCAGGAAAATGGAACTCAGAAGCCATACCAGCCTTAACTGCCTGCTTATCTCAACATTACCACATGGAAGGGGCTCCGTCCACACTGTAGCTACAGTTGGACCAATTCTAAGGGCTGTAGCAGAATCCTAAGGGCTGCAATATGAAGAAGGCCCTCAGGAATTATATAACCCTGCAGCACTCTATTTTTTATTAATCCCTCCTTGGTTTATTCATAGTAGTAAGGTTACAATTAATTACATGCAGCCTAACATAATCTTGAATGGTTCACTTTGGGAATTAATAACAGCCATACTTTCTCTTTGATCTTTTCTCTCAGGATCCAGACATATATATTAAAGTTGAGTCCTAGGACAATTCTAGTGTCTTACACGGCAGCTATAAAAGTGGGCTATAATAGTGACTCTAATAGTGTGACTTATCTGTCAAGTTTCTTTCTTGCCAAACCAATACCTTCTAGAGAACCCAAAATGTTCAGAAAAGAGAATTTAAGAAAAAATGATATTGGAAATATTAGGCTTTAAGTAAACCATTAGAGCAAAATGCAAGGAGTGGCTGTTCCTCAAGCCCATATCGAAGCACTCACGCATTCTGTGAAGCCTAGCTCCTAGTATCTCTAGTATCTTTGTCCATTGCCACTGAACTGATTCATACTGTCTAATAAACATGTAGTATATTTGTATTTTTTGAGTCATTATATGCCCAATGGCAGAAATAGATTCTATTGTAGTTTCTTACTAACAAACCAAAGCACCAATATTTTAAGAGATTATACTGTATATGTATTAATCTTCAGTTGGCTGGGATAAAAACTCATCTAATTAGATTGGATGCAAGTAGCACACACAACACACATTGTTATCAAAGGAGCCTATTGTGTTTAATGTTGATGTATGCTAAACATTGCATTGTCAATTAATATATGGTTCCAATAGCAATGAGAAGGAACATCGCTTTTAGTTGCAAGCCTATTAGTAAAGTTAAAATACATCAGCAAAAGCCGTTGGATATGTGTGTGAGAAAATTAAGTTTATGGCAAAATAACTGTTTAACATTTGCCATATCCTTTTCAAATCTACATTCCAAAAGAGGCAAGTGAGCATTTTAAAGATCCTACTCAGGAATACAAACCTCAGAGGAGGCTCAAGCAGGCACTTCAATATCACTGTCTAAATATGCACTAGCCTATTGCTACTCAGAGTCTGGTCTAGAGACTAGAAGCAAGGACATTGTCATCTACATTAGAAATGCAGAATTTCAGGTCCACAACCCAGACCTTATGAGTCTGTATTTTAACAAGACCCCCAGAGGATTCTGTAAACATTAATTTGGGGAGCACTGCACTAGACAGTTTTTGATTAGCATAAGAGATATTAGAAATCATACTTGCATTGGTGAAATGAATAATGACCAAACATGATTGATTAAAAATATTGCAGCTTTTATGTGGCACCACAAAAATCAATCTAGAACTCATTTGGTCTATTGCCCCAAACTTAACAGAAGATTTTGGCATCTTATATAACTACAAGTTTAGCTGGATCTCCTGACAATCTACTGTACCATCCACATTTGCTTTGGAATAAAACTTTCATGAAAGATGCTTGTGATTGTCGATGATGACAAAGAATGAGGATGTCACATGAATGTTTTGGTATTTGCCTGATAGTAAATGTTTGTATGTGTTTATAAGTTTGTGTCTGAGCCTTCTTACATTATAACATTAGAGCAAGCCACCTGGGAGCAAGCTCATTAATCATCGGGGGCTTGGACATTCACCAGAAAGCATCTTGTAGAAAGACCAGATCAGTTTGGGACAGTTTATAACAGAGACTTGGAAACTACACAAGCCTACAATTTCTCTTCACTTTTTTTTAACTGGTGATCTTGGCATACAGACTTGTCTTATGGCTGAGACTATTTCATATTTAAAGCAAACCTCCAGTCCAGGTCAGATTAGACTATGAATAACGATTTTCTGTTCTGAATGCTGCTGATGGGATTAAAAGTTCATTTCTGCAAATGCAACCTGGTCTTGGATTGCTATGCATCTTCAAGGAATCATGTTAATTTCCAACGGATGGCACAAATAACATTGTGCACTTTTTTTTTATTCTACAGCTTGTTTTTATTCTCTTAAATGTCTACATTAAATATGTTTCAATGTCAGTGTATATATATCAGCCTCATTTTTTTAATATATAATTTTTTATTATATTTTAAGTTCTAGGGTACATGAGCACAATGTGCAGGTTTGTTACATATGTATACATGTGCCATGTTGGTGTGCTGCTTTATAGATTATTTCTGCAACACTCTCTTACTTCGTCATTCTCAGGTGAGGGATCAACTCTGTTTCCTTAGAAATCTTTAATTTTATTTTGAATTAGCATAATAAAGCCTAACCTATGGCCTTTCTACAATCTTTGGGTCTATTTCCTAAACCTCAAGGTGTGTTTCATTTGTTGAATGGCTTATTGGGTCCCAGTAGTTCAATCTATCCATAGTGTTCATGGTTTTCTGTACAGAGAGTTGAGAAAATAAGTCATTGTTACTTTAATTGCAAAAGAGCTGATGGGCAGAGGAAAATCTGAAAGTTAAAGTCACTTTTTTCTTAAAGAAATCACTGGAAGTAATTTTCTTGTAGGTTATGAAGGCCTGTTTCAAACAGGATACTGTACTGATAATTTAGCAAATGGTACTTTTAGGATCCCTGCTGCAGCCAGAGAGTTGAGAGAAATATTACCTTGGGAAGGCAGATCAACTTTAGGGTGCTGTCAGTATTTTCCTCCCTCAGATCAGGGTAGGAAATAGAAAGAGCTTCCTGAAGACAAATAAGATAGTAGTAGCTCTTAGGATAATGGGTGGATAACTCTACACTATCCCTCAAAGTTGGCAAAACAAGACCCTTTTTGCTTCCGCAATTGAAAAGGGAAATCGCACAGTTCTTGGAGTAGGGATGGTTAAGGTCGGATTGCCCTAAGAGGTGTGAGCTTCAGAATTCAAGTGAGGGGTATCGTTGATGTCAAGGAAGGTCACACATGACCACAGTGAGGACCAGTAAGGCATCTTCTAGGGTTGTCATGTTGCCTCCGCTGGACGATGAACATTGAGCTTTTAACTGCACTATGAATAGGCATTGAGAACTGGTGAGAGTATGCAAAGTTAACCCCAGTGGTCTCTCCTTTTGGTTGTGGAATGGTCTTCATCTTCATACTTCTTAGTTCACGTGTATTGTCTTCCACATTTGGCTTACTCATATTGCATCACAGATCAAGATTTGAATGGTACAATTTTTATTTCTACCACTAATGCTAACGATTATCATAGTGCTCTGGCCTATACCGCTCCTTTTGAACTTTAACCCATATATTAGATTATATTTAGATACCACTCTAGGGCTTTGAACTCAAAATAGCTAAGAATATTCATTCAATTAGTATTTATTGAAATTGTGCCATCTATTAGGCACCGTGTAAATACTGGATTCTTTCTACTGCATCTTCCATCCTCAGACCCCAGTCTAGATCTTCTTATATCATCTTCCATCTGAGCACTAACATCCATTCAACATTGAAGTCACAGAACATTGACATCTTCCTCTTCCATGTTTTCCCTGAGCTAATCATGTCACTACGTCCTGAAAATTCTACCTCCTAAACTTGTACCTCCAATCTACTTCAACCGGCTTATTACAGGCCTCCATTCTTCTTCATTTGGTTGATTGAAATAACCTGCAATAGTATATTTACCTCCAGTATGGACTTTTTCCAGTTCAGTGATTTTCAAGCTGTTCATGCATAAAATTCACCTAGAGCAATATGAAAAATGCAAATCTCTAGTCATCATCTCAAACTAAGTCAGAGACTCTGAAAGTTGAAGTCAATTTTTTTAAAGCAAGCACTGAAAGTAATTCTCCCATAAGGTAAGAAAGTCTACATTTGGGAGAGTCTGTCTCATCATTGATAGGGTAATCTTTCTCAAAGACAAATGTTATTCCATTCATACCTTATATGACACTTTCTATACATTTATTAAGAGGCTTTGCTTTTTCTTTTCTTTTCCTTTTTTTTCCTTTTCTCTTCTTATCTTTTATGGTAAACAAATACTTTTTGTCTTGTCCCTGCCAAATCCATGAACCATATTATTTTTTCCCACTTACGGTCTGTTCTGTTCTCTTATACTCTAAACCACTATTCTCACATTTTGCTGTGCGTTGGAATCACCTAAGGTGTTTTAAAAATTACTGACGACTGGGTCCTACCTTAGAAATTCTGATTTAATTGGTATGGGATACTGGCTAAGCAATGGAATTTTTAAAGCTCTCTAGGTGATTCTAACGTATAGCAAAATTGGAGAATCACTCCTCTCTACATAAGTATTTTTTCAAATTGTATACATATTGGAATTACCTGTGGAATTTCAAAAACTACTTATTCCTATGCCCTAACTCCAGATACTGTGATTTAATTTGTCTTGAGGTGTGCTCTGATTATTGAAAAATACTAAAGGTTTCTCAGGTGATTTTAACTTGCCAAAGAGTTTGGGAGCCAGGCTGTACACCATGTCACCATGGTGAAGTATTTTAATTGTCTAAGTACCGCAAAATCCATTACCATTCGGTTACTTCATTTAAGCTGTGTATTTTCTGTCAGGATGGTTTAGATATTGTTTCATTTCTCAGGATCTATTATTTTCTGTTTCTTTTTTTTTTCATATGACTCTGCCTTACCCAGTTACAGTTAACTGGACTAAATGGACATCTGACTTAAGCTAGCAAATTCTTCTGTGAAATTTGAAATTTGAATACAGGGATTGAATTAGTTAGCTATGGTGAGTCCAGATGTAAAATGAACATATTCAGGGCTGGAGTTGGTGCCAAAGCATGCCAATGAGTTTTGTGGGCCAAACTTACCAGGAAGCAGAGAAGGCAAAGATACTAGAAAAATCAGGAGAGTGGAGTAGGTGTGCAAACAGAATTAGATTTAGCTCCTGGGGTCCATGTGAGTAGTGGGAGAGTAGATGATAGCAATCAGTTTTCAATGAGGTTCTCTCTACCTGCTACAGGGCCACCTGGATTCACCTCTACCTTTCCAATAACTGCCTTTTTGTTGGGATTTGTTTAAGTGAATTTTTGTTTCTTGCAAGCAAGAGATTACCAAACAGAACGCTGAGGTAACTTCTACTCCTTCCCTTCCCTTGGCTAAATTTTACACAACATTTAAGATCTTCTAACGGATTTTTAATTTCATTGATTTCTGCTCTTTATTGTATCTTCCTTCTGCTTACTTTGGGTTTATTTTGCTCTTCTTTTTTGCCAGGTTTTTGTGGTAGAAGCTTAGATTATTTATGTGAGACTTTTCTTCTCCAATGTATTTGTTTACTACTGCAAATTTCCCTTTTAGCACTGCTTTATCTGTTTCCCACAAAGTGTGGTATATTGTAGTAATATGTATGTATATGTTATGTATGTATATGTGTAGGTTGTCATATGTATGTTAATTCAGCTCAATGTCAATTTTTATTTATCTTAGGTCTTCTTTGACCCACGAATCACCTACAAGTGTGTTGTTTAGCGCCCAACTATTTGAAGGTTTTCCTATCTTTCTGTTGTTGATTTCTAGTTTGACTCATTGTACTCAGAGAATGCACTCCATATGGTTTCAATTATTTTAATTTTTTAGGTTTATTTTACTGCCCAGGATGTGCTAAGGGCACGTAAAAGTAATGCGTATTCTACTGTTGTTGGGTGAAGTGTCCTATGAATGTTAATTAGATACTTTGTGGTGTTGTGGAGTTGTTCTATATGCTTTAAGATTTTCTATATAGTCAAAGTATCGATTACTGATAAAGGGATGTTGAAGTATTTCACTATGACTATGAATTTGTCTGTTTCTCCTTTTAGTTCTTTTTGTTACTGCTTTGCTCCTTTTACAGCTCTGTTGTTTGCTGCATAAATGTTTAGGATTGCCATATTGTCTTAGTATATTATGTCATTATGAACTGTCCTCCTCTGTTTCTGGTAATTTTTGTTTATTTGATGTTAATATAGCTACTCCTTCTTTAATTAATTTTCACATGATACATCTTTTTACATTTTTTTCTGTTTTACCTACCTATATTGTTATACCTGAAGTGAGCTTTTTGTAGACAGCATACAGTTGAGTCAGGTTTTAAATCCACTCTGTCAAACTCAATGTAGAAATCTTTTAATTGGTCTATTTTAACCACATACGTGTAATGTAATTGTTGACATACTAGAGCTTGTCTGCCTTTTTACTTTTTGTTTCTTTTTTCCTTGTGTTTTATTTCTGCATCATTCCTTGAGTTATTTGACCATTTTAAAAAATTTCATTTTGGTTGGGCGCATTGGCTCACACTTGTAATCCCAGGAGGCCGAGGCGGGTGAATCACCTGAGGTCAGGATTTCCAAACCAGCCTGGCCAACGTGGTGAAATCCTGTCTCTACTAAAAATACAAAAAAATTAGCTGGGCATGGTGGTGGGCGCCGGTAGTACCAGCTACTTGGGAGGCTGAGGCAGGAGAATGGCATGAACCTGGGAGGCAGAGCTTGCAGTGAGCCGAGATCGCGCCACTGCACTCCAGCCTGGGCGACAGAGCAAGACTCCGTCTCAAAAAAAAAAAAAAATTAGCTGGGTGTGGTGGCAGGCACCTGTAATCCCAGCTACTTGGGAGGCTGCGGCAGGAGAATGGCTTGAAGCTAGGAGGTGGAGATTGCATTGAGTGGAGATCGCGTCATTGCACTCCAGTCTGGGCGACAAGAGTGAAACTCCATCTCAAAATAATAATAATAATAATAATAATAATTTCATTTTGTTTTAGCAATAGTGTTTATAAATATCTTTGAGATATAATTCACATACCATAAAATTTATCATTTAAAAGTTTATAATTCAGTGGTTTTAGTATATTTACAAAGTTGTGCACCACTATTTAATTCTAGAATGTTTTAATCGTGTTCAAAAGAAATTGCACAACCATTATCAGTCATTTCCATTTTTCCCTCCATCTAGCACCTGGCAACCTCTAATCTATTTTGTCTGTGTATGGATTGGAGTATTTTGGATTTTTATACAAATGAAATTATATAATATCTGCCCATCTGGCTGTGAGTTATTTTATTTAACATAATGTTTTCAAAGTTCATCTAAGTTGCAGTATGAATCAGCACTTCATTCATTTTTTAGACATGAATAATATTACATTATGTGGATATGCCACATTTTATTTATCAGTTTATCAGTTGATACACATTTGTGTTGTTCCCAGTTTGGAGCTATTATGGAAAATGCTGCTATGAACATTTGTGTACAAGTTTTCATGGGGACATGTGTAGTTAATTCTCTTGAATTTATACCTAGGAGTAGAATTGCTGGGTCACAGGGTGATTGTATGTTTAACTTTTTGGGGTACTCTCAAAAGGTTTTCCACAAAAGCTGCACTATTTTGTATCACCCTTACCCAGTGGCAATGTGTGAGGGTCCTAATTTCTCTACATTTTCACCCACACTTGCCATTATCTGTCTTTTTATTTCAGTTGTAGTTTTCAATCTCAGAATTTCTATTTAGGTCATTTTTAATAATTTATATCTCCTTATTGATATATGTCATTTGTTGAGACATCATTCTCTTACTTCTTTCTACATAGCTTATAGTAGTTCATTGAACATATTTTAAATGGCTGATATAAAGTCTTTGGCTAGTAATTCCAATATCTGGTCTACCTCAGGGATAGGTCTATATTTTCTGAGTATGGGCCACACCTTGTTGCTACTTTGTGGCATGTTAAATATTTTGTTGTTGTTGTTAAAAACCTGATGTTTTAAATAATATAATGTACCAGCTCCAGAGATCAGATACTTCCGTTTTCCCAAGATTTGTTGTTATTGCTGTATGTTGGTGTTGCTGTTGGTTTTTGTTGTTGTTTAGTGCTTTTTATGAACTAATTATATAAAATATGCTGTTATGTCATACATGGCCACTGAAGGCTGTGCTCAGTTAGTTTGGTGGTCAGATAGTGATTGGAAAGAGATTTTCTTAAATACCTAGAACTGATAAGTCTTCAAGTCTTTGCTAAGGGGCTTTGTCAATGTGTTGGTGCATAATTTCGAAACACAGCCAAGCAATTTACAACTCTACTTTAGCCTTCACTTCCTCCTGGCACAGAGCTTCAAGATTAAACAGAAGTGAGAGTTCAGGGCTTTCTTAGGTCTTTTGTAAGCAAATGCACAGGCCTGGGTATGTGAATATCTCTAGGTAAGTGTTGGCCATTTAGATAGAAAAATATTGGAATGTAAATAATTTTTGTTGTTGTTATTCTTTGCACCAAGTTATTATACTTGTTATAATTAATGACCCTGGTGACATATCATTGTCACCTAAAGGCCATAGTTTACATTGGGGTTCACTCTTAGTTCTGTACCTTCTATGTATTTGGTAAGTGTACAGTGACATGTATCTACCATTCATTTTGTAAAATAGTTTTACTGGCTGAAAACTTTTTGTGTTTTGCCTTCTCATCCCACCCTCCCTCCCTGCAACCTCTGACAACCACTAAGCTTTTCTCTGTCACTATAGTTTTTTTCTTTTCCAGGATGTCCTAAAGTTAGAATCATTCAATATGTGGATTTTTCAGATTGGTTTATTTGATCTAGTAATGTTCATTATATTTCCTCCATGATTTTTCATGGCTTGATAGCTCATTTATTTTTAGCATGGAATAATATTTTATTTACTGGATGTACCATATTTCATTTTTCCATTCACCTACTGAGGACATCTTGGTTGCTTCCAAGTTTTGGCAATTATGAATAAATATACTATAAACATTGTGTGCAAGTTTTTACATGAACATATTTTCAACTCCTTTGGGTAAATATTGAGAAGCGTGATTGCTGGATTGTATGTAAGAATGTGTTTAGTTTTGTAAGAAATCTCCAAACCATTCTACAAAGTAGTTGAACAATTTTGCATTTCTATCAGCAGTGAATGACAGTTCTTGTTCAACAGTCTCACCAACATTTGGTGGTGTCAGTATTTTGGATTTGGGTTATTTTAATAGTGTATAGTGGAATCTTGTTTTGATTTGCAATTCACTAATGCTGTATAATGTTAAACATCTTTTTATATATGTTTATTTGCCATCTGTATATCTTCTTTGAAAAGGTATCTATGCAGGTCGTTCACCTAATTTTAATTTAGTTTTTTTTTATTGTTGATTTTTTGGGAGTTTGCGTATTTTAGATAACAGTTCTTTATCAAATGTGACTTTTGCAAATATCTTTTTTTAGTTTGTGGTTTATCTTCTCATTTCCATGACATTGTCTTTTACAGAGTAGAAGTTTCTAATTTTAACAAAGTCTAGCTTATCAATTATTTCTTTAAGGGATCATACCTATGGTATCCTATCTAAAATGACATTTTTATACTCAAGGTTGTTATACCAAACCATACCCATAGAGTTTATCATATGTTATCTTCTAAAACTTTTGTAGTTATACATTTTACACTTAGATCTATGTTACATTTTGAGTTGATTTTTGTGAAAGGTGTGAGATGTGTGTCTAGATTCTTTTGTTGTTTTTGTGGTTGTTGCATATAGATGTCCAGTTTTTCTAACACCATTTGTTCAAAAGACAATCTTTGCTCCAGTATATTGCATTTGCACCTTTGTCAAAGCTCAGTTAACTATATTTATTTGGGTCTATTTCTGGGCTCTCTATTCTGTTATGTTGATCTGTCTACACTTTGCCAATGATACATTGTCTTGATTACTGTAGGCTTATAGTAAGTCTTAAGTCAGGTAGTGTCAGAACTTTATTCTTATATATTGTGTTGGCTATTCAGGGTCTTTTGTCTCTCCAGGTAAACTTTAGAATTAGTTATCAGTAGCCACAAAATAACTTTTGATTGGGGTTGCAGTGAATGTATAGATAAAGTTGGAATTGGCAGGTATTGGCTTGTATACATTAACCTTATATCCTGTCACCTTGCTATAAGTGCTTATTATTTCCAGGAAGTTTTTGTTTATTGTTTTTATCCTTATTTTTATTTTCTTAGTTAGCTTGGCTAAAGACTTATTGATTTTATAGATCTTTTCAAAGAATCAGCTTTTGGTTTCATTGATTTTTTTTGTTATTGATTTCCTGTTTTCAATTTTATTGATTTCTCCTCTAATTTTTATTATGTCTTTCCTTTTGCTCACTTTGGGTTTAATTTGCTCTTTTTTTCCTAGTTTCCTAAGGTGGAAGATTAGATTATGCATCTTTCTTCTTTCCTAATATACACATTGAATGCTAACAATTTTTCTCTAAGCAGTCCTTTCATTAAATCCCACATATTTTGATCAGTTATAACATCATTTTCAAATTTAGTTTGAAATATTTTAAAATTTTTCTTGAGATCTTTTCTTTGACCCATATGTTATTTAGACATGTGTTGCTTAATCTCCAAGTATTTTGGGATTTTTCAGCTATATTTATGTTATTTATTTCTAGTTTAAGTCTATTGAGGCCTGAGAGTACTTTTTGTATGATTTATTTTCAGATTTTTAAGTATGTTTTATAATCCAGAATATTACCTATTTTGGCAAATGTTCCAAGTGAGCTTAAGAAGAAAGTGTACTCTGCTGTTGTTGGATAAAGTAGTCTATAGAAGTTGATTATATCTAGTTGATTGACAGTGTTGTTGAGTATTGTTCAACTGTGTCTTTACTGATTTTCTGTCTGCTATATCTATCCATTTCTGATAGAGAGGTATTGAAATCTTCAACTATTTTTTTTTTTTTTTTGAGATGGAGTCTTGCTCTGTCACCCAGGCTGGAGTGCCATGGCGTGATCTCGGCTCACTGAAAGCTAAGCTCTGCCTCCTGGGTTCATGCCATTCTCCTGCCTCAGCCTCCCGAGTAGCTGGGACTACAGGCACCCACCACCACACCTGGCTAATTTTTTGTATTTTTAGTAGAGACGGGGTTTCACCGTATTAGCCAGGATGGTCTCGATCTCCTGGACTTGTCATCCGCCCGCCTCAGCCTGACAAAGTGCTGGGATTACAGGTGTGAGCCACAGTGCCTGGCTGAAATCTTCAACAATTAATATAATAGTGGATCCATCTAAATTGACACATAATAACTGTACATATTTGTGGGGAATATAGTAATGTTGCCATACATATAATGTATAGTGATAAGATCAGGGTAATTAGCATATTCATCATCTCAAACATTTACCATTTCTTTGTGTTGGGGAGATTCAATATCCTCCTTCTAACTATTTGAATCTATATAATGTTATTTTTAACTATAGTCATCCTACAATGCTATAGAACACTAGAACCTATTCCTCTTTTTTAGCTGTCCTTTAACAAATGTCTCCTATCTGCCACTTCTCTAGTATCTACTAGAGTATCTAGTTGACTATCTACCCTAGTATCTTCTGTTCTACTTTTTATTTCTATGAGCTCAACTTTTCTTTAGCTTTCACATATAACTGAGAACATACAGTGTTAACTTTCTGATTTTGGCTTGTTTTACTTAGCATAGTGCCATCCAGTTGCATTTATGTTGCTGTGAATGACAAAATCTTATTTTTCCTTATGGTTGAATAGTATTCCATTGTGTATATATATATATCACCTTTTTCAGCTTTTATTTCAGATTCAGGGAGTACATGTATAGGTTTTTTGCATGTGTGTATAGTGTTATGCTGAGGTTTGGGGTAGATTGACACCATCACCCTAGTAAGTGAGCATAGTATACAATAGTTTTTCAACCTTTGCCTGCCTCCCTCTCTCCTCCTTCAGGTTGTCTCCAGGATCTATTCTCATTTTTATGTCCAAGTGTACCCAGTGTGTAGCTCTCACTTATAAGTGAGAACACGTATGCTCCTGTAACACATTTTATTAGTTTGTCTGTTGTTGGACACTTAGGTTGATTCCATATCTTAGCTATTGTGAATAATGCTGCAATAAACATGGGGTGCAGATGTCTCTTGGATATACTCATTTTCTTTCCTTTGAATAAATACCCAGTAGTGGAATTCCTGGATCATCTGGTAGTTCTACTTCTAGTTTTCTGAGGAACCTTCATACTGTTCTTCATAGTGACGATACTAGTTTACTTTCCCACCAACAGTGTATAAAAGTTCCTTTTTCTCTCCATCCTTGCCAGTATTTGCTATTTCTTTTTTGTCTTTTTGATAATGGCCATCCTAACTGGGGTGAGATTATACCTCATTATGGTTTTTATTTGCATCTCCCTGATGATTAGTGATGTTGAGCATTTTTTTCATGTATGTATTGGCCATTTGCATGTCTTCCTTTGAGAAATGTTTGTTCAGATCATTTGCCTATTTTAAAATTGGATTGTTTGCTTTTTGCTGTTGAGATGTCTGAGATGCTTGTATAGTCTGGATATTAATCCTCTGTCAGATGGGTAATTTACAAATATTTTCTCCCATTCTGTAGGTTGTCTCCACTTTGTTGATTGTTTCCTTTGCCGTATAGAACCTTTTCAGTTTGATATAATCCCATTTGTTTATTTTTGCTCTTATTGCCTGTACTTTTGAGGTCTTATTCATAACATCTTTTCCCAGATCAATGTCTTGAAGCATTTTCCCTTTGTTTGCTTCTAGTAGTTTTATAGTTTTAGGTCTTAAATTTAGGTCTTTGATTCATTTTGAGTTGATTTTTGTATAGAGAGAGGGGTGGGGGTTTAGTTTCATTCTTCAGCATATAGACATCCAGTTTTCCCAGTAGCATTTATCAAAGAGATGTCCTTTCCCTAATCTATGTTCTTGGTGCCCTTGTCAAAAATCAGTTGGCTGTAGTTACATGGATTAATTTCTGGGTTCTCTATTCTGTTCCAGTGGTCTGTTTTTGTTTTTATGCCAGTACCATGCAGCTTTGGTTACCACAGCTTTGTAGTATATTTTGAAGTCTGGTATTTTGATGATGTTAGCTTTGTTCTTTTTGCTCAGAATTGCTCTGGTTATTCAGTGTCCTTGGAGGGTCCATACAGATTTTAGGATTTTTTATTCTATTTCTGTGTGGATGTCATTGCTATTTTGATAAAGATTGCATTGAATCTGTAGATTGTTTTGGGTAGCAATCATTTTAACAATGCTAATTCTTCTGATCCATGAACATTGGATGTTTTTTCATTTGTTTGAATCCTCTTCAATTTCTTTTCTCAGTGTTTTATCATTTTCCTTATAGAGGTCTTCCACCTTCTCTGTTAAATTTGTTCCAAAGTGTTTTAATTTTTGTAGCTATTATAAATGTGATTTCCTTCTTGATTTATTTTTCAGCTAGTTCATTGTTTGTATAGAAATGCCAAGAATTCTGGATACTGGTTTTGTATTCTCCAACTTTACTGAATTCGTTTATCAGTTCTAAGAATTTTTTGGTAGACTCTTTGGGTTTTTCTATATATAAGATGATATTGTCTGCAGACAGGCTTCCTCCTTTCCAATTTGGATGGCCTTTATTTCATTCTCTTGCCTAATTACTCCAGCTTAAACTTCCAGTACTGTGTTGAATAAGAGTGGTGAAAGTGGGCATCTTTATCTTGTTCCAGTTCTTACAGAAAAAGCTTTCAGTTTTTCTGCATTCAGTATGATGTTAGCTGCGGTATGTTGAGTATTTTCTCACCATACCTAATTTATTGAGAGTTTTCACCATTACGTGTTGTTGAATTTTATCAAATGCTTTTTCTGCATCTATTCAGATGATCACATGGTTTTTGTCCTTCATATTATTGATGTGATGTATTACATTTATTGATTTGCATATATTAAACTATCTTTGCATTCCTGGGATAAATCCTACTTGATGCTGGTGTATTATCTTTTTCAATGTGTTCCCTCACATATTTTGATGCTCTACTGTTAGATGTTTACATGTTAATAATTACTATGACTTCTTAAAAAATTGAAGAATTGTTTTCAGTTTGTAATGTCCCTCTTTAGCCCTGATAACTTTCCTCACTCTGAAGTCATCTCTGTCTGAATTTAATATAACTATTCCTACTTTCTTTTCCTAAGTGTAGCATGGTATGTATTTCTGAATTCATTTATTTGTATATATGTGTCTTGTATTTAAAGAAGATTTCTGTAGACAACATATAAATGAGTCTTGTCTTTTGATCCACTGTAATAAGATAGATATGTTTTTTAATTTGTGCACCTAGACCACTGGGGCTCAAAGTGATTACTAATATAGCTGATTTAATATCTGTTGCCCTTATTCTTTATTCCTCTTTATCTGTTTTTTTGTGGTTTTGATTGGATATTTTATATAATTCCATTTCTTCTCCTTTTAAAGCATGTCAGTTTACTTTTATTTTTATTTTTTTAGTGGTTGTGCTAGAGTATGCAGTATACATTTACAACTAAGCTAAAACTACTTTCAAATAAAACTGTACCACTTCACTAGTAGTGTGAGTACTTCATAATAATATTTTTAAAAAATCTGTATTCCTCCCTCCCATTCCTTGTATCATTTCATGTCATTCATTTTACTTATAGGTAATTATACATACACACACATACACACACACACACATGCACACAAACATATATACCTCAACATGTATAATTAAATACATTGTTGCTATTATTATTTTGAACATACTGATATCTTATATCTGTTAGATCAATTAAGAATAAAAAATATAAAAGTTTATTTAACCCTCACTAATGCCTTTATAATGCTTTTCCTTTCTTTATGTAGATCCCAGTTTCTGATCTTTCTTTTATTATTATTATTATTATTATTATTATTGTTTTTGAGATGGAGTCTTGCTCTGTTGCCTAGGCTGGAGTGAGGTGGTGCGATCTTGGCTCACTGCAACCTCTGCCTCCCAGGTTCAAGCAATTCTCTTGCCTCAGCCTCCAGAGTAGCTGGGATTACAGGCACACACCACCATGCCCGGCTAATTTTTTTGTGTTTTTAGAAGAGACAGGGTTTCACCATGTTGGCCAGGCTGGTCTCAAACCCCTGACTTCAGGCGATCCACCTGCCTTGGCCTCCCAAAGTGCTGGGATTACAGGCTTGAGCCATCGCGCCTGGCCTCTGATCTTTATTTTTTTCCTTCTCTCTGAAAAACTTCTTGAACATTTTTTTTTTTGCCAGGCAGGTCTAGTGGCAAAAAAATTCTCTCAGTTTTTGTTTTTTAAAGGCAATTTCACAGGGTGCAGAATTCTAGATTGGTGTTTTGGTTGGTTGGTTGGTTTTCTTTTTCTTTCAACAGTTTAAATACTTCACTGTGTTCTCTTCTTGTTTGCACGGTTTCTAAGAAGTCAGAAGTATTTATTATCTTTGTTCCTCTATAGGTAAGGTACTTTTTTCCCCTCTAGACTCTTTAAGAATTCTTTTTCATCTTTGATTTTCTATAGTTTGAATATGATATACCAAGATATAGTTTGATTTTTTGGTTGGTTATAGTATTTATCCAACTTGGTGTTCTTTGAGTGTCCTAGATTTGTGGTTTCATGTCTGACACTAATTTGGGGGCAGTTCTCAGTCATATTTTTAAATATTGCTTCTGTTTTCTTAATCTCTTTCTTCTCCTTTGGTAGTCCCATTAAGCATATGTTACACCTTTTTTAGTTTTCCCACAGTTCCTTGATATTTTGTCCTTTTTTAGTCTTGTGTCTCTTTGTTTTTAGTTTTATAAGTTTCTATTGTCATATCCTGAAGCTCAGAGATTCTTTCCTCAGCTGTGTTCAGTCTACTCATGAGCCCTTCAAAGGCATTCTTCATTTCTGTTAAAGTGGTTTTGATTTCTAGCATTTCTTTTTTATTCTTTCCTAGAATTTTTATGTTTTTGCTTACATTATCCATCTGTTCTTGCTTGTTGTCTATTTTTTCCACTAAAGACCATAGCACATTAATCACAGTCTGTTAAAATTTTTTTGGTATAATATTTCTAATATTCCTGCCGTATCTGAATCTCATTTTGATGCTTGTTCACTGTGTTTCTTTGTTTTGTTTTTATTTTTTGCCTTTTAGTATGCCTTATAATTTTTTGTTGTAAGGCAAACATGGCATACTGGGTAAAAGGAATGGCAATACATAGGCCATTAGTGTGTGAGGGAAAGGAGGATATTTTTTATTTCTATACATATTAGGTCTCTCCTATCAGATCTCAGTCTTTTGTTTAGTCTGTGCCCCAGAACTGTGTACTGTACCAGTGTTTCTCAGTCATTCCCCACATCCCACCTAGGTGGGACAGGATAGCTGGAGTGGACTGGAGTTATGTAGTTTTCTTTCTTCATGTGGAAGTCTAGAGAAAGCTAGAATTGGGTATTTCCTTTACCTCAGGTATATTAAGCTCTGGTAAAATAGATTCTACTGACAGTTAGGCCTTGTTAAGAATAGAATTTTCTGGCATATTTCCAAATTATTTTTAGAAAATTTTTTTTTTTTTTTTTGAGACGGAGTCTCGCTCTGTCGCCCAGGCCGGACTGCGGACTGCAGTGGCGCAATCTCGGCTCACTGCAAGCTCCGCTTCCCGGGTTCACGCCATTCTCCTGCCTCAGCCTCCCCAGTAGCTGGGACTACAGGCGCCCGCCACCGCGCCCGGCTAATTTTTTGTATTTTTAGTAGAGACGGGGTTTCACCTTGTTAGCCAGGATGAGAAAATTTTTTTCTCTATCCCTTGACAGAGACATGAATGGATTGTTTTTCTGATATTTATTGTTAGGACCTGGTAGATCTCCTGGAGGTAAAACGCCCAAAAGTGTGGGTTCCCTTTTATGACTGAGTCCTTTGGAGTTTTTATCTCTTGGACTTGTCCACACTGAGCCTCCAGCAATTCTTCAATTATAGTTTAGGTTTTCTTACCCTGGCACTTGTTCCCGTAGAAGTTTCTGCTTGTGGGTTTCTGCTCTGGTCAATTGTGATTTTTCAGTATCTGCCTTTCTTCAATTTTGGGAGTAGCATTTTGCCCTCTGACTTCATTTCTCTGATTAATTTGAAAGAGTTGCTGATTTTTCAGTTTGTTCATCATGGTATTTGTTTTGTAGAGTAAGTGACAACTTCCCAGCTTCCTACATGCCAGACCAGAAACCAGAAGTCTCTGTTGAAGTTTTTCAAAGTTCCCTATGAACATCTCATTCTCCAGAATTTATTTTAAGTTTTGGGTTATAATATTGTTTTCCCCAACTCCTATCCACACTTTAGGCATATGCAGTGTTCCAGAATTGCCAAACATTCCTAGAGAAAAGCCTCTGTACACTAGGAAAGCTTTGAACTTGGTCAAATAAAGATATCTCTGTCAGTGAAGTCTTCCAGGGAACTGTCAGACATGTCAAGTAATTACAATTCCCTAGATATAGTGTTTTGAAGAAGCCCAACACCTCTCTTCCCTGACCAGTGTCTGTCAGGGTGCTCATTTTTACTGTCATTGTAGATATTTGTTTTCAAAGGCACAGCAGAGGCAAGCATGGAAATAGGACTATGTAAAATGCCACAAAAGTCCCTGTTCTAAGTGAGATTAAATCTTTTTTCTTGATGAAGCTCAGTGTTCTTACTGAGAATCAATCCTCTTTGTTTGGGCAAATGCTCCCTGGATTGCTGCAAATCATTAGTTGATTTTCAGCATTCCAAAAAAGTTGATTCTGCTAGTGTTCTTATTGCCTTTATGGGGTGGATGACCTTTGAATGTCCTTACTCTACCACTTCAGTGGAGTTGCCTATGGTGTTTTTGAGTGTGTCTTTGCATAGCCTTTTTAGTGATTGTTCTGTGCATTTTATTACATATATGGTTTATTACAGTCCATTAGTATCATTACATTACCAGTTTGAGAGAAGTATAGAAACCCTACCTATTTTTATATTTCTTTATCTTCCCCTGCTTATAACACAACTGTCTTAAATATTTTCTATACATATATTTAGAACCACATCAGATTGTTTTATGTTTTGCTTCATCCATCAAACATACTTTTGATAACTCAAGAGGAGAATTTACATTTGCATTTACCCATATTTTTGCTTACTATATTATTTTTTCATGATGTTCCAGTGTTCCCTCTTTTTTTTTTTTTTCTTTTTACAGAATTTTCTTTAGTTGCTCTCTTAGGGTTGGTCTGTAGGTGACAAATTCTCTTCTCAGTTTCATCTGAGAAAGTCTTAATTTTCCCTCTATTCCTGAAGGATATTTCTACCGACTCTAGGTTTCTGGATTGACTTTTCAGGGTTTGTTTGTTTGTTTGTTTGTTTGTTTTCTTTTTCCAGCATCTGAAAAATATTGGGACATTTACTATTAGCCTCCATGATTTCTGGTGAGAAATCTATTGTCATTCAAGTTGCTTTCCCCATATAGGTAAAATGCTGTTTTTCTGGCTGCTTTCAAGATATTTTATCCACCTTTAGTTTTTAGAAGTTTCTTTTGCTATGTTTTGACATGGATTTATTTAGGTTTATCCTGTTTTGGATGCATTCAGATTTATTGATTTGTAGATTTATATCTCCTTCCAAAGTTAGAAGGTTTTCTTCTACTTTTTCATTGAGTACTTTTCCTGTCACATCCTTTTTCTCCTCTCTTTCAGGGGCTCTCTGACGGGAATATTAGATCTTTTGTGGCAAGTCCCACATGCCATTAGGTCTCTGATTTTTTTCCAGTTTACATGGATCGTTTGCATAGTTTCATCTTTAAATTCACTTACTCTTCACACTTTCCCCTTTATTTTGTTGTTGGGCTCATCTGAGTTTTTTATTTTGTTTATTGTTTCAGCTCTAAATCTTCTACTAGGTTCATCTTTATAGCTTCTATTTCTTTTTTTTTTTGAGATGGAGTCTCACTCTGTCACCCAGGCTGGAGTGCAGTGGCGTGATCTCGGCTAACTGCATGCTCTGCCTCCCGGGTTCCAGCGATTCTCCTGCCTCAGCCTCCCAAGTAGCTGGGACTACAGGCGCCCGCCACCATGCCTGGCTAATTTTTTGTATTTTTAGTAGAGACGGGGTTTCCCCATGTTAGCCAGGATGGTCTCGATCTCCTGACCTCGTGATCCGCCCATCTCGGCCTCCCAAAGTGCTGGCTTCTATTTCTTTATTGATAGTTTCTAATTTTTTAATGGGGTTTTCTTTTTCCTTTTTTTTTTTAACCTGAGTGTTTGTACTCATTAAAGGATTCTTTTGATGACTCCTTTTAAATCTTTGCTAGATAATTTTAACATCCCTGTCGTCTTGGTATTGTAATCTGTTGTTTGTGTCTTTTCATTTTGTTTGAGATATTTTTGATTCTTGTATAAAAAATCATTTTTATTAGTCAGGAAACAACAGATACTGGAGAGGATGTAGAGAAATAGAACACTTTTACGCTGTTGGTGGGAGTGTAAATTAGTTCAACCATTGTGGAAGACAGTGTGGCGATTCCTCAAGGATCTAAAACTAGAAATACCATTTAACCCAGCAATCCCATTACTGGGTATATATCCAAAGGATTATAAATCATTCTACTATGAAGATACATGCACACATATGTTTATTGCAGCACTATTCAGAATAGCAAAGACTTGGAACCAACCCAAATGCCCATCAATGATAGACTGGATAAAGAAAATGTGGCACATGTGCCCCATAGAATACTATGCAGCTATGAAAAAGAATGAGTTCATGTCCTTTCCAGGGACATTGATGAAGCTGGAAACCATCAACCCCAGCAAACTAACACAGGAACAGAAAACCAAACACTGCATGTTCTCACTCATAAGTGGAAGTTGAACAATGAGAACATATGGGCACAGGGAGGGGAACATCACACACTGGGGCCTGTCGGATGATGGGGGGCAAGAGGAGGGATAGCATTAGGAGAAACACCTAACGCAGATGACAGGTTGATGGGTGCAGCAAACCACCATGCCACATGTATGCCTATGTAACAAACCTGCACATTCTGCACATGTATCCCAGAACATAATAAAAAAAAAATCATTTTTATTGAAACCTGGATTTTTTGTGCTATTACTCTAGATTTTAGTTATACCTACTGTTTTAGCTCTATTTCTCTGACAACACTCCAGCAGTAGAAAGGTGGGTCCTTCATGATTACTGTCAGGTAGTTGTCAGTAAGGACCGAGGTTCCTTAGTGTTTGTTGACAACTGAATAGTCTTTTTACTACCACTGAGTAGGGGTAGGAATTCTAACATTTCATGTGGTCTCTACTGACAGTGCAGTGGAGGTTACCTTATTACCACTGGCTAATTATAAAAGTCTTGTTGCTTCACTAGGCCTTTTGACTCCACCTGAGTGGGGGAGGGGTATCTCATTATTGCCAATTGGGGATGGAAGTATAGGTTTCCTTCTTGATCTCTGCTGTGGGTCAATAGCAGTGATTGTTGAGTTTGAATTCCAAAAATATTTACTACAATAAAACTAGCTTCAAATAAAAACAGTTGAATTATCTATATGAGAGGAGATATCTGAACTCAGGAATAAAATCTAGTAGAAAATAAAAGAAAAATATACCTTATGATTTTGCTCTTTGCATTTTCTATGAATCCTTACTTAACATGCTTATTTTGGATTCCTCTATTTTCTCCATCATTTTTTTTTCTTGGTGGTTCTGCATTTAAGACAATGCAATATATTCTGAGAGGGGAAGCTGTAGCAGCTTCACAGAAACATTTTGATCCCACTGAGATAAAATTATTTTGCAGTGTTGTGTCTGCATGTTGTTCTCTCTCTGCATTCCTATTCTTTAAGATATGGATATATCTTTGTAAAAAATTCTCTTGTACCAGTTTCCTCAGGCCAGAAATCCCTGTTGCATAAATCTCATGGTATATTGTTTGTAAAGAAAAAAATCATTTTTATGAGGAAGTTCAGATCTTGACCACATATTGCCAACGTGGCCAACTTTTATTTTTTAAGTTATCAACTTTATTTCTCTTCTGATTAATGTCAATTAAGTACATAAATTAATACTGTTTATAAAAGTTACTTGTTTGGACCATGAGTGGAGAAAGTTTCTCACCAAATTTTCCTCTTACCTCATGTACAGTTCTCATAGCGGGCAGAATCCAATTCAGGAGGAAGCAAAATAGATTAGACTTTAAGATGCTTCAGTGTTTTAAAGAAAATGTCAGAAACTATTGATGTTCAGATTCTACGACAAGGATATATCCATCTAGAAAATAGACCCAAGCATGAAGGATTTTTTAAGGCTACAAAAGCACACACTCACATGTAGTTATTTTCTGCACAACTTACAGCAAGCAGTAATTCTTATTTCTTCAAAGAAATTGTATGAAAAACTGTAAGCCCCAAACTACTCTGTTCTCACCTCTTTTCCTATTTCTTTAGCTTCCTATGCTACAGTGACACTCAAGGATTTAAGGACGCAAGAGACCACTTTCGTCTTGGCATGTGCAGTAGAACTGATGGGGGAAAGAGGGTGGAGTCAGACCCTGGCTCTTTCAAAGCACAAGCATCTCTATCTTGCTTTATATCTGGGTTAGAATCATATTTTTAAGGAAGGTTTAATCAGTGATGATGAATTGAAAATCATTGTTTTTTCATGTGTGTGACTCAGCTGTTCTGTTTCAGAAGTCAAACCTTGTGTCAGAGATCAAAACTGGTATTTTCTAATATGACTCTGTGTGGTAATACAGATAATAGAAATACCGGAATCTCTTTATTGTTTTCTTTTTAATATTTAATTCACCTATTATATTGTGTGATCATTTGCTTACCTGCCAATTGCCTGTCTCTCTACCCTCCTTGTGAGCATGGAATTTGATTGCTTTGTTCACTGCTGGCTTGTTAGTGCCTGACACATAGTAGGTACTAAGGATTTTTTTTTTTTAAAGGAAGGAAAGGCACAGTGAATTGGAGAAGACTAATGTGATTATTGGGCTCTTTATGTTCTTGACTCTGGGGTCCTAATACATAAGTATCTAAAAATGGGGATGAATGGTTTAGGAAGAGAAGGTGGGTGGTTTATTTTTTAACACACTGGGTTTTAAATGCCCAAAAGACACTGTCATGCAGATGTCATCTGGAAAGCTACATTGGAAATCTGAAGCTGAAGGAATAGTTTGTGCTGAAAGAGAGACCGAGGATTCAATAGCATGTATAAGATGTAGTATTCGGTGCATGAAAAGCACTTGGCAGCTTTTGTTACATGAGATGAGATGACCAGTGAGCTGCAGGCTTAACCACTGAGCACACTAATGTGGAACTAGAGAAAATATTTTTACATTTTTACAGAATTATAACCCCAGCAAAGAAAACTAAGTAAAACAACAAATACTGGCAATTAAAGGGTGACTGCATGGAGACTTCCAGAAATATTAAAAGCTTTCTCTCTAGTAGCTATGTCTCTATTTCAGGGGGAGATAAAAATCTCTGGGGCCATTTGTTTATAAGTTAAAAGTTTGTAAAATATTAGAGAGAAAAGTTTTATCTATCTCTTTCGAGGGAAGAATAGCAGCTATATAGCAGTTCCTATATAGCAGTTCCTACATAAGCTCCTAGATTCATACCTTCAGGGTTCCTCTCTCGTAGTGCCAAAGAACAAAAATCATTTGCACATGCAGGGTAATATCTGGGTCTCATCTCATCACTCTGAAGGAAGAGAATGGGGTATAGGAAATCAACACAGTTGTTGCTGTCAAGTAATGATATGACTCCAATCCCAAAATCTCATGTTTGATTAATCAAAATAATATAGATGTTAAAAACATGTTGACCAATACCCATAGGCCAAGGACAGAAAAAGAATTCATAAAGATAATTGAGAAATGGAAGAAAGTGATGTCTTAGAACACAACTGAGTTTTCAAACACTTGAAGAGCTCCGAAGTATAAGATAGATTTGACTTACTCTAGATCGTAGAGGGCTGCATAAGGCTCAATTGTTGCCCATTATTGGCAAGCAAGTTTGGGGACAAAAAGTCAAAGCAATTTTATCAAAGTTTTCAGTAATAGACTATGGTTGCATAGAATCAAAGAAGTGATAGGGTATTATAATGAAAAGAATACTGGACCAAGAATAGAACAATTTGGGGGGCTTTTTCTATTATGAGTAGCCATGCTGTTTTAGGTAACTATTAGCATATTTGAATCTGTTTTTTCATTCTTGATCTGTTTATTAAACAGGACTATCCTGATGATCAAAAGATGTAAAAAAAATTGATATACATCAATTTGTAAATTTTTAAGTGCCAAAGGTATCAAAGATAAATTCTCCTGAACTAAAGTATTAACACGGAGACAAAGTGGCCAGCTCTCAAGCCATCTTGGATATCTAACATTCTGATGATGACGATCCCAACTATCTGAGAGTAACCTCATAAAGAAACTTAGGTTGGAATCCACGAACAACTGAGACCAGTCAATCCACAGAACCATGAGGGATAATCGTATCCAGTTTTAAATTGGTGGTGGTGCTATATAGATAGATAGCGCACCTCAATGTATTTCCTATGTGAATTGGGACTACTCAAGAAACTGAACTTTCTGGGATTTCTAAGCTTAATCATACTGATATATTTTGGCAAAAGTGTATTCTTTGTGTTTATCACACAGTTAATTGTACCTTTTAGAATTTTCTGTGCCAGAGTGCTCATTTTCTCCAAGCCTTCAACTCAGTTCTCTGTGTGACAATTTCACTGTGATTCCAGTTACCCCAGAGGACATAACTCAGTGTTCCTTTCCAGAGCCAGTTATGTCACCAGGGAAGTGCTGCAAATATATTGCTTAGGAATAACACATGGATTCTCCTTATAGTGTTTTCTTTGTTTAAGAAAGTAGAATTACATAGAGAAAAATACGTATATCTTCCCATCCTTTGATAGGTCCCATAAGCACCTGAGAATTACATGAGAATATGTTCTTGTTTTTTGAGAAAATGGTCTATTTTGGGCATACTTTTCCTTAAGATTGAATGCTGATGTTGTTTCACCATAGGACACAGCCATTTCTCAGCAAGGAGGCAGTATGTGATAATGACGGCTTATATTTTAAAACTACCTTTAACTTGTCAAAATGCTTTCATATATGCTTATAAAATTACAGAGTATTAAAGTGAGGAAGGATGTCAGGCAATGACAAATCTAATCCTTTCATTTTCCAAATAAGGATAATGGAGGCTAGCAGGTAAAGTCATTTGCTCATGAACATTTTGCTAGTTGGTGGCAGAACCCAGATTCTTTAGTCTCTATCTATGATTATGATACAATTTCTACCTTAAAAGACCCCTCTGTGGTAAATGTGCAGGACTTGTTTGGCTAGTTTTATAATGAATGGGTGAAGGCATAATATCATTTCTTTGAGTCATTAAATTGAGGTCAAAAAGGCAATTTAAAACAGAACCCCAAACACTGTTAAAGCTCTTCATCATACCAGCAATTTCACTCCTAGGCATAGACTCAAAAGACATGAAAACACACATACACACAAACGTTTTTACAGGAATGTTTATAGCAGCATTATTCGTGATAGCCAAAGAGCAGAAACAACTCAAATGCCCACAAACTGATGAGTAGATAAACAAAATGTACAATTTCCATACAGCAAAATATTATTCAGCAATAAAAAGGAATGACGTACTGCTACATTCTACAACATGGATGATCCTTAAAAATGTTAAGTATAAGAAGCCAGATGCAAAAGGTCACAGATGGTATGATTCAACTTATATTAAATATCTAGAATAGGCTAATCTGTAGAGTCAGAAAGTAGAGCAGCAGTTGCCAAGGGCTGCAAGAGATGGGAGAATAAGGGTGACTATGAAAGGGTACAGGGTTTTTTTTTTTTTTTTTTTTGAACGATGAAGATGAGGATATTCTAAAATTGATTGTGGGGATAATTGCACAACTGTGTGAATTATACATGTTGAATGAGTCAATTTTTAAGCATTTGAATTTCATCTTAATAAAGCTGTTACCAAAAAAATAAAAATAAAAAGCAAAAGAAGACTATACTTCATCATTATCTCAGAGGCTAAGATGTGATTTAAAAGTGGCACATTGTATAGTGATTTGATCATTACATGCATCAAAAATCACCCTGTACCCCATAAATATGTACACTTATTATGTGCTAATTAAAACAAAATAAGACAAAAAAGGGCAGAGGTCCCAAATAGGATTACATTCCAGAACACTGAATTATACCAGCTAAGCAGCTCCATTAATAAGATATCAAATAAGTTAATAGTTGTGATTTATTGGTAATATGGGTTGGCTTTGCCTAGAGCAGTATTTTCTAAAACTTGGTCAACATTTTCCTGAAGATACAGATGATAATTTAAGGGGTAACTCAGATTTTCATTAACATAAAATTAATTAATTCATGCTGATTCTATTTGTGCTGATGATATAAATTGTGCTCTTAAAACATAGTAATTTGAGTTAAAAAAAGAAATAATGTACAAAAAATGGTGTAGTTGGTATGAGTAGATGTTAAAAAAAAATGAAGAAGGTTTATAGACAATTGACTTCTGAGAAACTCTGGTCCAAAGAAAACTTCTTCTCCCAGGGCTCAGATTATTCCCTAAGCTTCTCCAATGATAGTGAGTTCTTGGTTACCAAAGTGGGGAACTATGTGTGTATAGATAGATGGCTCAAAAGCACTTGGTCTCAAACTTGGTAGCACATGGCTTCAGATGCAAATCAAAGGTTTCTCACTCTTATGTGAAAGACCACAACTAGTATTTGATGAAATGATATAGTGAAAATAATAAAGGCTCTTGAGCTCAAGAAATTTGGATTTAAATATTGGCCTGTGACTTGTAAAACTTTGGGCACATCACAATATCTCTGAGATTGTGTCTTTTTTTGTAAAACAGAAATAGCAGGACTCATTTTAATAAGGGAATTGTGAGGATTAATTAAAACAATGTAAGTAGCATAATGTATATTATCTGACATAGAGAAGATGATTAAAGGGTGGCTTCTTTTCTTCTATTAGAGGTTGTACAATCACATCTCATGGAGCAGAGGAGAAAGTTAATTTGCTGTGCCAGTCTGTCAAGAAGATGAATGTTAAAGCTCTTGCAGGATTGAAGGGTGAGGCCCTCAGGTCTTTCCAAGTCAATTGCTGTTATTGGTCAGTCACACTCCAGGGCCAATTAGCACATTCCTTGTACAAAATTCACTTCTTTTTAAAAGGCTTCCCTGTCTCACTCTGCCATTCTGATTACTATTCTGGACCCCTTGGTCCTTATGCAGAATTGTTGGGTTTCGTTGTGTTTAGTGACAACATCTTCTTTCCATAAAAATGGAAAGATCATTACAGAAATTCCTCTTTTGTCCCAGATACCTCCTACTAGAGGGAGCTGATCCTCAGGAGGCTGGCAGTTAAGTACATGGCAGTTAAGATGGAGCGGAAATGACTTCCCTTGGAGTCCCATTGGCCCATTCACATGAAATACAGAAATGTGTCTTTACTTAGTATGCAATGTGAGCTGGTAAACATAGCATGGGCTTTGAATTTTCTACACACTTGCGTGTACCTTCTGACACCAAGTTTTACTGGCTTTAGGACCTCTATAGTTATCTGCCTCACTTGGTCTGAGAATTCTCTGATGAAAAAAGATGATGAGAAAAGAAGATAAAGAAATAAATGTAGAGAAGAAGAAAGGAAAGAAAGAAGGAAAGGAAAAAGGAAGAAGGGGGAAGAAAGAAAAAAAAGGATATAAAGAAAGGAGGAAGAAAAGATGGAAGAAAGGATATTAATGCTGTTTTAATCAGAATGTTGTGAGAATAAATAAAAATGAGGTTATATGAGAGGTAACTAGATTAGGCACTTAGTAAACATGTTCCTCTCTCTTCCTTCTTTCCTTTATTTTGACTAGATTTTGAGTTTGAAAGCATTTGTTAAATAAAGTCTCTATAGATGTAATGAGTGGAGATTATAAAGCCATCAGGGAATAGATATCCTTAAGGATATCTACAACTCAGATAGGACAAAAACATATTTAACATAAATTGGATTGTGGAGCAATGGTCAGGAACTGCACATAAAAGCTAATAAAAATCCTTATAAATATCACTAGGAAGCCTCCACTGACAGTCTCCTTTCCCTATATCATCTCATTACAGTGACATTTCAGTCAATACATTTTTGACTTGATAAATGACTCCTTTTGTCCTCAGGCAGTGAATACCGTTTCTCTAGCAAACTTGTCATAGTGGGAGAAACACCAAGATGGGGGCTGTATTATTATTGTCATTTTATAGATGAGAGAATTCAGGCTTATTGCGATGAAGTAACATGTCCAAAGTCATATAACTAGGGAGGGGTCACTGGGACTGTGTTCTGTCCAACCCTAGAGACTTTCCTCCTTGTCACCATGTGTTACAGCCTCACCAGGTCTTGGAAAACATGAGGGGAGGAGGTTGTTTGGCAGGGAGCATGTGTGAAGGGTATTCTTCTAGCTTCAAGAAATTACAAGGAAAATACCTTAACATGTTCTGAAGAGACAGACATTAGACTAATTGATATATTTGGATCAGAGAGATGAGTTTGCCACTGGTAGCTACCAGAGCACTGCAGGAATGTCACTGACTTCAGATTTAAAATAGAAAAGAGCAATGCACAAAGCCTGGGTGTTTAATTCTGAAATGAAGTCTTCTTTTTTTTTGCTTTGCAGGTTAGCAGGAAAAAAATGACTGTGACATCAGGTTTTTTACATTTCTTTTCTATTATTAAAATTGCTAAAATCATAGCAGTTTGGGTTGGTGTTTATGCACATGTGCACATGATGACCATTGCTTTCCATTTGCAAGTGGGAAAGGCCATCATGATGCAAGGTAAGGAAAATGCTAATAGACTTCATCTTCTGAACATTGAAGGGGATGATCTCAGTTTCTGGGAAGTCATACGTTAATTATTAATGTGATTTTCAGGGTAATGCAGAAAATGCATAATATCTACTGCTTTTTAAGTGATTATGAGATGGACACTTTAAAAACTGTTGTGATGAAACTACACATAAGGAAGGGTGGTGTGTGAAGACTGTGTGGTGAGTGTTGGAAGGCATATGGGTTTTTTTCTTAAAATGAAGGCTCAACATTCAGGGAAATATGATATACTGGTTACAGGCTATGTCTGGGGCACCTCTTTCCTCTCCTTTTTGTGACCTTCTTGTACTTTCCCAAATCTTATAACATTATGCAGCTGCTCAGAGTGACTTATTCCCTTGATTTTAATCCACATATCAAACCCTACCCTCCAACTCTAATTCCCAGAGCCAGAGATTCAATTTTGTAGGAGCAACAGCTTGAAGGGGTTAGCAGGATACAATTATTCCCTTCTCTGTTCTTCTCTTTTCTGTTTCCCATAGCGTTTATTTTCCTTGTCCAAGACCTTCTGTTTTTCTTTTTTTGGGGGGAAGCTCACTTTTCTTATACTCTAAGTTCTCCCAACAAATAACTATAGAGAGAACGTATGAACAGATAAATACATTATTTATTCTCTCTACAGGTACAATCAAAGGGATATGAGCAGCAAATAAAACTTATCATGACATTAAGCTTTGGCTCCAGAACTTACTAGAAAAATCATGGAGCCTTCAGTCCCTCAGTTTCTTCCATTAGGGTTCTCAGGTTGGCATGTGCTTTCATCTCAGGAGGACCCTGATGCTGTGTTTCAGGGGCGCCTTTCCCACTCTGTAGTGCTTCTTTCTACTGCACTGATCCTACTCTTTTCTGTTTCATGAAGTTGAGATATTAGATTTTTAAATGACTAAGATGTTGATTTTTAAGATTTCAGGCTTTTTAAGATGTTAGTTACAAAGATGTCAGCTTTGAGATTCATATGTGTACACTGAGCTCTTGTAAATACTTTCTTTTCCTATGACACAAGGAGCTTCGTGTTTTAAACCTTAATGGTGGGGAAAGTGGACAGGAAAACAGGGAAAACTAAAAATCTCTATCACTTTAATAATTTTGAATACTCTACCTCTTTACAGCGATTATTGAATTCTGACTCCAATACACCCTTGCTGTCCTCTCTCCTTGGGAAAAAAAAACTGGTATCTTATTAGTAGGTCTACCTATTCTGCCTACAGCCAGCAACCTGGCTTTGTGATTCTTATTTTGTCTTATATCCAAGGGTGGTGTGTGCTCTTCTTGCAGGAAAACACCCTTCACGGTGGCTGCCAGAGGAATCCCTTACTCTCCATTCTCACTGATGAGGAAAGGGAGGCCAGGTCTGCATGGAAGACACGTTGTCTCTAATTTGAGTGTTAGGAAGCCAGCTTTAGCATCAGTATTAAGCAAATTTAATCAACTATATTTGGAGGAACACATTACTTGCTTAGATATATTAACCTTCACTTATTAGATTGTTGCTCTATGGGCTTCCTATATGTGTCAGGAGTCTGGAGAGAAGGAAGGGTACATGACAATTCCTAGTCCTAATATGTCCCACCATGGCAAATTTTCTCTCTTCATTTATTTAGTCCAACCCTTACCCACACTCAAGCCTCAGCTTAATCCTAATTCATTTATCTTACCTACTCATAATGTTTTTAGCTTATATTTCAAATTATTCATCAGTCAGATTCACTGATTTGAGAGCATGCTTTTGAAATAGTGACAGTTTCTTGTATTTTTTTTGTATCTTACTACACTTGGCATAACATAGCCTTCCTTAAATGTATTTTCATTAATCAATTAATTGCATATGATAATTTTCAGGCTCTCACTCAGAGTATGCTAGATACCGGCACATATTACATACTAGAATATTATATCTCACAGGATACACAGTTATCTGTAGACAAGAGATCCATTTCTGTGGAGACATCAGACAAGAAGAATCTTGGCCATTTTGTTTTCCAGTCCTGTGATTGTGCCCAGAGTCTAAGTTCTGAGACTCAAGGCCTTAAATAGAGTCACCGATGAGTCAGCATTTGCCCTCAAGGCAATTCTCCCAGAAAGAAAACATTGAACAACTAGGAATAACTTGTTCCTTCAAGGCCTTAAATATTTAGGGGGTAATCTTCTCACTGGGTATCTGTAAATTATTTAAACTAAATTGGCTTGCCCTATAGTCTGTCCTCTCCACAGGAATTGAAAGCCTGACTATTTCCTCGTCACAAGAGGGTAGGTTTATAGCTTAATCAAAATGACTGTTACCCAAGGCATATGCCTATAATAAACCACATCCATTACAGGGTCATCAAGGCAAGGAAAGGGGACGGCCTGAGGAAGAAGTTCAGTCTGCTGGCATCACTGGAAAGCAGGTTCTGTACTCTTCCCCTCAAAAGTTAGGGGTGAGCATGCATTTGGGACAATTCGCCCTTTCCAGCAGCACACTCAGAAGCCCATTTTGCTATAGGGTCACTCTATAAGCATGCTAGTGCTTCCCCTCTATATATTTGAGGTACCTGATAGCCAGGAATTGAGACTGCTTTTTCCCTCCATACCTACAGATCACTTATCTCACAACACACAAGACTTCTTTTGTTTTGAAGAAAGAGAAAAAAGAGGGGGCTGGGACATGCCAGCTGACTTCAAACATTTCAGGGCTGAAGTTTTATCTACGGATAACATTTTTCTAGGTGGAAGCTTCAAACGTAGAATTGAAACCAATAGATGGGAAGTTGTAATAAGATTGTTTTCACTTTCATCTAACCTTTCCACTAGGGTCACACCTGCATGGAAAGGTACAAAGAAATATAAGCAGCAAGTACAACTTTAATGGCATTAAGCTTTAACTCTAGAACTCACTACAAACATGGAATCTCCAGCCCCTCAAAATTTATTCTGTTAGGGCTCTTAGGCTGGCATTTATCCTCATGTTAGGTGGGTGGGCCAAATTACCTCTGTTTAAAGTATATCTCTCTTACTCTGTGGTATTTATTTTCACTGTACTAATGCAGCAGAAATAAATTGATGCTGCTTTTTTCTCTTTTATGAGCTTGTATTATCATTTGATCTCTAGTCACAGTAGTTATTGAAACTAATTCTCTCACCTTAGGTGGTTATGGCCATTTTAATACTCCAACAATTAGATTAATTCTCTATTATTTCCAGATTGTGTACTGCCCCTCCGTCAGGGTGATTTGGACACAATATTTGCACATAAACTTTTGCTGAACAAATTAGGTGAAGTGAACTGAGGAGAAAACTGGCAGAAGGGACGTTTTCTTGAGTTCTTAAAGCAGGAAGCAATTAATGCCCTAAATGAGATCTTCATTTTCTAGGAGGTCCCCATGGCTAAGCTCATTAAACATTAAAACTATAAACACATTATAAACCACATAAGATGTCTCAGTGTGATCCTTGGAAAGGTGCCAAAAGTAGATAATCACAAAAGGAGCTTGGGAACCAGCATGACAAGTCTAGATCCACCTCATTCTGTAGAAATTTTTCTACCAAATTACAGTTTTAAAATAATGCTTACAGGAAGAGCTGCACAGATAAAACTTTATTTTAAGAGACATTTCTGCTCACATATTTTGAAAATAAGACTCACCCTCTCTGTAAAGACCTGTAGAAATAAGATGGGTGATCGAATAAAAATAAAGTGATGATTATGTTTTCTTAAAGGTGTAATGCACTGAATTCTTGTGTAGTGAGGATAGGAACAAGAACATGAGTGCAGAATGAGTGCAGTTACAGTATATAGGTAACATCATTGAGGACATATATGGATACATGATGTTAAGCGGGCATTTTAAATATAAAACATTAGAGCTAAATAAAGTCAGATTTTAGCTGTGTGATAAATGGTTTCAGCTATTATATTGGGGAGAGGTCTCAGGTATTGGTATCGACTGTCTGATATTCTTGAATAAGGCGTTTCTATGGCTTCTTTAACTTAGAAGGGAGTGATGTAAATGATTGCATTTATTTGTTCTAAACTGTGGACTGCCTGAAGGATTGACACAAAGGACTTGTTTTGTTTTGCTTAACTTGGAACTCAGTTAATGGCAGAAAAGCCAGGTTCACTGCACAAAAAACATTATATGGCAAATGAAAAACCTGTCACAACCTGGGACAATACATTATTGTTGAGATATAAAATCTATAGCCTGAAGTCTGGGAGTAAAATCTGAGAAGAGAGTTTCTTCGGAAAATTAGGGCATTTAAATGTATCCATGTGTATTGGAGAATGTACAAAGCCACATACCTGCCTAGGATTGGATGCTTGGTCAGAAAGGACCTGAGAAAACCCTCAGCTTTCATCTTTGGTTGATCTCTAGGCTCAATACAAGCAGAAAGCTATGGCTAAAGCAGAGTTGTAAATGGACTAAGTACTGATGTTCAAGGGAATCTCTGCCAAAACATTTCCTGAATACAAGCTAAAGAAAAAGGCCTTTTACTGATGACACATGAGAAGGAATGGAGCCTTTGCAAAAAATAGATTTAAAACATTGCTAATCAAATGGACAACTGGGCATTTGTGAGAAATCCATAGCTAACATCAATGCTAAAAAACAAAAACTGAATTTTTCCACCTCAGATTAGAAAATGCCCATGTTAATTGCTGGTATTCAACATTGTACTAGAAATTCTAGCCAGAGTAATTAGGCAGGAAAAAGAAATAAAAGGTGTCCAACGTGCAAAGGATGTAAAACTCTCTATTCACAAATGACATAATCCTATATATAAAAAAATTTCAAACAATCCACAAGAAAAGCTATCAGATCTAATTAATGAATTTAACAAAATTGCAGGGTACAAGTTAAACATGCAAAAGTAAGTTATTTATATATATCAACAATGAGAAATCTGATAATAAAATTAAGAAAACAAATCAATTTATAATAATAGTCAAAAATTAAATTCTAGGAATAAATTTAAGCAATGAGGAGAAAGATTTATACAATGAAAAGTATAAGACATTGCTGAAAGAAATTAAAACCTAATAAATTGGGAAGACATCCTGTGTTATGAATTGGAAGACAATTTTCTTAAGATGTCAACTTTTTTTTTCTTTTTTCTTTTTTTCTTTTTATTTATTTATTTATTTTGAGACAGAGTCTAGCTCTGTCACCCAGGCTGGAGCACAGTGGTCCAATCTCAGCTTGCTGTAACTTCTGCCTCCCAGGTTCAAGAGATTCTCATGCCTCAGCCTCCCGAGGAGCTGGGATTACAGGCATGTACCACCACACCCACACCCAGCTAATTTTTGTATTTTTAATAGAGACGGGTGCCATGTTGGCCCGGCTGGTCTTGAACTCCTGACCTCAAGTGATCTGCCCATTTTGGGCTCTCAAAGTGCTGGGATTATAGGCATGAGCAACCAGGCCCAGTCTTTTTTTTTTTCTTAAGATGTTAGTTTGGGCAGTCCAAAGTGATCTTCAGATTCAATCTAATCCCTATACAAATTCTAGCAGACTTCTTTGCAGAAACAGAAATGCTGATTCTCAAATAGTTGTGGAATTGCCAGGGATACTGAAGAGCCAAAATCAAGTTGAAAAATAACAAATTTGGAGGACTTATATTTCCTACTATAACTTACTATAAACCAATATTAATCAAAACAGTATGGTACTGGCATAAGGACAGACATATAAACCAGTGGAATACAACTGAGAGTATAGAAATAAATCCTTATGCTTATGGCCAATTGATTTCAACAAGGATGCCAAACCATTCAAAAGATAAGGAATACTCTTATCAAAAAATTGTGTGGGACATCTGGATATCCATATGGAAAAAAAATGAAATTGAAACCCTACCTTACACCACATTAAAGTAATTAACTCAAAATTGATCAATGACCGACAAATAAAAGCAAAAACCATGAAGGAAAAATTTTATGGTCTAGTATTTGGCAGTGGTTTCTAGATATGATGTCAAAAACATGGGCAACAGAGAAAAATTAGGTAAATTGGACTTAATCAAAATTTTAAACTTTTGTATATCAAAAAAACTTATTGATAGAGAAAAAATCCTACAAAATGGGAAAAATATTTGCAAATTATATATTTGGTAGGGTTCTATTATCCAGAACATATAAAGAACACTCACAACTCAACAACAATATGACAAACAATTCTATTTAAAAAGGGCAGAAAACTTGAGTAGACATTTCTGCAAAGATAAACAAATAGCCAACAAGCCCCTTGAAAAGATGCTCAACATCATTAATCATTATTCAAATATAAATCAAAACCACAATGAAGTACCACTTTCTTCCCACTAGTATGCCTAAATTTTTTTTTAAAGGAAAATACCAAATGTTAGCAAGGCTATAAAGAATTTGGAATCCTCATATATTGCTGTGAGAATGTAAAATTTTTCAGCCACTGTGGAAAACAGTTTGGAAGTTCCTCAATAAGTTAAACATAAAATTACCACCTAATCCTACAATTCTACCCCTTGGAATATATCCAAAAGAATTGAAAACAGGCTTTCAAACAAGTATTTGTACATACATATTAATAGCAGCATTATTCACAAGTGAAAAGGTGAAAGTAATCCAAATGTCCATTAACAGATGAATGGATAAGCGCGCTGTTCATTAATTCATTATGGTTGAAATATTATTCAACCATAAATTTAATGAAGTACTGATACATTTCACAATGTGATGTATCTTCAAACATTATGCTAAGTGAAAATAAGCCAGACAGATCACATATATATGATGCCATTTACATGAAATATCCAGAAGAGATAAATCTTTAGAGACAGAACACAGTTTTGTGGTTTCTGGGGGATATAGAAGGAATAGGGAGAATCTGTTTAATGGGTAAAGAGTTTTATTTTGGAGTAATAAAAATATATTGGAATTATACAGAGGTGATGGTTGTATACCATTTTGATTGTCTTCAATGCCATTGAGTTGCCATTAAAATGGTTAATTTCATGGTATGTGAATTTCACCTTCATACAGTTTTTAAGAGAATTAGATGTTTCATAAAAGGAGCCCATGACCTGAATATCATGCTGAGCAGCTGGCCATATGGAAATTAAAAAGTTTACCATCGAGGTTCCTGAGTTCTTTAAGTAACCACAGGACCTCAAAGACTCTGTTTTAGCATTTAAAGTGAAAGACATAATAACTAAAGAGATGAGGGAATCTCAGCAGAGAAATATTAACTATAAAATACTACTAACTGGAAATTCTGAACTGGAAAGGTCAATATATGAAATAAAAAATTGACTTGATGGTCAACAGTACAATGGAGACTTCAGACAAAACAGTCAGTCAATTTAAAGACAGGGCAATAGAAACTATCCAGACTGAAGCACAGAGAGAAAACAGACTAAAATAAATGAACAACCTATTAGTTGTTTGAAGAATAATGTAAGACCATTATAACATATGTGTAATTGGAGTCTCAAAAGAAGAAGAGAGAGATATTGGAACAGAAAAGTATTTTCAGAAACACAGCCAACTTACTTTCCAAAAATTCAGTGATAAATATCTATGTGGAGATCAAAGGTACTCATAACCCAAGCAGGATAAACACAAAGAAAACCACATCTAGCATATCATCTTCAAATGGCTGAAAGGCAAAGAAGAAATCTGAAAAGCAGTCAGTGAAAAAAAGACACATTATATACAGGGTCACAAGGGTAAGAATAGAAACTAACTTCTCATTAGAAAAAATGCAAGCCAGAAGACAACAGAAAGACATCTCTAAAGTGCTGAAAGAAGAACAAAACTGTCAAACTAGAATTTTGTATCTATCAAAAATTCCTTTAAAAATGAAGGCAAAATAAAAACATTTTCAGACAAACAAAATCTGAGAGAATTTGTTAGTAGTAAACCTATGTTCTAAGAAATGGTAGAGGGATTTTTCTTTTTTCTTTTTTTTTAGTTTGTAAGGAAAATGCCAAATGAAATATAACATACGTACAAGTTAAATATGCAACAACAATAGCACAAAGGGTGGAGTGCGCAAATGGAAGCATATTGTTGCAAGTTTCTTACATTATACATGAAGTGAATTACCATTATAGTGGTAATTCAGGGCTGAAAGTCAGAAATTAAGGATGCATATTACAATCCTTAGAGCAACCACTTAAAAAAATTAGAGCAATAACCGAAAACCAATAGAAAAGATAAAATGAAAAGCTAAAAGAAATTCAATTGCTCTCCAAAAAGGCTGGAAAAGAATTTAAAAAGGAACAAATTACAAAAATGACAAATAAAAAATTGTATAATTGTACACTTCAGCTCAGTAGTTATAAAAATTAATTTTTTAAAGAACTAGAGTTGCATAAATGACTAAACACTTTAGTTAAAATGGAGAAATTATCAGGTTAGGTAAAAAGCAAGCGTTAACCTTATACTATACATAAGAAATGTCATTTAGATATAAAGATGGAGATAGGTTAAAAGGAAGAAAAAGACATGATGGAGATAGGTTAAAAGGAAGAAAAAGACATGTATGATACACTATAAAAAATTAGGGGTGGCTATTTTATCTGATAGTGTAGACTTCAAGACAATGAGTATTAACCGAGAGAAAAAGGGAGATTTCATAATTAGAAAATGTTAATTCCTCAAAGACATAAAAATACTAAAAGTATAGGTAAAAAACAGAGCTTCAAAATAGATAAAGCAAAAACTGTTAGAGCTAAAGCGATAAATAAACAAATCAATTATTCTAGTTGGAGATTCCAGCATTCATCTCTCAATACAGAATAGAAGTTGGTATGGATATAGAAGAACTAAACTGTACCATCAACCAAATTGATCTAATTGATATCTGTAAAACATTCCACCTAAGAATAGCAGAACCCTTTTCAAATTCACAAAACATATTCACCAAGATTCGCTATATAATGGCTCCTAAAACATAGCTCAATAAATTACAAATGATAAAAACCATACAAAATATTTTCTCTAACTACTAAGAAATTAAATTGGAGACTGATAATAAAAACATAACTAGAGAAAACCAATTATCTGGAAATTAAGCAACATACATTTAAATATCTCATGAGACAAAAAAGAAGTTATAAGGGAAATTGGAAAGTATTTTGTATTGGATGTCAAAAGCATATTATATCAAATCTTTGGGGTACAGCTAGAGCATTTAACTATATAGCTTTAAATGTTGACATTACAAAAAAGAAGTATTTTAAAATAAATCTTCTAAATTTTATATCTTGAGCTAAGAAACAAAGAGCAAAGAACATAGAAGAAAGAAAATGACAAGAATAGACACCAAAGAAACAGAAAATAGAGAAAAGAAAATAAATACAACTAAAATTTTGTTTTCTGAAAACAACTAGATTAAGTAAACAAGAGATAAAACCCAAAATACCAATATTAAGGATGAAAAAAAGCAAACCACCATAGAAACTATGAATTTTTTTTTAAAAAAGGGGATATTATGAACAACTTTATGCCAGTAAATTCAAGCATTTAGATGAAAGAATTTCTTAAAAGATATAAATTACCAATGTGAAAACAAGAAGGCATAAAAACTTCTCAATAGTCCTATTAATAAAATTGAATTTGTAATTAGAATCTACAAGGAAAATTCCAGGCCTAGTAAACTTCATTAGTGCATTTTAACAATTATTCAAACAAAAACCAATATCAATGTTAAACAGACACAGAAACTTAAATCAGAAACAGGAAGAGAGCCCACTATCCAACTCATTGTGTAAGGCGAGAATAGTTCTGAAACCAAAACCAGATAAATACAAGAAAATAATATTACTAACCAAAATCCCTCATTTATATAGATGCAAAAATCTTTAACCAAATATTAGTTTATTGAATCTAGCAATATATAAAAACAGCAATATGTTTTGGCCCAGTGGGGTTTATCCCAGGAATACAAAGGCAGATGTTGATACGGAACAACTAGAAATCCCATGCGTTGCTGATGAGAATATATATTTTAACCACTTTGTCAAGCTGTTTAGTGTTAACTACTACATGAATAGATTTATAACCTATGTCCCAACAGTTTCATTCCTAAGTATATGTCCAATAGAAATGTATGCACGTTTGTGCTATCTAATAAGTAGATGTGCAACATTGATAATAACAGCAACAAAATGATAAAACTTAAAAAGACCAACTGTAGAATACTTTTTATATATTTATACAATGAAATATTATATAATGAAGATGAACAGTTTTATTTAACAGTATAAATGAATCTCACAAAGTGTTGACTAAAAGATGACAGATACACAAGATTACATACTTTATAATTCCCTTTATGTAAGCTTCAAAATTGCATTAGAAATCAGCATAGAAAATTATTTTTGAGGTATAGAGAAGCTTAGATGTTGAGAGGGACTGCTTGGGTGCTGTATATATTACATTTCTTGACCTGAGTGGTGATTACACAGGTATGTTTACTGTGAATAATTCATCAATCTGTGTCCTTTGATTTGTGCATTTTTACATCTGTATTATATTTTAATTAAAAAGAAAATATATACCATGGAATCAAAAATTAAAATGGTTATTTTTAGTGATTACACTTTGGTTCTGATATATAACCTTAGGAAGCAATTGCCTCCCTACTTTTTAATTGAAGTAATAAATGTATTTTTAATGAAAAACAATAAAAATTACATAAAAGCATACATTAATCTTCAAGTAAATTAACAGTAAATGTTTTCTTTTTTATAGCAACTACTTTCCAAAGAAGAACACTATGATAAGGCTTTTCTGACTTTAACAATGACATCTGCTCTGGAGGTGCTGATATAAACTGGAGCAAAACTTTGATCTGCTGATTTTCATTATCAGCCTCATTGGTTTTTCATTGTTTCATCCTTCTATAGCTTCGTGAACATTATAGTGGGGAAATACCTATTTCCCATGAGATTGGCTTATAAATCATTGTCCATTCATTTGTGCTGATTTTCCTATTAATGTCTGAGAATCTGAATGTGTAAAGAAATCTGTTTTTACTTTGCTTAATGCTAAACTTGTTAAACTTTGTGCTTTTGACATTGCTCTTGATATTTTGAAAAGCATTTCTGTTTTCTGGCACTAATGCAATAACTCTAGAACCATTCTGATATTTTCGTGGCCAGGTCATGGAATCAAGTGGGAATCAAATTCACACTGATGTTCCCAGTTCCACATATTGTGTTGCTTTACCCCACCTTTTCAGAAAGAGGATTCATCAACTTCTAGGGCTGTCTTCTAGCTGATAATTTACAAAAAGGAGCTCAAGTATAGAAGATCCCTGCCACTGTGATATGGTAGACAGAAAGTTGAGGCCATGCACCAGCAGAACTCTACCTCATGTGGCATCACAAGAGCAGAGTACAAATAGTGTTTCCCACACTCACATCTGCACTCATTATGTGTAATAGAAGAGGTCCCTTCAATGAAGAGAATGGGACTACAGTGAAGGAGAGATAGGTAGTTAGTTAATTCAATAAATAAGAGCCCGAGGATAATTTTACCAAGATCTCAGATGCTATTCACACAAATTTTATAATCATTTTATAGTGACCCTTACTAATCCTATTAATGTTGCACAAATCACTACAATATTAGCCAATGGTAATCATAATTCCTGGATGGTAATGTGAATATGCAGTATGTATTAGTCTATTAGGGCTGTCATAACAAAGTACCACAGACTGGGTGTCACTTTTTTGTATTATTATTATTCTTTAAGTTTTAGGATACATGTGCACAACGTGCAGGTTTGTTACATATGTATACTTCTGCCATTTTGGTGTGCTGCACCCATTAACTCGTCATTTAGCATTAGGTATATCTCCTAATGCTATCCCTTCCCCCTCCCCCCACCCCACAACAGTCCCCGGTGTGTGATGTTCCCCTTCCTGTGTCCATGTGTTCTCATTGTTCAATTCCCACCTATGAGTGAGAACATGCGGTGTTTGGTTTTTTGTCCTTGGGATAGTTTGCTGAGAATGATGGTTTCCAGCTTCATCCATGTCCCTACAAAGGACATGAACTCATCCTTTCTTATGGCTGCATAGTATCCCACGGTGTATATGTGCCACATTTTCTTAATCCAGTCTGTCATTGTTGGACACTTGGCTTGGTTCCAAGTCTTTGCTATTGTGAATAGTGCCTCAATAAACATACCTGTGCATGTGCCTTTATAGCAGCATGATTTATAATCCTTTGGGTATATACCCAGTAATGGGATGGCTGGGTCAAATGGTATTTCTAGTTCTAGATCCCTGAGGAATCGCCACACTGACTTCCACAATAGTTGAACTAGTTTACAGTCCCACCAACAGTGTAAAAGTGTTCCTATTTCTCCACATCCTCTCCAGCACCTGTTGTTTCCTGACTTTTTAATGATCGCCATTCTAACTGGTGTGAGATGGTATCTCATTGTGGTTTTGATTTACATTTCTCTGATGGCCAGTGATGATGAGCATTTTTTCATGTGTTTTTTGGCTCCATAAATGTCTTCTTTTGAGAAGTGTCTGTTCATATCCTTTGCCCACTTTTTGATGGGGTTGTTTGTTTCTTGTAAATTTGTTTGAGTTCATTGTAGATTCTGGATATTAGCCCTTTGTCAGATGAGTAGGTTGCAAAAATTTTCTCCCATTCAGTAGGTTGCCTATTCACTCTGATGGTGGTTTCTTTTGCTGTGCAGAAGCTCTTTAGTTTAATTAGATCCCATTTGTCAATTTTGGCTTTTGTTGCCATTGCTTTTGGTGTTTTAGACATGAAGTCCTTGCCCATGCCTATGCCCTGAATGGTATTGCCTAGGTTTTCTTCTAGGGTTTTTCTGGTTTTAGGTCTAACATGTAAGTCTTTAATCCATCTTGAATTAATTTTTGTATAAGGTGTAAGGAAGGGATCCAGTTTCAGATTTCTACATATGGCTAGCCAGTTTTCCCAGCACCATTTATTAAATAGGGAATCCTTTCCCCATTTCTTGTTTTTGTCAGGTTTGTCAAAGATCAGATAGTTGTAGATATGCGGCATTATTTCTGAGGGCTCTGTTCTATTCCATTGGTCTATATCTCTGTTTTGGAACCATTACCATGCTGTTTTGGTTCCTGTAGCCTTGTAGTATAGTTTGAAATCATGTAGCGTGATGCCTCCAGCTTCGTTCTTTTGGCTTAGGATTGACTTGGTGATGCGGGCTCTTTTTTGGTTCCATATGAACTTTAAAGTAGTTTTTTCCAATTCTGTGAAGAAAGTCATTGGTAGCTTGATGGGGATGGCATTGAATCTATAAATTACCTTGGGCAGTATGGCCATTTTCACGATATTGATTCTTCCTACCCATGAGCATGGAATGTTCTTCCATTTGTTTGTATCCTCTTTTATTTCCTTGAGCAGTGGTTTGTAGTTCTCCCCGAAGAGGACCTTCACATCCCTTGTAAGTTGGATTCCTAGGTATTTTATTCTCTTTGAAGCAATTGTGAATGGGAGTTCACTCATGATTTGGCTCTCTGTTTGTCTGTTATTGGTGTATAAGAATGCTTGTGATTTTTGCACATTGATTTTGTATCCTGAGACTTTGCTGAAGTTGCTTATCAGCTTAAGGAGATGTTGGGCTGAGACGATGGGGTTTTCTAGATATACAATCATGTCATCTGCAAACAGGGACAATTTGACTTCCTCTTTTCCTAATTGAATGCCCTTTATTTCCTTATCCTGCCTGATTGCCCTGGCCAGAACTTCCAATGCTATGTTGAATAGGAGTGGTGAGAGAGGGCATCCCTGTCTTGTGCCAGTATTCAAAGGGAATGCTTCCAGTTTTTGTCCATTCAGTATGATATTGTCTGTGGGTTTGTCATAGATAGCTCTTATTATTTTGAGATACGTCCCATCAATACCTAATTTATTGAGAGTTTTTAGCATGAAGAGTTGTTGAATTTTGTCAAAGGCCTTTTCTGCATCTATTGAGATAATCATGTGGTTTTTATCGTTGGTTCTGTTTATATGCTGGATTACGTTTATTGATTTTTGTGTGTTGAAACAGCCTTGCATCCCAGGGATGAAGCCCACTTGATCATGGTGGATAAGCTTTTTGATATGTTGCTGGATTCAGTTTGCCAGTATTTCATTGAGGATTTTTGCATCAATGTTCATCAAGGATATTGGTCTAAAATTCTCTTTTTTGGTTGTGTCTCTGCTAGGCTTTGGTATCAGGATGATGCTGGCCTCATAAGATGAGTTAGGGAGGATTCCCTCTTTTTCTATTGATTGGAATAGTTGCAGAAGGAATGGTACCAGCTCCTCCTTGTACCTATGGTAGAATTCGGCTGTGAATCCATCTGGTCCTGGAGTTTTTTTGGTTGGTAACCTATTGATTATTGCCTCAATTTCAGAGCCTGTTATTGGTCTATTCAGAGATTCACGTTCTTCCTGGTTTAGTCTTGGGAGGATGTATGCGTCGAGGATTTTATCCATTTCTTCTAGATTTTCTACTTCATTTGCGTAGAGGTGTTTGTAGTATTTTCTGATGATAGTTTGTATTTCTGTGGGATCAGTGGTGATATCCCCTTTATCATTTTTTATTGCATCTATGTGATTGTTCTCTCTTTTCTTCTTTATTAGTCTTGTAGCGGTCTATCAATTTTGTTGATCTTTTCCAAAAAACCAGCTCCTGGATTCATTGATTTTTTGAAGGGTTTTTTGTGTCTCTATTTCCTTCAGTTCTGCTCTGATCTTAGTTATTTCTTGCCTTCTGCTAGCTTTTGAATGTGTTTGCTCTTGTTTCTCTAGTTCTTTTAATTGTGCTGTTAGGGTGTCAATTTCAGATCTTTCCTGCTTTCTCTTGTGGGCATTTACTGCTATAAATTTCCCCCTACACACTGCTTTGAATGTGTCCCAGAGATTCTGGTATGTTGTGTCTTTGTTCTTGTTAGTTTCAAAGAACATCTTTATTTCTGCCTTCATTTTGTTATGTACCCAGTAGTCATTCAGGAGGAGGTTGTTCATTTTCCATGTAGTTGAGCGGTTTTGAGTGAGTTTCTTAATCCTGAGTTCTAGTTTGATTGCACTGTGGTCTGAGAGACAGTTTGTTATAATTTCTGTTCTTTTACATTTGCTGAGGAGTGTTTTACATCCAACTATGTGGTCAATTTTGGAATAGGTGTGGTGTGGTACTGAAAAGAATGTATATTCTGTTAATTTGGGGTGGAGAATTCTGTAGATGTCTATTAGGTCCACTTGTTGCAGAGCTGAGTTCAATTCCTGGATATCCTTATTAACTTTCTGTCTCATTGATCTGTCTAATGTTGACAGTGGGGTGTTAAAGTCTCCCGTTATTATTGTGTGGGAGTCTAAGTCTCTTTGTAGGTCACTAAGGACTTGCTTTATGAATCTGGGTCCTCCTGTATTGGGTGCATATATATTTAGGATAGTTAGTTCTTGTAGTTGAATTGATCCCTTTACCATTATGTAATGGCCTTCTTTGTCTCTTTTGATCTTTGTTGGTTTAAAGTCTGTTTTATCCGAGACTAGGATTGCAATGCCTGCCTTTTTTTCTTTTCCATTTGCTTGGTAGATCTTCCTCCATCCCTTTATTTTGAGCCTATGTGTGTCTCTGCACTTGAGATGGGTTTTCAGAATACAGCACACTGATGGGTCTTGACTCTTTATCCAATTTGCCAGTCTGTGTCTTTTAATTGGAGCAGTTAGCCCATTTACATTTAAGGTTAGTATTGTTATGTGTGAATTTGATCCTGTCATTATGATGTGAGCTGGTTATTTTGCTTGTTAGTTGATGCAGTTTCTTCCTAGCCTCAATGGTGTTTACAATTTGGCATGTTTTTGCAGTGGCTGGTACCGGTTGTTCTTTTCCATGTTTAGTGCTTCCTTCAGGAGCTCTTTTAGGGCAGGCCTGGTGGTGACAAAATCTCTCAGCATTTGCTTGTCTGTAAAGGATTTTATTTCTCCTTCACTTATGAAGCTCAGTTTGGCTGGATATGAAATTCTGGGTTGAAAATTCTTTTCTTTAAGAATGTTGAATATTGGACCCCACTCCCTTCTGGCTTGTAGAGTTTCTGCCAAGAGATCAGCTGTTAGTCTGATGGGCTTCCCTTTGTGGGTAACCCAACCTTTCTCTCTGGCTGCCCTTAACATTTTTCCTTCATTTCAACTTTGGAGAATCTGACAATTATGTGTCTTGGAGTTGCTCTTCTCGAGGAGTATCTTTGTGGCGTTCTCTGTATTTCCTGAATTTGAATGTTGGCCTGCCTTGCTAGATTGGGGAAGTTCTCCTGGATAATATCCTGCAGAGTGTTTTCCAACTTGGTTCCATTCTCTCCGTCACTTTCAGGTACACCAATTAGATGTAGATTTGGTCTTTTCACATAGTTCCATATTTCTTGGAGACTTTGTTTCTTTTTATTCTTTTTTCTCTAAACTTCTCTTCATGTTTCATTTCATTCATTTTGTCTTCCATCACTGATACCCTTTCTTCCAGTTGATCGCTTCGGTTACTGAGGCTTGTGCGTTTGTCATGTAGTTCTTGTGCCATGGTTTTCAGCTCCATCAGGTCCTTTAAGGACTTGTCTGCATTGGTTATTCTAGTTATCCATTTGTCTAATTTTTTTTCCAAGTTTTTAACTTCTTTGCGATTGGTTTAAACTTCCTCCTTTAGCTCGGAGTAGTTTGATCTTCTGAAGCCTTCCTCTCTCAACTCGTCAAAGTCATTCTCTGTCCAGCTTTGTTCCATTGCTGGTGAGGAGCTGCATTCCTTTGGAGGAGGAGAGGCGCTCTGATTTTTAGAGTTTCCAGTTTTTCTGCTCTGTTTTTTTCCCATCTTAGTGGTTTTATCTACCTTTGGTCTTTGATGATGGTGACGTACAGATGGGTTTTTGGTGTAGATGTTCTTTCTGTTTGTTTGTTAGTTTTCCTTCTAAGAGTCAGGACCCTCAGCTGCAGGTCTGTTGGAGTTTACTGGAGGTCCATTCCAGACCCTATTTGCCTGGGTATCAGCAGTGGTGGCTGCAGAAAAGCGGATATTGGTGAACCACAAATGCTGCTGTCTGATCGTTCTTCTGGAAGTTTTGTCTCAGAGGACTACCCGGCCATGTGAAGTGTCAAGTCTGTCCCTATTGGGGGGTGCCCCCCAGTTAGGCTACTCGGGGGTCAGGGGCCTACTTGAGGAGGCAGTCTGCCTGTTCTCAGATCTCAAGCTGCATGCTGGGAGAACCACTACTCTCTTCAGAGCTGTCAGACAGGGACATTTAAGACTGCAGAGGTTATTGCTGTCTTTTGTTTGTCTGTGCCCTGCCCCCAGAGGTGGAGCCTACAGAGGCAGGCAGGCCTCCTTGAGCTGTGGTGGGCACCACCCAGTTCGAGCTAACTGGCTGCTTTGTTTACCTACTCAAGCCTGAGCAATGGCAGGCGCCCCCACCTCAGCCTTGCTGCCGCCTTGCAGTTTGATCTCAGACTGCTGTGCTAGCAATGAGTGAGGCTCCGTGGGCATAGGACCCTCTGAGCCATGTGCGGGATATAATCTCCTGGTGTGCCATTTGTTAAGCCTGTTGGAAGTCTGGTGTATTAGGGTGGGAGTGACCCAATTTTCCAGGTGCCGTCTGTCACCCCTTTCTTTGACTAGGAAAGGGAATTCCCTGACCCCTTGAGCTTCCCGGGTGAGGCGATGCCTCACCCTGCTTCGGCTCACGCACGGTGCACTGCACCCACTGTCCTGCACCCACTCTCTGGCACTCCCCAGTGAGATGAACCTGGTACCTCAGTTGGAAATGCAGAAATCACCCGTCTTCTGTGTCGCTCACGCTGGGAGCTGTAGAATGGAGCTGTTCCTATTCGGCCATCTTGGCTCCACTATCCTGGGTGTCTTTTTTTGAGACAGAGTCTTGCTCTGTCACCCAAGCTGGAGTGCAATGGCATGATCTCCACTCACCGCAACCTCTGCCTCCTGGGTTCAAGCGATTCTCCTGCCTCAGCCTTCTGAGTAGCTGGGATTACAGGTGCATGCCACCACACCCAGCTAATTTTTTGTATTTTTAGTAGAGATGGGGTTTCACCATGTTGGCCAGGCTGGTCTCGATCCTTGACCTCATGATCTGCCCTCCTCAGCCTCCCAAAGTGCTGGGATTACAGGCATGAGCCACTGTGCCCAGCCTGACTTGGTGTTTTAAACAACAGAAATTTATTATCTCACAGTTCTGAAGGCTGAAAGTCCAAGGTCAAGGTGTTGGCAGGGTTGATTTCTTCTTCGGTTTCTCTTGTTGGCTTGCAGATGGCTGTCTCCTCCTTGTGTCTTCACATAGTCTTTCATCTGTATTCTAATCTCTTCTTATCAGGACACCAATCACATTTGATTAGGGCCCACCCTAATGACCTCATTTTAACTTTAACTCTTTAAAGACCCTATCTCTAAATACAGTCACATTCTGAGATACTGGGGAGTTAAAGCTTTAACATATCAATTTTGGGGAGGACACAATACAGTTGATACCACAGTGATATCTTTCTAATCTTGGTCAGGTGCATTGAATTGGTATATGCAACAAATACATGTGTGTGGTAGCATCACATTCTGAAGTCTATGCTCCAAATGGAAGGTGAACCTGGTTGTGGAATGTGAAAAATAAATGGAAGCTTATAGTAATACCTATAACTTCTTTGCAGAAGGCATATTAGCATTCCAGCAGAATTTTATAGCTAAATACATTTTAATGAAACTAGTTATTTGCAAAAGCATTGTAAAGCTGGTTTTAAAATATCAGCTACTAAAGCACTGCTTTGTCCCTTTCTCCTTTGTTCAGTGATGTTGTAACACACGCTAATGTAGGAACTTATTAGAAATTAATGACCCTCACAGTTAAAGCAAATAGATTGAACTCATCCTATTTGCCATCAAATCTGTTCTTTCTTCAGTACATCCTATCTTTTAATGATAGTGCCAGTTCATTGTCACCCAGTGACCCAAACTGTGTCATCTTTGACTTTCTTCTTACCCTTCTCTTTATTATAACATAGCAGTTGCAGCCAAACAGATCTGGGTTCAAATCTAGGTTTGCCACTTGCTAGCTATGTCTTGACATGTTATTTGTCCTCTCCCTTTGCTTTAGTTTCCTCGTCTATAAAATGTGGGAACAGTACCCAGAGCCAAATTATAAAATAAATGCCTCTGGCAATAAATGTTACTAATTATTACTATTACTGTCACTGATTCTACCTCTAAACTTTCTTTTCCTTTTTTTTTTTTTAATTTTACTTTAAGTTCTGGGATACATGTGTGGAATGTGCAGGTTTGTTACATAGGTATACATGTGCCATGGTGGTTCGCTGCACCTATCAACCCATCATCTATGTTTTAAGCCCCTCATGCATTAGGTATTTGTCTTAATGCTCTCCCTCCCCTTTCCTCCCACCCTCTACCTCTAAACTTTTATAGCTGCACATTTATCTTCATTTATACCACTCCTATACTAATTTAGGACTGGTCTTCTAGTCACTCTGAATTCTTATACATCTGATCTAATCTACTTATTTATCACTTTTATTCTTAAGGCCTGGCTGTAATTGTAACTTGCTCCCTTCAAAAACTTTCAATGACTTTAAATTACCTAGAAAATAAAGTTGAATAGTCTTAATCCAGCTTTTTTAGGCCTTTTGAGTTTTAGGTGAACTCCCTTTTTAAAGGCCAAAGGGTCTGTTTGGTCTCAATCTGCCCTTAACCTGCAGTGTCATCTTGGATCAGTCTGTACGCTTGGCAGTGACAATGACTACTCTCATGGTTTATTATAAGGATTATTTATTTTAATTCCTAGAAGTCCTGGCTTTGAAAGCTTCATTATCTAGCAGAATAGACTTTGGAAAATTGATTTACTTCTCTGGGATTTCTTCTATTTGTTTGTAAATTGATGTGGTTCACAAATTTGAGTTTGTATAAGAATCAGCTAGAGAACTTGTGAAACATGAGGACTTTAGACCTCATCCCAGACAGAGATTCTGACGATATTTTACTTTTTTTAAAAATTGAGGCATAACATATAAGTGCATAAAGTATACTAATGTTAGGTGTATATCTTGATTTTTTACTTATGTATATGCTTGTGTGAACATCATTCAGGTCAAGACACGTTAGATAGTCCCCGACTTAGGATGGTTTGACTTAACGATTTTTTGACTTAATGATGGTTTGAATGTGGAACACTTATTGCAATATGTGATGAATTATTCAATAAATTGCATGAACTTTTCAACACTTGATTATAAAACAGGCTTTGTGTTAGCTAATTTTTGTCCAATCGTAGGCTAATTTAAATGTTCTGAGCTTACTGAAAGCAGACTAGACTAACCTATGGTGTTTGAGAGGTTAGGCATATTACATGCATTTTCAACTTACTATGAGTTTATCAGGACTTAGGCCCATCTTAAGTCGAGAAGCATTGTGTGAAATATTTCCAACACCCCGGGAGTTCTCCATGCCTTCCCAGTCTGTGCCTTTTCCAGAGATATAATAGTTTCTAACCACTATTTTAACTTCTATCATGATTCCTTTTTAGCTATATGAATTAGATGAATTTTGGTGTTCCTTTTAATTCTAGTTTTCTTTGAGTCTCAATTTCTAATTCAGATGGAGAAATAAAACTATTTTGAGTAAGTTCACATTGTCATCCAAAATTTAGATATTTTCTGCCATCAACATCTACCCCAACTTTAACCCCTCCTTTGGTTCTTCACCTCCGCAAGTCTTCATATTCTTTCTTATTCTTAAGCTCTATTGTGGCTACTTCCCAAGCTAGGATAGAAATAAAGAATACTAAAGTTACAAGTCAAGTATTCTAACCCCCCTTACTTGCAACAATTCCTTCTACAACATCCCTGGAAAGTGGTCTTTTACCTCTGCTTAAAAACTTCTGGTAACTGAGACCTGCTTATGTCAAATTATTGGACATTTGTCTTTGCTAGAAATTGCTTTCATATGTTGATCATTGTAAAATATTATTTGGTATCTTTGCTCATAGTTATGCCCTCCAGAATAAAAAGAATATCCGGTCTTTTCTTCTTTATGGCAACCTTTCAAATATTTAAGACAGTTGCCACATATACTCTAAGACTTTTTTTTTCTCTAGTTATTGGAGTCAGAACTCCCAGCACTTTATTGGCTCTTGCCATGCCTTTCAAAACCTGAATCTGAAAGATGCTAGGTAATTGAGAGTTACAGTAGCCTACCAAGGGAGAAATTACAATTTATGCTGTAACACAACTGTTGGAGCAATAATGTACAAGTTCTACCCCAGTGGGACATGCAGAACGGCATATATTCCTTCTCTCTCTGCAGAACCAGCTTCATGGATACCCACCCTGTGTGGTCTCACTGGGCTCATGCCCGGATAGTCACTATGCTTGATTTTTCACTCTACTGTTGCCATCTTAAAATTCTTAATATTTTTTGAACAAGGGGCCCACGTTTTCATTTTTCACTGGGTTCCACAAAATTAGGTAGCCAGTTCTTCTTTTCTGGTTTTATTGCATTTGCTAATGTCCTAAATATTTTTATTTTTCTTCTTAGTAATATCTCCTCTAACAGAGCTATTAAGAGTGTATTATATTTTATAGTCCTTTTTAACTTATTTCAAATAACTTTTCCTTAGAGCAATGAACATAGGTTCAATATTAAAATCTTATAGATGAGCAACCTAGGGCTTAAAGAAATTAAGTGAATTGCCGAAGTTTCATAGCTTATTAGTAACAAAGCTGGCTCAGAACCAAATCCTCTGACTTCAGCATTCATTACATAAGGCCCCCTTCCTTTCTCTTGGGAGGTGCTGTATTTTAAATTCCAAGGCTTTAAGTTGAATACTCTAGTCTTATTAACTTCTCAGGTTCCTACAGCTTATTCTGTTTTAGTTCTTTCTCCAGACGCCATGCTTCGACTTGACATTCCTGAATTGCTGACTCATATTTAGTATAGAATTCACTCTATTTGCTCCTCAGGTCATTTACCCAAATTGCCTAGTCTTCTCTTAGCTGATAATTGAAGCTTATTTTTCTACCCTATGTGATTTACCCTGAGCTCGCATTTTTTAAAAAGTAATCTCAGGTTAATTTTGAAAAAATTCCAATGCAATCTCATTTTTTCCTCCCTTGATTATAATTCAGATCTATAGCTAATCTCTAGATCATTAAGGGTGTTCCAGTAATTGGAAAGAAATCTCCACGCTTTTTTCATTAAGTGCTCATCTAACTTGCAAAGCGAAGTTAAACTAACTTAAGCTGCTGAGACTTGCCTTATTTGACCAAAAAGGAATCCAAAGCATTTCTATGAAAATTTAGCTTCATTTGCAATTATATTAGTCAGGGGAAGGGAAATGGAGAGTATAATGTAACAAGGTTATAAAGACCATCTTAATGTGGCAAGATTGATAGTAGCGTGAAGCTTCAAGGTTGGCCTTACCCCTGCACACTCTGCAGATGGATTTTTATCCTTGTGTGTGTCTGGCCCAGATAAAATTGCCTTGGTTATCTCTGTCTTCCAGTAAATACTCTGACTCACGCTTTGTTTCCTGGAGACCCAGGCTAAGACACATGCATGTTCACCACTGAGGTAGTCTACCAATGTCACTTCCTAATTTCTAGAGGATAAAATAAAAAGACATGGTCATGATTAGTTAATTGCCCTTACATCTGTAACATTCCCAGTTGAGGGACAGAACCCATTTTAAGCAGATACCAGTGACCTAGAAATAAATTGAACCGGTCATTTCCATCTCAGTTAATGACACCACAATGTTCCCCACTTACGAATTTAAAAACATGGGCATTCTCATTGATCTCTTCCTTTTTTTTAACCTTTCCATCTAGTTAAACAACAAACCCCGTGGCTTCTATCTCCAAATATCCCCCAAATGACCCCTGCTTTCCATTTCCACAGCTACACTTACACACCATACACTGTACTTACACACTACACACTACATCTGCACACTGTGCCTATACTCTACAGCTCAGAGCAGCACTGTTTCTCACCTGATCTCTGCCATAAACTCTTAATTTGTCTCCGTTGGCTCCTTTAAAATAAACTGACTACACAGCAGTAAGATTAGACTTTTAATAATGCAAATCTGATTATGCCATTCCCCTGATTATAACCCCATCCCAGTGCTGCATTCTCTTATTCTGTTTGTCTTTTTATGTGTACTTAATGTCATCGCTATACTTTTTTCCCTTGTTTATATTGTTCTCTTCTCCCTCCCCCCACCTCAATTATAGAATGAAAAAAAAAAAAGGTCCTTCTGTCTTGGTCATTATCTGTCTCCCCATGCTTACAAGAGTATTGACACCCAATAGGTGTTCAAAAATTATTTGCTAAATAAATTAACGAACCTGCAAACCAAGGCTGATATACAGTCCATCCCTCTTTATTTTAGAACGTTCTCCCCAATATCCCAGTGTTAACTCCAAGCTTTGGCAAACTGCTGGGTTGCCTAAGTTAGGCTCTCAGGGATTCAATGTCTGCTTATCTCTTTATTTAGTTGTAGCCAGTGTTCTAATTCCGATTATAAACTGACTTCCCTTTTCTTTCCACTATGTCTCTTTCCCACTATACCTTCAGCTGTACAACTCTAGAAGCAATGGTTCCTCCTGTTAGATTTCAGCTTATAACTAGTTATGGCTCCTGTCTGTTCTTTCCTTATATCCAAGGTTACCTTTCAACCTTGACTAAGCTGCTATTCTCAGCTTCCACTGTCCCAGTTCCCTCCGCTGGGCCAACTGATACTTGCAAATCATCACTTAGCCTTTAAGTCCTGTAGCATTCAGTGGATCCCAGGCAGAAAGCACATGAGGTGACTAAGCCAGAGGAGTGCCTCCTTCTGAGCACATATTCAGAATAAATGTTTCCTCCAGGCTGACATTTGCAAGACTTCTCTGCATAAAGATAAGCACTTGTTTAAAAAAAAATAGCTTGTATTTTTGTGCTTATTGAGTTCACCTATGAATCTATGATGAGAACAGCATTGGTCAACCCCCAAAGAAAAATTAAGCTGCATTTGAATTATTCCCAACTGTTCTCTCATCTTAAAACTTAGCTGCTCACTTAGAAGTTAAGAAACTTCTAAGTTTCTGCAACAAGCAGCTGGCAAAACAGTCCTAATGGCAGAGATGGGACACCACGCACAACTTTGGCTGGCATTTTCAGGATTTTTAAATGCTTGGTTGCAATTGTCACTTCCAGAAGGATTTCATGAAGATTAATAATGTAAGAAAAAGGCCATCTTTCAAGTAACTGAACACAGTAACTATTAGACAGTACATTTTTCTGGCAAAATTGGAAAAAAGAAGAAATGTTTCTTCTTGTAGGTCCATCCCTATTTTAATTGTGTTTTTTTCTTTAAAAATATGTATTCCTATACCATTACATCATTATACATATAAATATATACACACATGCATATGCATACATTTATATACACATTCAGATATATATGCATATATGTATGTATAAATGTATAATATTTGGTAAGGTTACTTTGATAATAACAAATAATATAGATTAACTGGACTAGCAAATGTACTGTAGTAGGCACTCAATAAATATTAGCCATTAATACTGCTATATTATCAAATTTCTATAAATAATTAATACTTTAAAAAGAAAAAGGGAGATCAACTTCCAGTATGAGAGTGTGAAGACCTTCCTGACCTGCTCTGCAGTGAAACTAGTAAAAACTATTTTTAAAAAACTGTTTAAATCCTCTGGAAAATGATCCTAAGGCCAAAATGCAAGTGAAGAAACATTTATTCAAAAATATGGATAAGAATTCAGCAAGAAAGGTGAGAAATCTGTGATATTTTAAGCGGGACTCCTTCCCCCCAACCCAGCAAGGCAAATCCTCCACTCTAGACTGCTGCAGCCAAGGACACAGGTTCCTGCTCACCCCAGCACCCACAAGGAGGGCTCGCTTCTTGGGGGGAGCATGCTATCAGCATTTTCATCCTGCCCCTAGTTACTGGTTGCTGAAGATAAGTCCCAGGTTGAGGGCGGGGGCTCCCTTTTTCTGCTTAGCCTTTTCTCATGGAACAGAGGCTGTAACTTGGGTGCAGCACCTGAGACCACTGGGGCCATGACCACTCTTTTCTGGATCATGAGTTGGTGGTTTCATGCCAAGAGAGGAGAGACAACAGGATCCCAGACAGCTGCCCCCCATGAAGCACTGAGCTTCTAAAACACGAGTATCACCCACAGAGAAGCTTGGCACATCCTCACTCCCAGCCTCAGATCCCTGGTTCAGAGACTTTGCTGGGAGAGAAATAGGACGTAATATAGATAGCTTCAATTCTTTTTTCAAAAGAACTGACTTCACTTGGAAGAGAATGAAGAGGTTCAACCCCCAAAGCTTGAAAACAATCTTAAAAATGGTAGAGATTGTGGTGAAAGGCAATTGGAATATGATTCAGAATACCAGCTGTTATGGTTAACTTTATGTGGCAATGTGGCTAGGACATAGTACCCAAGCATTTGGTCAAACATGTTTGGATATTGCTGTAGAAGTATATTTTAGATGAGGTTAACATTTAATTCAGTACATTTTGAGAAAAACAGATTCCCCTCTATATTGTGGGTGGACCTCATTCAATCAGTTGAAGGCCTTAAGAAAATGACTGATTAACCTCTTCTGAGAAGGGGGGAATTCTGTTAGCAGACTGCCTTCAGATTCCAACCACAGCATCTACTGTTTTCTAAGTTCCCAGCCTACTGGCTGACCCTGCAGATTTTGCACTTGCCATGCTTCACAATTTCATGAGCTGATTTCTTGATATAAAATGTCTTAAAATAAATCTCTTTCTTTATACACTTATGACTGGTTCTATTTCTCTAGAGACCTCTGAATGATACATAGACTAACCTGTAGCCAGCTAGATTACAGGAGAAAACCAAGGAATGTGTCATGTGGCAGGAGTTCTGTTGGGGTAACAACAAAAATCAAACAGTGATCTCAGAAACTATCACTTCAAAGGAACCAAAATCTGGTTAGATTAGTTTATAGAGCAATTTATGCCTCATGGTATTGTTGAAAAAATATAATAATCGGCAGGCAATTAATGGAGTTTAACAATTTGTTGTGGTCAGGGAAAGAGAAGAATCCAATTAGTGCCAATGTCATCCCTGGGTAACTGAGCATACCAAATCTGTACTTCCTGAAGAACATCAGAGCCTGAACACTAGGGGGAGAAGAAAGGCAGAGAGCTTCACCAAAGTAATCTAATCAGCCACTAAACAAGTAAACAAGCAAACAATATTGACAAGTGAAGGAGGAGGTCGACTAGTACCCAGAGCTCCTACAACATATTATCTAAAATGTATGCTTTTCAAAAAAAAATCTAAGATATGCAAAAAAAGAATAAAAAGAAACCAGAATATATAACCAAGAGAACAGGGAAAGAGAAATTTATGAGAAAAACAGTAACAACAACTTTAAAGTGGCCATACTACCTACCATGTTCACAGAGGTAAAGAAAAACATGATTAAAGAAGTAAAGTATGAGGACAATAATGCATCAAGATCTACAGAATATTCATAAACATTAATTAAAAATGTAAATATTTGGGATATAAGAGTATAATTGAAATTTAAAAATCATTAGAGGTTCAAAAGTACAACAATAAATTTGGACTGGCTAAAGAAAGACAAAGTGGACTTAAAGTTAGGTTTATAAAGATTATTAAAGTCAAAAAAACAGAGAGAAAAAAGAATAACAAAACATGAAGAAAGCCTTAGAGAAATATGGGAAACCCATTAAGATATCCCAACATACTTTAATGGATATGTGAGAAGGAAAGAAATGGGAGAAAGGAGCAGAAAAATATTCAAAAAACCAAAAAAAAAAAACTTTCCAAATGTATTAAAAAACAATAACCTACACATCCAGGAAGCTAAACAAACATCAAGTAGGATAAATATATAAAGATCCATAAAAAGACACATCTCAGTAAAGATGCTGAAAGTGAAAGACAAGCAGAAAATCTCTAACACAGCAAGAGAAAAGTGACTCATTACTGGAAAAGCAATCTTAATAGGATTAATAGCCTACTTCTCAGTAGAAATAATGGAGGACAAAACGCAGTGAGCACATATACACTATGGAATACTATGCAGCCATAAAAAATGATGAGTTCATGTCCTTTGTAGGGACATGGATGAAATTGGAAATCATCATTCTCAGTAAACTATCGCAAGAACAAAAAACCAAACACCGCATATTCTCACTCATAGGTGGGAATTGAACAATGAGATCACATGGACACATGAAGGGGAATATCACACTCTGGGGACTGTGGTGGGGTGGGGGGAGGGGGGATGGATAGCATTGGGAGATATACCTAAGGCTAGATGACGAGTTAGTGGGTGCAGCGCACCAGCATGGCACATGTATACATATGTAACTAACCTGCACAATGTGCACATGTACCCTAAAACTTAAAGTATAATAAAAAAATAAAAAATAAAAAAAATAAAATAAATAAATTAATTAATTAATTAAAAAAAACAACAACACACAGTGAGATAACATTTAAAGTATTCAAAGAAAAAAACTCCTGTCAGCCAAGAATTCAATATCTGGGAAAACTATCTTTCAAAAATGAAAGCAAAATAAATACCTCTGGTGTTTAATTTTATGCGTCAACTTGACTAGGCCACAAGGTGCCTGGGCTTTAAACAGTTAAACATTGTATCTGGGTTTGTCTGTGAGGGATTTTTCTGGATGAGATTAACATTTGTATATGTACACTGAGTAAAGCAGATTGCCCTCTCCAGTGTGGGTGGGCCTCATGCAATTTGTTGCAGATTTGAATAAATGATATGCAAGAAAGAATTATTTCTTTCTGCCTATTTTTGAGCGAAAACATTTGTTTCTTTCATGCCTACATATGAGACTTGCACTGAAAATTACACCATCAGCTTTTCTGGTTCTCAGGCCTTCAAACTTGGGCTAGAACTTACCATCAGCACTCCTGGGTCTCCTTGCCAACTGCAAACCTTGGACCTCTCATTTTCTATATTCATGTGAGTCAACTGTATGTAGCAAATTCTATATATATGAGTATATTTCATATAATATCTCACAGCATTGTCATCAACTAGTTAATACGTAAGCATGTTTTCTGTGTGATACTGTTTAAAGGCATCTTATTGAATATACATTGTTGATTCATTGAAATTTAACTCATGGTCAACAGCACTATAACTATACCTAAATCAAGCTTATTTAATATATATATTTTCTCATATAAGCATATAGCCTCATGTGCTTGGAAACACTAGATAGCTCTTTGGCAGTATGTTTGGGGACCATTATAAACAGAGAAATGACAAGTAGAAACACAAAACTTCAAAAAAACATTGACATGAAATAAGCCATAAAAAGGTTTCTTCTTTGCAGTATGAAAGCCAAAACAAGAAGAAAGAATTTTACCTTTTTTGACCATAACTGGAATTGTACATATCAAGTGACTCAAATTTTTCACTGTTTTATACAGTGACCACAAAAATCAATGGAAGTATTGACTCTGGGGTGACAAATAGATTTTGGTGATTAGGTGAATCTACAAATATGTCATATGTGAATAATGATTATCAACTCTATATCAATAATATTACATGTTAATGGTTAAATAATCCAATTAAAATGCAGATTGTCAAACTGAATTTAAAAATTATGATTCAATTATATGTGCAATTTAAATATATTGAAAGTAAATGACTGAAAAATTTATATTGTGCAAAAAGCAACCACAAAAAAGCAGGAATAATTATACTAATATGAGACAAAATAGATTTTAAAACAAAAAAAGTTACTGGAGATATACAGGAAAATTTTGTAATAGTAAAAGAGTCAATTGATCAAGAAGATATAATAATTATAAACATGTGCTCTAAACAGAACATCAAACTGTATGAAACAAAAAACTCATGTAAATCAAGAGAAAAATAGACTATTCAACAATAGTTGGAGAATTGTTTTATTTTGAATTTTCTTTATTATAAGTATTGTCTCATGAATAATCTTTGCACCTCTGATTATTCTTTTAGATAGATTTTTTAGATAAAATACTCGGCTTAGGGCTTTTAAATTTTTTTTTTCTTTTTTTTTTAAATTATACTTTAGGTTCTAGGGTACATGTGCACAATGTGCAGGTTTGTTACATAGGTATACATGTTGGTTTGCTGTACCCATTAACTTGTCATTTACATTAAGTATTTCTCCTAATGCTATCCCTCCCCCAACCCCCACCCCATGACAGGCCCCAGTGTGTGATGTTCCCCACCCTGTGTCCAAGTGTTCTCATTGTTCAATTCCCACCTGTGAGTCAGAACATGCAGTGTTTGGTTTTCTGTCCTTGCGATAGTTTGCTGAGAATGATGGTTTCCAGCTTCATCCATGTCCCTACAAAGGACATGAACTCATCCTTTTTTTATGGCTGCATAGTATTCCATGGTGTGTATGTGCCACATTTTCTTAATCCAGTCTATCATTGATGGACATTTGGGTTGGTTCCAAGTCTTTGCTATTGTGAATAGTGCCGCAATAAACATACGTGTGCATGTGTCTTTATAGCAGCATGATTTATAATCCTTTGGGTATATACCCAGTAATGGGATGGCTGGGTTAAATGGTATTTCTAGTTCTAGATCCTTCAGGATTTGCCACACTGTCTTCCACAATGGTTGATCTAGTTTACAGTCCCACCAACAGTGTAAAAGTGTTCCTATTTCATAGTTGGAGAATTTTATCACACATTTTATTAAGGAAGAAAACTATTAAGCAGATGATCAATAAGGAAGCAATAAGGAAATAGAAGAGTTGAACAACCACATAACCCAACTAGGCCTAAATATTAATATTTTTATAGTGTGCCCCACTGAAAATGGCAGAATACACATTCTTTTCTCCAATGTACCTGGGACGTTTTCAAGATAGATCATAAACAAATATTGATAAATTTGAAAGGAATAAAATTATACAGAGTATGTTCTCTGACTATAATCAAATAAAATTAAAAATCAATAGCAGGATAAATCTGGAAAACCCACAAATATGTGGAAATTAAACATAGTCCTAAATAACCAAAGGATCAAAGAGGACATAAAAAGATAAATCTCAATATACTCTGAGATAAGTGAAAATGAAGACACATCATGCTAAAACTTATGGTATGCAACTAAAGCAGTGCTTACAGGGAAACTTATAGCTATAAATGCCTACATTAAGAAGAACGAAAACTCTCAAATCAATAATGTATCCTTTCATCTGAAGAGAACCAAGAAAGAAAATTAAAACAAACCTAAAGTAGAAGAAGGGAAATAATAAAAATTAGAGCAGAAATTAATGAAATACAGAATAGACAAACAATAGAAAAAGTCAATGAAACTAAAGGCTTGTTTTTAGAAAATATCAAAAGGCTGACAAACCTTTAGCCAGATTCATCAATTAAAAAAGACTCAAATTATGAGAATCTGAAATAAAAGAGGAGAAATTACCACTCGCTTTACATAAATAGGATGATAAGAGAATATTATGAATAATTGTATGCCAAAGAGTTAGATAATTGAGATGAAATGAAGTAAATCCTAAAAACATATAAACTACCAAACTGATTCCAGAAGAAATGGACAATCTGAATATACCTATAGAAAATGAAGAGATTGGTTTTGTAATCAAGAATCTACCTGCAAAGAAAAGCACAGGCCCAGACAGTTTCACTTAAATTCTACCATACATATATTTAAAGAAGAAATAGTACCAACCCTTTACAAGTTATTTTAAAAAGGTGCAACATATGCATAATAAGAATACCAAAGGAGAAGAAAGAGAGATAGGAAGAGAAGCAATATTTAAAGATAGGATGACAAAATTTTTCCAATGTAGTGTCAAACAACAAACCACAGATACAGGATATGCAAAGAACACCAAGTAGGAAGAATGTCAAAACCAAACAAACAAATAACGTATAACTAGGCATATCATGTTCAAAATAGAGAAACTCAAAGGTAAAATTGAAAAAAATCCTAAAGAAGTCAGAGGGCAAAATAAAATACCTTACCTATTGAGGAAGAAAGATAAGAAATAGATCTGACTTCCCAGAAACCCTGCAAATAAGAAGAGAGTGCAGTGAAATATTTAAACTCTTAAGAGAAAAAAGCCCACCAATCTGGAATTCTGTACCCTGTGGAATTATCTTTCAAAAATGAAAGAGAAATAAAAACTTTCTCTGAAAAACAAAAAGTAGTGGAATTTTTTGCCAGCCTGTGTGGTAGTGACCTCAGGTAGGAGCCATGGGAAAGACTTAAATGCTAACTATAAATACTGTGAATGGTTTCCTAGCCAGGGTGTGAGGTCCAAGGAGGATTGCCTCTCAGATTGAAAGCTGTGAGAAGAAAAGCCAATTATGTCAATAGTGTATTTGATAAACTCTTAGGTGAGCAACTTTCCATCTTTGGGACACAGTTTCCCTTACTGTAAAATAGGAGTGAGGAGAAATGGATTCAGGATTCCTAGAGCTGGTTCCTGCTGCACATTCATGGCTCTCAGAGAATTTGTCTCTATTTCTCAGCCAGCCTTTGTGGGGTTGAGGGAAGATCATTCCCAAATAGTTCCAAAGTGGTTTGTCTTACATCATTCCACCTCTGTCTCTTACCCCCACCCCACGTATCTTGGCAGACAGCACCCCAGAGGACACAGATCCAGGAAGAAGTGAGTCCGGATCTATCCTGCTTCTTCCCCTAGTCTAAGAGCCGAGGAGACCTGGCCATGTTTGGCCAAACCGTGGAGGGGAAGTGTTGAGGAGGAAGAGGTAAAAACATAGTCAGTACTCAAATACTAGCCCAATACTTATTAATATATGTATGAATAAGTAAACAATACTGTAAAATAGAATAGGAAGAAAAAGAAAGCTTAATATTTTTCTGTGCATTATGGCACAAAAACACAATGATATGAATGTAAGTATTCACCAACTCTCAAAAGAAAACCTACTGTCATATATGATTGAAGTATCCAAAGGAAAAAGAATATGTGAAGAGATTAAATCTGGATGGTCTACATCATTGCTATTACAGATGGGGTCCACAGACCAGCATCATCAGCATCAGGTGGGAGTAGGTTAGAAATGCAGAATCCCAGGTCCCCATTTCAGAATAACAGAATCAGAATCTGCCTGTTAGCAAGATTCCCAGGTAATTCCTATGCAGACTCAAGTTCAAGAAGCCCTGGGGTGATGCGCAGCTAAGGTAGCTCCTGCCGCATATGACCAGGAGTGGTGGAAAGGAGAACCATTCCACGATCCTCTAAGAAGGAATACACGTACAACTTTATCAAAGGTTTCAGTCCCCAGCTGGGTATTTTCTTGGGATTCACATTCCAGGTTGTTCTAGTCTTTTAGGGAAAGGATAAACTAACACAACGATCTGCATTTTAACAAGATCCCCAGTGATCAGCGTGTGGCTTCAAGTTCAAGAAGGATTCGGGGCCTGAGGCAAAGGTCGCCAAAAACTGATGATCTAGGGAAATTATTTGGAAAAAAAAATGACAACATTACTACATTGTCTATATTTTGGTGGGAAGGTCATGTGATTAACAACAGTTAAGCATATTGTTATTTTGTGAAATAAGAATACAAAAGTGGGAATATTAATTTAACTAAGTGACTTTGTGCCGATGTGGCTAATACATAAATAGTCTGTAACGACATCTTGGTATTTGCCATCACAAAAAGCAGTGTTTTTTTGTTTTGTTTTGTTTTTTTGCCCCAAATTCCTCAGTTTTGTGGAAATAAAGAACCATGTGCTTTACGCGCTAAGACTAATTTCTGTGTCTCAACTCTTCTATTTTGTGCTTCTGTTTCCTAATGTAAAGGGAATACTAATGTTCTTTCTTTATAACATACATAACTGTGCTAAGTACCAATGTGATAATGTTTGTGAAAATGCTTTGAAAGCTGTAAATGCTGGCAATTATTTTTATAACTGCAGACCCAGTCCATTTCCTTTTCCATTGTCCTCATAACTGACGATGGAGATCAACTGACATTCATAACCTTCCCTTCCTAAAGAGCATTCTAGGCCAGGCGTGGTGGCTCACACCTGTAATCCCAGCACTTTGGGAGGCCGAGGCGGGTGGATCACGAGATTAGGAGATTGAGAATTGAGACCACCCTGGCTAATACGGTGAAACCCCGTCTCTACTAAAAATACAAAAAATTAGCTGGGCGTCGTGGCTACTAGAGAGGCTGAGGCAGGGGAATCGCTTGAACCCGGGAGGCAGAGGTTGCAGTGAACAGCGATGGTGCCACTGCAATCCAGCCTGGGCGGCAGAGCGAGACTCCGTCTCAAAAAAAAAAAAAAAAAAAAAAAGCTAAAAAAAAAGCTCTTTCCATATATACCTGTGTGTGTGCATATGTGTATGTGTGTGCACTTGTGCGAGGAAGGTAAGATTCTGAAGCTTAAAGTGTTGTTACAGGGTTAGTACTAGTAGCATGCTGCTGTTTTTCCTCACTTCTTAAATCTTCAGATTGAGCTTTTCCATTCTATCACATGGTTGGTAATTTTTCCCAAACACTGCTGTTTGCAGTTATAATCCCTTCCATTTTGCTTTTGCTTCCAAATCTCCTGCATCTCTGCTCCAATCTGGAACGCACAGTGGGGACTATTTCATTTGTGGCACCTTCCTGTTCAAGCCTTTGGATGGTTTCTTTTTCACACCACTTACAGCTAATTTTGTCATTAGCTTTTCAGAAATACACAGTGGCATTTTAAGTGAAATACAAATTAGAAAATTCTGCTTTCTTTAGTTACTCTTTTCTTCCAAATTTGAAAAGAAATCACTATCAAATTAGCCAAGTCACATTTATCCTTTTTAAACTCACAAAGCTGTTGTTATTATTCATCCAAACTCTCCATTTCCGGCCCCTTAGGTGGAAATTACACTTCTTGAGCAACAGTAGCAAAAAAATGTATTTAAAGAACAAAAATTCCATGAAGCACAATGAAAATTATTTTCCTTAACATTTGACACATTGCTCTACTGTGTTGGCTCTTGTAGTTACGTGTGCAAATCCATGTTGCATCTGCACAGATTCTGGCCTTTAGTAAGCAAGCAGTAGAAGCTGATTGGTCAACAGATTGGTGAAGAAACTCTTCATTTAACTAAAATTATAATGAAGAGTATATTCTTTCTTTTTTTCTTTTTCTTTTTAAAAGCTATCATCTTATTGATTGTTTTACTCCCTGCCAAGCACTCTGCTGAGCATATTAAATGCATTATCTCGTTCACCCCCCACTCAAAAATCCTAGGAGGTAGTGACCATTGCTACAGCTAATTTACCAGAAAGGGAACATATTGGACTATGTTAAGAAGTAGTTAGGTTTCCACACTATGAATTCTATTAAGTCTTAATTAATTTAGTCTTAATTAATTAATGGAACAGATGAGAACATATGCTTTATTTCATCAGGCAAATCTTCCCAGCATAAAATTAACTAGAAATTATTGAGCATTTACAGTGTGCCAGGCACTGTGATGTAATTTAAATAACAATTTTATTTAATTCTAATAACTGGATTATGTAGGAGACATATTATTAATATTTCTCCTTTGTGGATGAAACAACTGAAGCTAAGATTGTTAAAGGAACAAACCTAAGATTAGAGAACCTATAGTAGAGCTGGGCTTTGCAGTCAGGACTGAGTGCTTAGCCCATGTGTTTCAATGCTTCAAATCTACACGCATAACTTGCCACTGAATCAGCAACACTGGCAAAAAGTCACCCTCTACTTGCCAGCCTCTCCTGAAACATTCCCTTTGAATTTGCCTTTTTCTCTGATGAGGAAAAAAACATCATGGAGTTGTCACCAGGTCTGTGGCCTGTGTGGCCTACAGGAAAGCAGAACAAAGGTCTTCTCAGAAAAATTATATTAAATATAGCTTTGTTCGTATCTTGTTTTATTTCTCATTTAACATTATGTTACTACGAACTCTTAATAAGCATAATTTTAGTGGTTGCTTAATTTTTTATTAAGTGGATGTATTATTTAATTATCCATTTGTCTATTATTATCTATGTCTCTTTTTTGTTGTTGTCATTTTACATAATGGTCTAACAAGCACCTCTTCACATAGAACTCTCTCCACACTCTGATTGATGACTAATGCATGAGAAAGGTACCTAACAATGGATTTGGGGGTTTGGATATTTCAAGTCTGTTGATGCAGATTGCCAAATGATTTTCTAAACATTCTGTACTGATTTCTACCACCCCATCAGGCTCACCATACCTTCCTATCAGGTCTAGAATTAAAATAAGAGAAATCTTTGCTAATTATATGGCTGAAAAACTCCTTCACATTATGGAAATTTGTATTTGTTTGATTAATCATGAGGTAAAATAATTTTTCCAATATTTGGCTATCACAAAATATCCTTATTTTACAACTTCTAGTTGCTGGTTTTTGTCTCGGTGAAATTTTATTGCTTTGACTATATTCCTTACTTATTGAGGAATTCGAGCCTTTGCCATACTTACTGTAAATACCTTTTCCAGTTGTTGTCTCTGCTTGAATCAGAAACAGAAGGAAATATGTTGCTGAAATTAAGGCAGGAGAAGACCCCTTCACCAAAGGAGTGAAAGCAGTTCCCAGTGCTACAAAGAACCCAGCAAGATAAGGTCTAAGAAAACATTTTTTCCCCAACATACTATAATGAATGGTAACAAAGCTTATATTTTGATTTAGATCAGGTGGGCAATAATTACTATTGTTCATTCACAAGCAAAGTGATGGAGCACTAAATAAAATAATCCATCAATGATTTATTAAACATTAAATAAATTATGTCACATATTTGATACCATATGGCAAAGAAACCTCAGTCCCTGACTCAGTCTCCTCCCACCCACCCACCCCCCATGATCTTAAGAGAGGGAACTGAGGTTCCAGACAAAGGTACAGTAACTCTGGTTCATGTAATAGATATTATAACCAGGTTTACAGAGTTCGAGTCTCAGCAAAGATACCATGATCATTTCCCTGACCAAAACAGTTTGAATGAAAATATTTTCTGATTGAAACAACAACAACAATAATAAATAAAGTTGAATCTGGCCGGGCGCGGTGGCTCACGCCTGTAATCCCAGCACTTTGGGAGGCCGAGGCGGGTGGATCATGAGGTCAGGAGATCGAGACCATCCTGGCTAACAAGGTGAAACCCCGTCTCTACTAAAAATACAAAAAATTAGCCGGGCGCGGTGGCGGGCGCCTGTAGTCCCAGCTACTCGGGAGGCTGAGGCAGGAGAATGGCGTGAACCCGGGAAGCGGAGCTTGCAGTGAGCCGAGATTGCGCCACTGCAGTCCGCAGTCCGGCCTGGGCGACAGAGCGAGACTCCGTCTCAAAAAAAAAAAAAAAAAAAAAAAAAAAAATAAAGTTGAATCTGGTGTATTAGTCAGAGTTCTCCAAAGAAGCAGAACAGACAGATTTTATATATATATATATATATATAATATATATATACACATACACACACACACACACACACACACACACACACACACACACACACACAGATTTCTTTTCTTTCTTTCTTTTTTTGAGACGGAGTCTCACTCTGCCATCCAGGCTGGAGTGCAACTGCGAGATCTCAGCTCGCTGCAACCTCCGCTGCCCGGGTTCAAGTGATTCTCCTGTCTCAGCCTCCTGAGTAGCTGGGACTACAGGCACCCACCATCACACCTGGCTAATTTTTGTATTTTTAGTAGAGATGGGGTTTTACTATATTGGTTAGGCTGGTCTTGAACTGACCTCAGGTAATCTGCCTGCCTTGGCCTCCTAAAATGCTAGGATTACAGACGTGAGCCACCGCACCTGCCCTGAGACATTTCTTTTAAAGAATTGGCTCATACAATTGTGGAGGCTTGGTAGGTCCTAAATCTGCAGGGTAGGCTTGGCAGGCAGGACATGCAGGGAAGAGTTGCAGTTTGAGTCCAAAGGCCGTCTGCTGACAAAGGTGTGATCTTGACTGTCTCGAAGCTTGGATGTATATAGACTATGTGGAGGGAGGGTATGCTGTTTGCACTGAGCTCTTAGGAACTTATTTTCTGTGAAGATATAATGATGTTACTGTTCTGCCTTCCCCTGGGGTTTCTGTGCCTTTTCATTTTGAGTTCAGCAGCCACAATGAAATTAAGATGATGGATATGAAATGGAAATTTTCTGGTTCAGATACAATTATACCCTTTTCAGTGGCTTATTTTTTTATTTTAGTAAATATTCATTTAGCAGCCTTGGGTAGTAGACCTAATGATTACAATTTTGCCTTGGACAAAGGAGGAGACAAATACTATAATTATATAAAGTACAAATCAAATCACCTAATTAAATAGAGAAAGAAAATCTGCAATAATTATTGAGGTATAGGCCAGTTAACAATGCACAGTAAAAGGACTCATAATTTTAAGAAATATACCAATGCCTGATTTATCAAGAAGTATGTGTAATAAACAGTACATTTTTCACTTAAAAAAAATACGAGCTTCATCTAAAGTAACCTCAAATGACTCCTCAGGTGTTGGATTGAAGACTTCCTGTATTTCTTCAGAGACTTGGAAAAAAACATTTAAATAAAATTATTTGTTCTTGGTGAAAAGAACATTAATACTTAATTGTGGAAACCTAAATACTTCTTTGTTTATATTCAAACTCCAGGAAGCCTGAGTGATTACTGCCAGCCCATGATATCTGCATTATATGCAAATGCTCAGCTCTCAGACATTTTGTCCATAACATTTTCTTTGGCACCACGGTTGATGTATGATCCACTCTAAATGACCCAGTTATTTCCCATTAGGGCTGACTTTGCCTTCCCAAAAAGACTCTAAGTCTATCAGAAGCAGAAATTTTGCCTTCCCTCTTTCTTTCTTTTCTTTTTTCATTTCTGTGCCAATTACTTAAAGCAATAATTATTCTCTCTCTCTCTGTGTGTGTGTGTGTATGTGTGTGTGTATCCATATAAGTATAATCTGTCCTGTTCTAGATGAGATTAAAGGGCTCATTCCAGATATTTCTGGGTGCATTTTTGAGCTTGCTTTATGGTAGGCATAATACAATGCATCAATGAGCCTGGATTCCTGCTACATCCAATTATTTGTCACAAAATCTTGATAAAAGACATGACACTTATCCAAAAATCTTACTCAAATACAATTCTGTACTGATTGATAGATCAGATTACATTCTAAATTTCCTGTGCCTTTTCATCTTTATCTCAAATCCAAGCAATTTACTTTATTTTATGTATTCTCTATCCCAAAGTCTTCCTGTATATCCACTCTGATTTGGTTTGATCTCATTCTCTTTATCCCACCTCTCTATCCCACCTCTTATTCTTCAATGATGTCATCTCACAGCAATCTACCCCTCTTCACCCATAAACTTACTTAGGTCACTCCCATCCTAAAACCCATTCAGTGCATCAGGTACGTTTCCTTCTCTTCATGTTTTGATAGTTGACAGTCTCCTACTACTTAGTTTCCCACAATCTTTCAATTCCCTTCGCTTTGGTGCATGTCCCATCATTTTTTTAATTACCCACTCAACAGTTTCCAATGACTTCTTAATAACCAAATGAAGTGTTTGTTTTTTAGTCTCTAGCCTCTTTGAATTCTCTGCAACATTATGGGCTGTTTGGAGTATTCTCTATTTGAATTTTATTCTCCTATTTGGTTTTCCTAAAATACAGTAATCTCCTGGAATGTTCCCTACACTCTCTGCCCTCCCTTCTCTGTCACCTTCACCAACTCTTCATTCCATTTTGTAATCCAGTGGAAAGACAATTGGTTTTACAGGACAACTGAACCCCAATCCTTTCTTAACTCATTTCTCCAAATGAAGGTTGCTTAATCTCTGCAGTTATCAGCTTTTACAGCTTTAAGATATAGGTGAACCACATTATTAGATTTTAATTATGCTCTGCAAAGTATTAAGAATTTCTTTCAGATTTCTCAGTCACCAACATGTTTTCCATCTTGATTCCAGCCACAACAACTACACTGTGATCTAGGTTATGTAATGGACACCCACCATAGACTTCCATCACCAGGAAAAGATGAATCTTACAAGTATTTTGGGCAAGTGAGCCCTATGACTGTTAGACTAAAATAGTTGATGAAGACCATTTCCCAAGATCAAGTTTGATAAGGGAAAATATGTTACGAAATGTTTTGAAAGAAATATGTACACTAGCTATTGGGATAGTATTCAATATGGTAGTCTGTGTTCTCAATGTCAAGTGAAGAAGGTGGCACAGGGGTAGGAGGTGGGGGCAGCATCAGACAAGTGAAAGAGCTTTTCCTATTGAAGTCTTAGCATTCATCCTTAAGTTCATCTCTGGTTCTGAAGGCAAAATTCAGGATGTATTTTCTGGAGTTGGTGTAACTTTGCATTCATCCTTCAATTCATCTCTGGCTCTAAAGGCAAAATTCAGAATGTGTCTTCTGAAGTTGGTGTAAGGATTATATAAGATTATATTTTTAAAGCACTTAGCACAGTACCTGGCACACAGGGAACAATTATACATTTATTTGTTTTCAATACTTTCTTTGTGACATTAAGTAAGGTAATGTTAACATGTGTTTTCCCTCTGATGGTGGCCTGGACCCATAATCACCCTAATACATTAACCATCTTATTCTTGTTGACTCATTTTGCAAAATCAACACATGGCAAATGGGTTCAATAAGCAGGAAGTCCACTGGGAGAGGCATCAGAGATTTATCTAGCTATTAGGGCTACTCTCTTATATTTCAAAAAGAGTGAGAAAAAATCACTGCATTATTCTAATTACAGCTCCTTTGGAAAGTTAGAGAGGTCAAAGATTTTTCTCTGAAAGCAGCATATCTGCAGTTTGGGAGCCAGTCCTCAAAGTTTCTATCTGGAAAGCAACAAAGATTATACTTCCCCCACTCTAGAGGGACACTTCCTTCCCTCCGTTGAAATTCTTTGTTTTATATCACATCATGCTGGCTAGGAAGATAATACTTGTGATTGCTCCTGTATTTATTTCCCCTGCAAATTGCTGCTAGGACCTGGTTCTGTGCAGTGAATCACTATTTTGTCACACTACAAATATCAGCAGCACCTAGCTGATTCCACTTAAAATAAAAAGAAGGAAAAAAAAAAGGAACAAAGCCCAAATTTCAAACCAAGCACTAAGTGTCTCTGAAATCCCTGCAGCAAGCATGATGTTCTTTTTACACAGGGAAACAGAGCCACGTCTGCAATGCAGCATTGGCTGCTTTCCTGATTTGCTTAGGTTACTTTTAAAGGAATTTCTGCTCTTGCTGAGTACTTAAGTGTGAATGACACTGAAGTACACAGCCAGAGCAGCTGTGCCCATTAGCACCTTCCTCAGGCACTGGCTCTTCAAGGTGTTGGGCACTAAGCTTAAAACCAGGGCCCTAGTCACAAAAGATGCTACCCATAGTCTATTTCCCTTTGCTAAATCCTATGATTATTAGTGTAAGATATGCCACAATGTTACTTTTTTTTTTTTTTTTTTTTTTTACCATTTTTTACCATTAGTAAGCACTTTCACAGATATTAAGTAGTATATTGCCTGATTCTCACATCTATTCTGTAAAGTAGACGGGACAAGATCATGTTTTGTTTTTTTTTTTTGAGATGGAGTCTCGCTCTGTCGCCCAGGCTGGAGTGCAGTGGCACGATCGTGGCTCACTGCAAGCTCCGCCTCCCGGGTTCACGCCATTCTCCAGCCTCAGCCTCCCAAGTAGCTGGGACTACTACAGGCGCCCGCCACCACGCCCGGCTAATTTTTTGTTTTTTTTTTAGTAGAGATGGGGTTTCACCGTGTTAGCCAGTATGGTCTCAATCTCCTGACCTCGTGATCTGCCTGCCTAAGCCTCCCAAATTGCTGAGATTACAGGCGTGAGCCACTGCACCTGGCCAAGATCATGTTTTTATTTTCAGATGAAAATATACAGTGACTCAGAGAAGTGAAGCAACTTGTCCACAGACACAATGCTCTGAAAAAATAAAGCTGGAACTCAAAATCAAGGATTCTTTTTCTGAAGCTGGAGGTTTTCTCACTAAAGCTCTCATTTCTTCTGCAAGAACCTCTGTGAGCAAACAGGCTTTTGTAAACAGGCTTTTGCCAGATCATGATACAATCGTCAAACCACTGTAGACATTTTTTTCTTTTGTCCTGAGTATGCAGGATTCTCATGCCGCAACGCAGACTTGTCTATGCTGATTTACTCCATCTAACACCCTCTCCTTTGTGCCCTATTTCCTGGAGTGATGAATGAGTCTTTGTTCAGCGCTGTGCTTTTTTTTTTTTTTTTTTTTTTTTTTTTTTGAGACAGAGTTTCACCCTGTCACCCAGGAAGGAGTGAAATGGCACGATCTCAGCTCACTGCAACCTCTGCCTCCTGGGTTCAAATGATTCTCCTGCCTCAGCCTCCTGGTAGCTGGGATTACAGGCGCCTGCCACCACACCCAGCAATTTTTGTATTTTTAGTAGTGACAGGGTTTCACCATGTTGGTCAGGCTGGTCTTGAACTCCTGACCTCAGGTGATCCACCGGCCTCAGCCTCCCAAAATGCTGGGATTACAGGAGTGAGCCACCGCGCCTGGCCGGCGCTGTGCTTCTAGGTTAGTGAGAGGCTGGACACGTGACTGCTAGTGACGTAGTGCATTTCGTCTCCTGGTGTGTGCATTTCTTTTGGAATAGGAATTAACTCCTAGATGCACATGCTTTAACCTAGAGTAGTGGGTATTAGAGGCACCTCAGTAGTGCACACAATCTACTTAAGTATGAGGCTGATGATGCTGGCTCATATAATAAGTTAACATTCCTAGGTGAGCATGCTCCCAGATGCTTCTTGTCTCCCGTTCCTCTCTCCTTTGCTCCTCCTCATCACACCAACTTCTCCCAGAACATTGAAGAATGGTCCACTGGGCACTGGAAACCGATCAATGACTTAGTGCTGATTCAGCCATTTGTTAGTCTTGTGAATGTGGGGAGTTTATTTCACCTGAGGCTTCTATTATTTCAGTGGCAGAATTAGAAGATTCAACTAAATTAGTGATTTTATAAGCTTTTTTTGGACAGAAAACCCCTATTTTTAAATATAATATAATTTAGGTCCTGGATACATAAAACAGATATAATGTTCTGCTGATGGAAAAGAGAGACACAGAGAACCCATTTAGCCTCCCTTTCAGTACCCCAGAGTCCTTTGAGATTGCAGTGTAGGCCCTTGTGAATCTCCAAAATACAGGAAAAGACCTTGCATATCACACAGAAGACTCACAACACCTTGGTCTTTTACAGATGTTAAATGTTCCTAAGTGTCCCCCTTCCTTATCTTATTTACCTCTCCATGACATTGCATAGTTTGGATATCTTTCCGTATGCTACAGAAACTGTCTCTCTCTTTCTCTTTCCCCTTTATAAAAGAGTGACATACTGGGTGGGAGGGAGCTGGCTGTAACACAGTAGATATGGGAATGAAAGATATTTTCAACTGTTTGTTCATTCATTTAGCAAATATTTATTAAGTTCATTTTATTATTAGATGGTTTGGTCAAGGATTAAAGATATTGCAAGACCCTGTTCATACACTCTGGATCTAGGGAAGACATGCGGATCAGGAACTGCGAACCCAGGTAAAAATGACAAGGGTCTGTGTGCTACAGATAACGTGCTGAGACAGTCTGGTGATGAGAGATGAGAGAGACAGCTGTCAGAGAGGCAGAGATAGAGAGGTTCCCCCTCAATCAGAAGTAGCAAAGTCTGTCTGAACCCTAAATGATTAGAAGGCATACAATTTCATGCTGATGACCATTTCTGAATAATAAGTTATGTCTTAAAGGAGGTGAGTAGAAGGGGGCCATGTGTGTTTAGCTTCAATGAGACTGCTTCTCTATTCAAAAATCTTCCCAGCTTATTTGAAATATCTTTCCTTGTCTTTAGTCAGATTCTCATAAAGGCTTTCTCCTATTATTTGGATTGGCCATCTCTATTGATCAAACTTACCAAGTGGCAGCTAATCTCTCACACAGAGACCTCCTTCATTGCATTGCATTCTGAGAAAATTACCCCTTCATGGATCCAGACCCATAAGTAGAAATTTACAGGGCAAGAATCTGATAGTATTTTAATTAATTCAGCTAAGTCTTTCTATTACACTCAGGAGCCGGAGTTTGTAAGTTAATTTAGTTTCCTTTATGACAATGATAAGGCTAGATAAAAATTGTGATACACTAACAAGTTAGTAGCCCACATGCTTAATTACCTGGGGTTCTGGTAGTATGTAGTGCTCTCTGCTTACTGACTGCAGACTCATTAAAGACACTGCTAGATGCAATGCTTATCCCTCGATAGAGAATAAGTTGCTATTTCTAGACGTGAGTGAACATTCACTCATAAGACTGGAATAGTCAGTTCTAGTTTTAGAAGAGACTCTAGACCTGTGCTGTGGCCATGAGATATTCTTAACTTTGAGACATTTTGGAATCTCCTGAGTAAAAGGGAGAAAGAATGCAACAATTTAAATAGTTATTATTTGCAGATTAAATGGCCTGTCCTTGGGACCTCTCCTTTACTTGTACTTGGACAGAGTTTCTCAACCTCAGCACCATTGACACATTGGGCCAGATAATTCGTTGCATTGGGAAGCTGTCTTGTGCATCGTCAGAACTTTTTCATACTGTCCTCTTCATATCAGATGCCAGTAGCACCTTCCCACAATACGTAATGACCAAAAGTATCTCCAGATATTGCCAGATATCCCCTGGAGGACAAAACTGCTCCTGGCTGAGAACTACTGATGTAATGATTAAGTGTGTGACTGTGGGGTTAGACTGTTTAGGTTTAAACCCAGACTTCTCCTGTTAGGGGACCTGACCTTGGGCACAATATTTAAACTCTCAATTTCCATATACGTAAAATCAGATTATTGTATCTACCACATAGCATTGTTGTGAGAGTCAAATGATGCCTGATGTTTAGTAAATGATAAGTATAAGCTATTATTTATATTTTTGGTTTCTTCCAGGTGATCTACATTTTACAAATTAATTTATACAAGGACAAGAATAACTAGCCATATGAAACTGGGCCAGGCAGTTGTCAATCAAGTCTATAGTGGTTCAATGTCCTTCTAGTGCCATAAAGGAACGGCTGTGTCTTGGAGTCATAGATATAGTTGCAAATTCTGTTTTGGTTGCCCGCTAATTTTGCTATAAATAACCTTCTGTTTGTCCCTTGTCATTCTTCTTTAAAGAACAATATCATCTACCACTCAGCCTGTATTAAAAGGATCAAACTAGTACAAGACTGCAAAATAACCAACCGAAAAACTCTTGCCTGACTGCCTGCTTTCCCACCTTCGCACCTTTCTTTCCTCCTCTCGTCCTTCCTTTCTTCCTTCTTTCTTTCCCTCCTTCTTTTTTTCTTTGTGTGTCTATCAAAAACTTCATTTTCATTGGTTCTGTTTCGTAAAGTACAGTAATTCTGAATTACCTGGAGGGCTTGTTAAATCACACATCAGTGGGTCCACCTCCAGACTTTCTAATTCAATAAGTCTGAGGTGGAAACCAAGAATTTGCATTCTTAATAAGTTTCCAGATAATGCTGATGCTGCTGATTTGGGCACTACACTTTGAGAACTAATGTCATAGTATTTACTGCTACACTCCAGAACAGTGGTTTTATTCTTAAGCAAATATCAAAAAGCCCTAGAAGGCTTTCAAAGACACATTGCTGGGTATGTCTCCAGAGTTCCTGATTTACTAGGCTTATACAATGACAACCACTGCTCTAGAAGGTTCTGAATATTAGCTGCACATTAGCATCACTTGGGGAGCTTAAATTTTTTTAAATTAATCTACAATTAAACCTATTTATTGTAATCTCCATGTTTTTTATAGGCCCCAGTTTAGAGCAATTAAATCAAAATCTGTTTGTAAATATTCTCAGGTGATTCCAGTACATAGCCATGATTGAGATGCCTTTCAAAAGCAAGTCTTTGAGATTTACAAAATCTCAGAAAGCAATGAGTAAAGCTGAAGATTTTGTGTGCAACATCTTCACATATCTTTTGTGTGCAATATCTTGACATTTTTATGTTGACCCCAAACACAAAAGGAAATTCAGAGCTTTGGTTATTGATGTGATGAGCAGATACTTGGTCATACCTACCTTGAACTAATAATATAAACACTCATAGGCCTGAGGAATGAGGGGACTTTTAGAAGTAGTTTTTATGTAGAAAATTGGGAGACTTTACGACTGCTTGAGGCTAAAGTCAGCAATAGATTTTTAAGAAACCAGATAAATGCATGATCATTGAAGGCATTACAAAAAGGTAATACATATGTTTTCCAAATTATCCCTAGACATTGGTGGTTAAGGCAGTCTTGGCATTATAATCCCTTTTTCTAATTTCCTGGCAAGAAATCTGGAGGGGTTCAACTCTAAATAACAGTCCTGATGGTATAATGACTGGGTTTGTTGTCCTCAAATAGAAAAGTTATATCTTTCATTTTTCTAAAAGATTTCAAGAAATATCTTGCTCCCCTCTCTGCCAGCATTACTTACCTAGCTGGTTGAGAATAGAAGCTAGAGTTATGCTGAGTGCTTGTGAGTTGTGGAGCAATGGGTACCAGGGAGATGGATGAGAGAAGGACAAAAAAAGTAATGGTGATACTCTGGGATGAATGGTGAGAAGGCTAGCCAATGCCATCTGATCACGCCAATTGAGTTTTCAGATCAGAAATGAGTTTTGAGCCTTAGGGAAACTAGGAGAGACATGAAGACAGAGAACGCTGGTGGTTGGGAACTGCTTATGGCTCTCATGGACTTATCTCAAGGTGGCCATGGTCAGCTGATGCTATGTTGGTGGTATCTACTCCCAGGTGATTACCTCATGTCTTCTGGGGAACAAGAGAACATTGCTTCAATGGGGATGATAGATAGTTCTCCCTTTGCTTATAATTATAGCACTTTTATTAGTTTCTTTGACAGGTAGCCTACTTTGTCAGTTTTTATATAGTGATATCTCTCAGGGAATGCAGGACAAGTCCCCTTAAAGTGTAAAACTATCAAAGTTGCACCATTCAGTGTGACATTCAGAATTCTTCCCCTAAGCCTCACCAGACGGGGCCTAGAATGGACTTCCAGATACATTATGTCTCTTCCATGCCATTTCAGGTTCCTCAGAATTGGGTATTACTGGAATTCCCATTAACTTCTTTCCCCCTCCTTTCCTTGGCGTTGATTTTATTACATCTGCATCTTACCCCTCAGATTTTCCTAGCAGATTCTTCTGCACATTAGCTGTCTGTTGGCAGAGCTAGTATTCCGTTCCCTTCTCCCCTGTTCCTGACTCCATCCTGGTAAATCTCTGTGCCTGGTGGTTAAGAAGATAAGTCTTGATTTTTGTGAATCTAATTCAACTAGTTTTTTTTTTTTTTTTTTTTGCCAAGCTGCAGGCTTTTAACTTCTTGCAGCAGAAAAGTGATGAAGAATCAAAGAATAAACATATCAATGAGAATTTTCTCATGTTCTAAAGGCAGTTATTTTTTTCTCTCCTTGCATTGCTCCAAGTGAAGTAATGATGCTTGGTAATGATAGATTTTTGCAAGTGTAATGATTTTCTTATTTGAAATTAGATCAAGAGTCAACCTAGCTTCTAATCCTTCTTTCCCACATGAAAAAGATAAAGAGAGAAGAATGCACAAATCAAATATTCCTAGATCATGTTTTCAACAAGTATAAAGTGACTTCAAGTTTTCCCTTAAAGTGAAGATATTTATAAATATCTTCCAAAATGACTAATTTTCAATTCCATGGTTACTACAGTAAAAAGAAAGTGGGCATTATGAAAAAGTAAAGTAACAAGTGTGTATATATATATATATATATATATATATATATATATGCATTAATAAGTTAAAAGGGTATGATTATACAGTAGTTTTCAAACAGGGTTCCTGAGAACGCTGCTCTTACCAGAGGTGTCTCAGGGTGGAGAGACTCGATGGAGGCTGGGGGACAGCGTTCTAGCCCCTCGGCCCCATCACTTCAACAGAACTACTCTGCTTTCCTTGTCTTCATATGTGGGATAATTTAAATAGGCTCATCTGCTATATAGCTGTATGCTGCAGATTTATATACTTGTTCATAATGAGAGTATGTGTGGTCATTTCTTCGAAAGGCTCTGCATTAGCTGTAACCTTGAGCAGTAAGACTGGGATTTCTTAGTGTCTGATAAACTGATTGAGGTAGGAAGGGTCTGACTGAGATGCCAGCTCCAAAAGAGATGAATGTAGGCAGTGAGAGAGAAAGGGAGTTCTCAGCTGCCAGAAATGAGGCATATAACTCCCAGTGACGGGATGCAAGATGAAGATCTTTTCTTGCTCCATAGAATGACCAGTTCTAGCTGGCATTTGAGGTATTTAGCTTCCTGATACTTCATCCTACTATTTTCCCCCAAGCTTCTATTTCTAAAAAAATCTTAATTTATTTACAATTAAACATATTTAATACAACATCCATGTTTTTATAGATACAAAAATCCACGCACTAGGGAGAGTAAAAGACTTGTCTAGGGTCACAAATCTGGAGAGGAGATGATGATTCCCTAATTTCTTATCTAGAGTTCTTTCTTTTGCTACAGATATTCGAAACATCTTTAGAGGCCAAAGAGTTCATATTTCTTGTGTACCTTTGCATAGAAACCATGTACATAAAATAGCAGAGCTGTTTTAGATGAAGCCATGTTGGGGAGGGGGCTTTTAACCCTACCCACTTTTCTCTCTCCTGCCTCCAGCAGTTGTTCTGAGGTTTCTTGTTGATCACAGTTGGAAAATGACAGTTCTGGGCATGGTATTAACAGTTGGAGGCGGGTGCGGTGGCTCACGCCTGTAATCCCAGCACTTTGGAAGGCCAAGGCGGGCAGATCATGAGGTCAGGAGTTCGAGACCAGCCGGACCGACATGGTGAAACCCCGTCTGTACTAAAAATACAAAAATTAGCCGGGTGTGGTCGCGTGCACCTGTAATCCCAGCTACTCAGGAGGCTGAGGCAGGAGAATCACTTGAACCCAGGAGGCGGAGGTTGCAGTGAGCCGAGACTGCATCAGTGCACTCCAGCCTGATTGACAGAGTGAGATTCCGTATCAAAAAAAAAAAAAAATAACTGAAAAACAATTGGAGTCCAAAGGCCTCTGTATCTTCCTTTTTTTTCTCCCTTCTTATGTAAATAATATTGGAAAGACTAAATACACTACACTTTCCACACTAAGACCCTGCAAGGGAAAATATTAAAAATATATTTAGGCTTTTAATTTGTCTTATTGAGTGCAATTAAAATAGTTTGACATTTACTAGTAGCTTAATGGCTGTTAGATAAGTGTTTTATTGCTTAAGTAATTTGAAATTAATTATATGCTACGTACTTTAAATCCACATGGTCTCCTCTTTTATGATGTTGGTAAGCTTGTCTAAACATTCCTCTATAGAATAAAAAACAAAAAATCTAATTAAATGTTATGTGAATTAAAAACATGACTAATTGTCTACTGTATAATAACTGAAAGGTCTTATACAATATTACTTTGATTTTTATGGAAATACTTAAACCACAATTACTCCGTCATGTTAACTTAAGAGATATACATTCTTCCAATATTTTCCTTTTGCCAAATTAATACCCTTCCATTGCATAGCACACTCAAATTTTTGATGCACTTTTATATAATTATCTAATTTAATATAATGTCAATTGCAGCAAAACTATTATTACGCTTTTTAATAAAAAAGAAAAACTGAAGTTTACAAAAGTTAAAAGACTTGGAAATAACACAAAAAATAATAAATTAAAAAGTCAAAAACTAGAATGATGGTTTAAATTTCAAGTCTTTTAATTCTCCCTAGTCTATCATAGGCACAAGACATATTAGGTATTGCAAGAACACACCTCCTTAATAGGGTGGAAGGAAACTGTAGGAACTGCCTTCTAAAGGACTGCCCTGCACCTGCTCATTTCCTGTGTCACTGAGGAGAATGCCTTAAGTCTGTGTCTTTAAGACAAAAGTTTTCAAAATAATTTGAACCCTTGAAAATATATATACCCTGGCATAATTCTGAGTCTTCAAAAAGGATGGAAAATTTCTATTTCAGCAGGCACTCAGAACTGTTTGTCCTCTTAAGTGTGGATCAATCAACCCAGTGAAAGCTCACTTTTTAGCAAGTGTTATTGAGAAACTGCAGTGTTCTCAGACCAGTGTTTCAAAAAAGACCCGAAAAAATGTAAAAGCAAATATTTTTATGACTGTAGAATCCATATAGACTATCAACACTTTATTTTAGAGCACCAATAAAATAATGAATGTTATCATGAGACCTAGAATAATCAGGCTGCACTCCTTTCCCCCCACTCCCATTTATACCTAGATGCAAGCAAAACAGAGGTTTTGAGGTGTTGGAAAGTGGATTCAATGGGAAAGGAATTTAATAATTGGTTAGAACATGAATTTCAACACTTACTTAAAAACACACTTTTGGTATAAGATATAATTCTTTCTCTCAAAGTAAATAAAATTCTGTTAGAGAAATTGATCGTGAACATACACAGAAACCTTGAAATACAGACTACAATCAGCATAGTCGGTGTTTCAGCAGACTGGCAACCACTGCGAATTTAGTGATGTGGAAGGAATTTAGTAATGTGGGAAGCAGTGAGGGTTAGGAACTATCTGGGGGATCTTCAGAGAAGGCTTACTGTGTTTTGAATGCATTCTTGATTTCAAGCCCAGTATCTTTGTCAGTCCTCTGATCCAGGCTCTTACTGAGATACTATTTTTGAAGATTCTCTAGCATTGGGCTTTAAGGTAAACCAGACTCATTGTTTTTTCTCACCTCAGGCTTATTATCATTTAAAGCAAAATCATTTGCCTGTTTGTGATGTGAATTATTCATTGATGTAACTACACCACATGCTGATACTGGGGGAATAGGATCGAAATAATCCAAGATAAATGAGGAATGGTGAGAGACCGTGGGGAACAGGAAGATTTACTTGCATTGCGTTAAGGACATTTTCAGAAAATTTTAACAATTCATTAGTTCACTTATTCCGCAGGGGAAAAAAAGTCCACACATTGATTATTCTTTCTCCTTACACTCCAACTTATAAAGGCCATAATGAAAAGAAATAAGAAAAATCAAGTTACCATAGGCTTATCCACCTAAGGCAGTTTGGGTTCTACAGAGTTAAAACATTGCTCTTGTTTATACAGGAAATATTTATTCTAACAGTCCTTGGGAAAATGGGTGATTCCAGAGTCTCATTAGAATTAACAAAGCTTGTTTTGTTGTTTTATTTGGCTTTAGTTCTTCAAAGTAGGCTGTCCTGATTTAATTCACCTGATGATTAAAGTGTCCTCTCTAGGTATTTTTCTCTTCTGTTTACTTCATTGTACAGCACTGTCTTGGGAAAATAAGTGTTGGTTTTGGTGGTTTAAGATAACTCAAGAACAATTATTGTGTACTTGAAAGAAAGAAAATTCTCTCCAGTCCACCTACCTTCCTAACTGGAAATTGCTAAGCATTCATGGCATTCTCTCAACTAGTTTAGAAAACATACTGGAAATTCTCAAAATCAGAATGTGAGGTTGTAGCTGTGAAGGGAAGAGGATATTGTGCAATACCTGGGAAGCAGCAGTGGACCCAACGATTCATGGATCAAATCCTTGCCTGTGCAGGTACATCCAACCTTGCTGTGGGCCCCATCCTGGGCCTTGTGCAAGGGCCTGTTGAGTCTGCTAAGGGTACGCTTATATGCCAGACCTGTCGTTGCTGTGATGAAGTCTTCAATAGTCTCATTCCATGGTTTAGGACCATGAGTAGAGAAATGGAAAGTTTGAATTTGGAATCAATAGAGCAAATCACAGAAAGGATAGAATTAAAGTAACCAACTTGGGGTCCGAGCATGGAAAAGTAGCTGGCAACAGGCAAGTGGTTTGAGGAGGGTGGTAAAGATTCCAGAACTTTTGAGCAAATAATTATTGAATGCCTATAGTTGTCAAGAAATAGATGATCAATTTTGATGTGGTCTCAAAGCTGAATAAGTGGAGGTAACAGCAAGAACAGATATTAAGACACTCCAAAGGAAGGAAAGACACCGTTGGAACTCAGGTTGCAGAATGTTGAAGGCCTAATGGAGATTCTGTTAGTAGATGAGATACCAAAGTGATAGGAATTTTCAAATACGTGATTTTTTACTCTGGCAAAGTGCTTCTCCTTATAACTCTTTACTCAATCTTTGGGCACAACTCAGACAGTTCTCAACCAGTGAGATTCACCCTCTCTCAAAGGCACAGCAAATTACACTTTCACAATGTCTTATGGGTTTCATTTTACCATTGTTATCCATTCCTCCCATGTACAGTTTGCTTATGATGCAATTACTAATTTCACATGAAATATTTTTAAAAATGGCTATGAAATATCCGCAGTGGTGTTTTACTACAGAGAATCCTCTATTATGCTGAAACTCAGGACTGTGTGGATGTTGTTAATATGAAGAAGTTGAAATGTTTGTAGTAAACATTTTCCTGGATCATGTAATCTGAAAACTCTAGTAGCCCACCACATCCAGCAGAGCCAGGCTATATTTTTATGATTCCACTGGAGTCATGCAATACAGCTGTTCATGGAGAATCTAAGCAAGCACACTTCACTCCCCCAATCTTTCAACTTAGACCGTTTATTCTTAATTCCTCGACTTGAGACATTAGAGTTTGATATGTTTCCTCACTATAATTTTATCATGCAGTAAATACCACCACCCCCATCTACCAGGAGGCAGCATCCACTAAAAGGTGAGGCTTGGAACCACATTGTTTTTTTGGAAAATCATAGGAAATATATTATTGGTACATGCAGCTCAGTTGCAGATTCGATCACATCTGAAGTTCTAAAACATGAAGCTGTCTGTTCTTTACAGAACTGCAGGAGAAGGAATGGAGGCATGCCAAAGGGCAGTGTCTTAATTTTTAAGTGTGTTTGGTTGAAAAGCTTTTCCTTTGCCTGGGGCTTTGCTAGGGAACAGCTAAGACTCTCTGAGGATATGAACGCAAGCTCTGCCAAACACAGCGAGCGAAAATAAGGACAGGGAGGGACCCCAAGGCTGGACTTATTCAAGCGTTAGGATAACTCACAGGATCAAGAGGCCTAAAATAGGAGGCAGAGAACAGAACAAAAACAAAAGTTCTGGGTAAATTATAGAAACTTCTTTAGTTGTCTATGTTATGGAATTTTGGCTGATTTAAACCTCTGTATAATCACTGTTACTGGTACATTTGATAATCAGTCTCATCTTTAGCTTACTGATAAGTATAATTAATGTAGTCTATGTCTACCTAAGAATGAAGCACAGCATTCTCTTTAAATATTGAAATACTGGAGGTTTTGGTAAAAAGGGGAAATTTTGTTTTGTTTCATAACAAAGCCATCAACCCAAAGTCAGTGAGTATAAAATTATCAATTAGATAATTAAAGTGCATTGGTGTAAGTGGGTGATTTAGCAGTGAAATTTAGCTTGGGATTTGGATTCATAATGCCTAGGTTCAAACTCTGGATTTTTAACTTCCTAGCTATGTGACTTTGGGCAAGTTACTTATATCTCTCATAGTTTGTTTTCCCCATATTTAAAATGAAAATAATAGTACCTGAGTTACAATGTTGCTTTTAAAATAAAATGATATAAGGTAATAAAAGCACTTAGCACATTATCTGACACATTGTTAATGCTTTGTAAATGTTACCTATTATTAGTAATTGGTTAATTTATTTCTCAGTCAATTGATTTAATAATGAATTCTAGAAAGCACTGTAAATATCTAAGCGTTAAAGTAGGCAACTGCCAAAGCTATGTGTCTGTGAAAGCAGTCTACAAGACAACTATTAATCAACTGCAGAAGTATGTAACGCTCATAAGCAATGAAACTGTTGATTCTTATTTCCAGCTACATAGCTCTGTGTTTTCAAAACAGTGCTCTTTGCAATTAATTAAACTCTAAATATCTAGAAGAAAAGGACAGTATCTTGCATCTCCAATGCTCAGATTCAGTGTGTGACTTAAATAGTGCTTGAAAATCCATCATGTAGAGGGTAGAGAAGGTGATGAAACTACCCATCTATAGTGTTCTGCTCAGCCTACATCACTGGACCAGCACACAGCAAATCTATTAACCCATCTATGCCTAGTGTTCCATTATTGGAACGCTAAGCTTGTGGGACTTATGTATATCCTACTGTTCAAGGTCATCGCCAAGGTCTGATTTTTCACATACAAAAATTTTCAATCTCTGGAATAAATGGGTTAATACTTCCTTAACTACATCTACAACTAGATGGTACCTCTGGAATAAATGGGTTAATACTTCCTTAACTACATCTACAACTAGACGGTGGAAGACAAGTAAATGGCTTGCATCTGCCCTTTTTTTAACTTAGAAAAATGGGGGAAATCTTTCTGTACATCATGGTGACTCCAAGTACCTTTCCAATAAATATGTGAACAAACAGAGAGGATCACATGAGTTTTCTAATTCCAAGTGTGAGCCTTGAAAATAATGTAACCAAATCAACTCAGGCCATATCAGGAACTTGTCAGCTCTTTCCCACTTTTTCTTCTGGTGGCCTTTCCAGCCTTCCACAGCTTTATCTACTGCTGGATATAACATATACAGAAAGATTTCTTCCATGTTCTGCGTTACCAATAGGTCACGGTATATGCTGTTTACTTGTCTTCCACCATTTATTTAAAGACGATGTAATTAAAGAATATTGATGAACTTGCTATTTGGTTTTCCAGAGATGTAGGCTGGGAAGGACACTATAGATTTGGAGTTGCATTGGTTTCTCTACCTCTGACATCATGGCCCATTTCACACTACTCATCTTTCTTGGATTCCCTGTCTAGCTCATAGTCTTCTTCATAGATTAGAAATTCAAACATAAATCCCATTTGACTAGAACCATGGATAGAACCTGGGCATTGCTTCCAAGGGTTCAGGTTCTGTCTAACTTGTTCCCTCTACATCCCCTGAAACATTGCTGTGAATAGATCACTTTACAAAGTTATATTGCTGATATCTCCTGAACTGTAAGGAATCTTGTGGGCCAAATCTTCTTGCTATTGCCTTTACCTGTTTTACAGTTTTGGAGTTCAAATATCAACCATGATATAAATTAGCATCTCCCAAACATTAGTCCACAAAACATAAATCCTGGGACATGCTAAAAGATGTCCTTTCATCATTACTTTTGGGAAATACTTTTTTTCTTATTCTTGGAGAAATACATTGTGTATTAGCATATTAAAGGCTCTGAGATGCTTTCCTTAGAGGAAAAAAATGTACTTGCTTAATTTCGTTTAACTTGGAATTTTGAGATTTATTTGACTCTCAAACATTTGCAAAATTATAACTCTTATGTCATATGAAATAGTGTTTCATTGAATATCAGTTTGGAAAATACTTTTCTGGTATTGGGTCATTGGGAATTCAGGCACCTGTAAGGGGTGACTCTTTTATCCTCAGGTTAAATATCTGTGGTTTCTGTCTCCTCTATTATTTCCTATTAATAGATTTCTGTAATTCTCACCACCACCTGCTAGACTGATGAGATGGGTCATGATCCAATGGTTTTGACTTATTAGGACTTCATATTTTCTAGTTCCAATTGCTCCTCTCCCAGGAGTTCCTTTGGTTAGAAGAATACTTTTTTCTTCTTCTTCAAGGAACTATTTCAGCTACTCATTTTTTCAGGGGGACTTTATATCCGGAGCAAGACACTTGTTCATCTTCTGGCTTAGAAAAATATATTCAAAGTGGCAATTAAAAACACACCCTGTAGATTAAAGCATAACTATCATCTCTTTATGTTATATCAAAAATACAAAGCAGGCCCTTGAGTTATAACTCTGATGTTATATGACATTTAGCAAGACAACTTGTTTGTGTACTACAAATAGTGAATTCTTTTATCACACAACTCTGAATAAATTATTGAACTCATTTTTGTTTCAGCCAAAGTTTTCATCTTGGGCACCTCCCCAAACCAGTGGCATTTAGCCCTGCACTCATGATAAGTAAATATCTTCATAAAATATTGGTTTCACTAGGTTGTATTATATTCCCTCTGCAACAAGTGGCATTTTAGAGCAGCACAGTCACCCACAGATGCCTAGCTCACATGTGCCTTGAAGACTGTCCTAGTTTATTGTGAGGTCCTTTCTCATTACTGATGTCATTACTTCCACCCTCTCTGTAAGTAATCCTCTTATTTCATCAAGTTTTCTTCTGAATGCCTTAACAAGCCCCTGTGACATGTGCTCCCATACCCCACATATTTGAAAATATTGGGCCTCATATTACACTTCTTCCATCCCAGCAGTGTATCTGATGTGTGGCCAATGGTCAATATATGTTAGTTGACTGAGTGAATGGATGATTGCTGTACCTTGTTGACTAAAAAGTCCAGGATCTCAAACTTTGGAACTCTTTACTTCTATCTGTGCAACATCTGTTATATTCCCTTCCATTGTCTTAGTCAAACAGGCATCATGTCTCCATCTAAGAGGGGCAAGAAAGGAATAGTTTATAGCAGATGCTAAATATAGAGAGTTGATCCCCTCAAATGAAGAAAAGGAAGAGGGATTTCCAGTGATGCTCCTGAGTAGCCCAGTGAGTCAAAAGCTGATGAGCATCTGGTGTGGCCTAGAGTAATGCAGAACTTGAAGGAGAGAAGAACCAGTTAAAGTGAAATTCCATAGTTGGAGACACAGACCACCGAAGAAGCCCACCCCTGCATTTAACTTCCCTCTGCCATAGCTAGGGTAAGGTGCATCATAGATGTATGTTATGAATGGGAGAAAAGCCTTAGGCAAAAGATGAAGAACAGAGACAGGGAGATAGTGAAGAATCAGAAACAATTGAGAAAAGGATGACAAAAGCAAGCTGACCCCTTAGTTGCCTTCTGTGAGAAGTGAAAGAGGTGGAAAAGAAAAGATGCAATGAAAAGATCCAGAGAACAAGCACAATCTAAAAGTATTGATTAAGAACCATGAAATTTGACCTTAAACACACACACACACACACACACACACACACACACACACACACACACACAAGAAAACCTAATCAGCGAAGGAGTTTAGCAACACCCAGAGACCCATGCAAGTTGAACATTAACACCTTTATTCAGTACCTTTAATGATAGAGGAGGAAAAACCATGCTTCCCTACAGAGGTAGGAGAACATTGCCCAAAGTCATCCTCAAAAGAATGGCATTACTTTAGAGTTTCAAATTAAACTATTTTAAAAGTAGAGATGGGGTGTTTTACTCGGTAACATATCTGGTTAGAATAGCTAAATGAATACTGGTATTCCCTGGCAGAAAGATGAGCTTGGAGAAGAGCACCAGGTTGTCCAGAGCCATAAACAAGGCATATGGTTCTGCATGGAAAAGTGAATCCTTTGGAGGAGATGAATACATTTATGGCATTGATTGTGATGAAGGTTTCATAGTTGTATGCTTATATCCAAACAAATCAAGTTGTATATGTTAAGTATCTATAGCTTTGTATGTCAAACATACCTCAATAAAATGATTAAAAATTAATAAATTTATCGGGGGAAAGAGTGATTTCTATGGCAATGGAACTACAGAATTGCATCCTAGAACATTGGCATGACAGACGTCCCTTTTGGGGGACATACATGAAAACAATGTTAGAATAATTTTGACGTGTGTTTTCAGGAAATTATTATTTTTTTTGGAAACCAGGGCAGCATTGTGGACACTTGGTGGAGTTCTTGATGGGCTAGAATGAAATCCTGATATATGCCAAGTGATTATTCTGGCTCATTCTTCCAAACATTTTTTCAGTAATCATCCTCTACCTGCCTCAACATTTTCCCCTTAAAAGGTGTTATTTTGAAGGCAATGAGGTCAAGTTTAGAAATTGTGACTTTGAGGTCAGGACAAATGAATTCTTTTGGGGTGAAACAAAGAATATTTTCTGTAATTTAGATTTCTGAGATTGAGACCTCAAGATCAATCAAGGAATTGATTTTGAGAAATGTACCTAACATAGAGGATCAAGAAGCTTAAGAGATCTTTGTAATGATTTGCTAAATAAATAAATAAATAAAGACCTCATCTGTCAGGCTGTAATCAGTTCTGGTTAATTTTTCAAAACCAAAAACAACTCAACAGACTGACATTTAACTTTCTAAGAAGTTAAATCCGTTTCAGTCCTTTAGGCTGGTCACATCTGGGCGAGCCTTAAGCAAATGCACCTACGGGCTTTATAAAAAATGGTTCATTATGTTTGCATAGTTTCTGACTAATTAAAACCAGCCCTGGTTTACCCACATGTTTTCTCATCAGTTTAAATTAATTTAGGTTCATCCAGGCCTACTTAAATGTATCAAAACTACTTGAACCAAATCAACCATATAAATCAATTTTCTTTGGTTCAGAGTGTTTCTGAAACTTCAGGATGAACTTAAAACTTTTTGACTAGTTTTAGATTTCTATGTAGATAACACTGCTTCTAACTGAGTAAAACCTGTCATAACTAGGACTGATTCTATTCAAACTGAATCAGATTCATTTAAATTCTGCCTGGTTTATGGCAGAATTAAAGGAGAACGTACTTAACTAGAAGGGCAACCTGATGATCTGTTGAAACAAATGCTATTAGGTACCTTGGGATGATAAAAAAAATTAGGAATACACTCAACTGGGCTTTCAGAAATAGATGGGGAAGATAAAAAAGATGAATTCAGAAGGCCATAAAAATGAACAGAAAATAAAACAGAAACAAATTGTCTGAAGAAAAATGGTGAGAGAATCTAGCTTCTGCTAAACAAAGATTCCATGGCAGGATTGCTTCACAGGAAAGAGACATGTCAGAGACAAGGTAAGGAAATGAGAAGGCCAAGACATTCAGTAATACTATTTAAGATGAAGAGAAGAGAAGTCAACAAATCATACTGTCTATTATATTATAGTAGATTAATTATATTGTTATACTAATTATCTCCCAAAAATATTTCCAAAATACAGAAATCAATTAATAGGAGTGACTTTAATTCTTGTTTTAAACAAGAGCAGAGAGAGTGAAGGGAAAGAGAAGCAGAAAAGGCGTAATTTGCAAACATTCAGGATCCACATTAATTTATAAGTATGGTTAAATCACAACTGACTATCAGAATTTCTAATACAAATGTCATTTAAATATCAGAGGCGATTGATATATCCTAAAGGGTTATTAGACATAAAAGAGTAGGTACAAGGTTGTGACATGAAAAAAGAAAAATTAAACATGTTTTATTTTTTAAAAATACCAAGTTAATAACTTTCACTGTTCTTTAGAAGAATTGCAGACAGAATTTAAGTTCAATGACGATTATGTGGGTATTTGGAATACATATATAGCGTGAGTCAACTTAAATGGGGAGCTAAAATTTTAACTATAAGAGGAGATATTTCTAAAAAATTTATAAAGTGTATAATTGTGTACAAATGAAAGAACAAAACTATGGGAAAAGAATAAATGGGTGAGGAGAGTGTATTAAAATTATAATGATGGACAACTAGAAATCTTGGGCATTATTTGTGCAGAGAACTCAAGAAGTCTCTCATTAAAGGTGGAGAGAAGAAGGCCGACTTGCTGCAGATCTAGGACTCAAGAAACAGTACAACAGCAAGGTGCCTGTGGTGTTCTTTGTTGTTATTGTTGTTGATGTTTGGTTTGTTTGTTTGTTTGAGACGGAGTCTCGGTCTGTGGTCCAGGCTGGAGTGTAGTGGTGTGATCTCAGCTCACTGCAACCTCCACCTCCCGAGTTCAAGCAATTCTCCTGCCTCAGCCTCCGGAATAGCTGGGACTACAGGCACATACCACCAAGCCCAGCTAATTTTTTGTATTTTTAGTAGAGACAGGGTTTCACCGCCTTGGCCAGGATGGTCTAGATCTCCTGACCTCGTGATCTGCCAACCTCCGCCTCCCAAAGTGCTGGGATTACAGGCGTAAGCCACCGCGCCCGGCCTGTTTGTTTTTAAACCTAGACTTGGTGCTAAAGAAGCTGACAGTCCAGAGGTGCCAACAGGCTCAAAAAAGCAACGGACCAAAAAAACAAAACAAAACAAAACAAAACAAAACCCCAACAAAAGCCTGCCCTTCAGCCAATCACCACGAAAGAGGTAGCCTACCAAGACAGAAAACTCTTAGAAAAGAATTGCTCTACTCGGGCCAAACACCACAGAGAAAACTATCATCCCATTCACACCCACACCAGCCTGAGTGGAGAGCCTATTTTTTGTCTCTAATGAGGCTGCAATGAGGCAACCATGTCTTGTTACCAGGGCGGCTGACAGAAAAGGTGGAGGAAGGAACGAGGATTTCATTCACACTGGATGTTACGGAGTATCCCTCATCAACGCATTTCTCCTTTCTTTATCCTATGTGTGAATAATAGGTCGAAGTGCCTGGCATATAGTAGATACTACATACATGCTTATTTTTAACTTTTATGCAAGTAATCATATGTTAGAAGAGCGTCTGAATGTACTAGGCACTCAAGGTATCCTTGTTTATATCCCTGAGTGTGAGTAATGCTATATTAGATAAAGCCCAGCCTATACTCATTGCTCAACTCAATCTTCTTTTCTTTACCTATGGATCAGTAATGTTCTAGAATAGGACCTGACATACATTAGTTTCTCAGCACATGCTCATTTCTTGTCCCTGAAAATAATACCTAGGATAGACTACATAGTCCCTGTGTGCTCAATTGCTGTCAATAATATTATGGTAGAATAATACCAGACATACAGAGGTTCAGTGGATTATTTCCCACCTTTATGAGAGTAAGCTTGTATTAGGATAGTGCCTACTATGTATTAGGTGCTCAAAAAGGTCTTGTGTCTTTCACTATGTGTGGGTAAGGTTGAACTAGAATAGTATCTCACACATACTAGGCTGTCAGTGCATGCTTACTTAAGTCCCCCATATGTGATTATTTTAGCTTGTACTTTGGCCTATACTAGGTAGTCTATTCGGGCTCATTTCCTTCCCTTGTGTGTGGATGTGTTGTAATTGAATAGTATCAGTTGTATATTAGGGGCTAATGCATGCATGCTTCCTCCTCCCTATGTATGCATGCTTCCTGCTCCCTAATGTTATGCAGATTAGTGCCTGGTGTGTACTTGAAGTTTAATGCATCCCTGTTTCCTTACCTCATGTGTGAGGAAAGTTGTAGTAAACCAGTGCCTGGGATATACGAGGTGCTTCATAAATACTGTTTTTCTTCTCTTGTATGTCAATAAGTCTGTACTGGAATAGAACCTAGTATACACTGAATGTTCAATACATACTTCCGTCCTTTCACATATGTATCAGTAATGATGTACTAGAATATTGCCTGGCATATCACTGCTCCATGCAGGCTTGTAGTTTATGTTATTCTAGAATTGTATCTTACATACAAGTTTCCAATGTATATTTGCTTCTTTCCCCTAGATGTGAGTAAGTTATGATAGAGTAAAACCTGAAATACGTTAAACACTTAATGCATGCTCAATTCCTTTCCTAATGTGAGAATAAAGTTGTACTAAAATAGACCCTGCAATACATTTGTTATTTAAGTCCAATTTCTTCCTTTACATGATATGTGAGTAGTGTATAATGATATTACGTGCTGCAAGCATGCTCATTTTCTTCATTTAGATATGAATTAAAATGCTCAAGAAAATTTCCATGCATATATTTTGTACTCCATATGTGCCCCTTCTATTCTCACACAGGTGAGTAAGGTTGTACAAAATTATTATTTTGTATATGCAATGTTCATTAATTAATGAATGCTTGCTTCCTCTTCCTAATGTGTAATGTTGCACCTGTCATGTTCTAAGTGTACAATGCATAATCTTCTCTTCTTATGTGAGCAAAGTCCTACTAGAATAGCACCTGGCTTAACCTAGGCATGAAATGCATGCATTAATTTTTCAGTCTAAGTAGGAGTAAAGTTGTACCAGAAAACTGGCTGACATTTAATAAGTGATTGTTTCTGTTTTTCTAATATTGCATTAAAACAGTGCTTGACAACACCAGATGCTCCATGCATGCCTGTTTTCTTCTCCTATGAGTGAGTACATTGTACTAGAAGATTGCCTGACAAACATGAGACACTTAACACATACTTTTATTATTCTACTGACTTATGAGTGATGTACTAGAAAAGTACCTGGAATATACCCCGCACTTAATACATATTCACTCCCTTTTCCTAGATAATAGCAAATATTAACTAGACTAATACTTGGCATATAGGAAGTAGTAATTGCGGTCCTGTTCCTTTCCACTATGTGTGGATAAAGTTAAACTAGATACCTATAGTTGGGGGGCCCTGTACTAGATGATCAAAGCATGCTCATTTCTTCCACCTGTATATGAGTAATTGTTCAAGTCTAGTGCCTGGCATATTCAAGATACTTAATGCAATCTTGTTTTCCTACTCTTCTGTATGAATAATGTTTTACTAAAATAGAATTTGACATATAATAGGCATTCAATGCATGCTAGTTTTTCCCCCTGGAGTTATGTTTTGCTAGAATACTTTCTAGCATACATTAGGTGCTTCATGTTTCCTTCCCCCATCTTTGGTAAATTTGTGCTAAAATAAGGCCTTGTATACCAAAAGCCCTTAGTGCATTGTTTAGAGATTAGATTGTATATTGTATATGTTGAACTATGCTTGCAGTAAGTTCCACTTGGTCACCCTAGTGTTTTACTGAGGACTTTTGCATCTGTGTGTATCAGGGGTATTGGTCTCGGTTTTGTTTTCTTTTGTTTTCTTTAGAAACAGGGTCTCTTTTTGCCACCCAGCCTGGAGTGCAGTGGCCAATCATAGCTCACTGCAGCCTCAACCTCCTGGAATCAAGCGATCTTCCCACCTCGGGTTCCTGAGTAACTGGAATTACAGCCACATGCCACCATAGCCCAGCTGATTTTTTAATTTTTATTTTTTGTAAAGGCAGGGTCTCGTTATACTGTCCAGGCTGGTCTTGAACCCCTGGGCTCAAGTGATCTTCCTGCCTCAGCTTCCCAAAGTGCTGGGATTACAGGGGTGAGCCACCACATCTGGCCTGGTTTTTTTCCTTTCTTATGGTGTCCTTTTCTGGTGTTGGTATCAGAGTGATGCTGGCCTCATAAAATGTGTTTGAAAGTATTTCTTCTTTTTCTCTTTCCTGGAAGAGTTTAAAAGGATTGGTATTCTTTGAATGTTTGGTGGCACTCAGCCATATAGAAGACCATTACGGCCATTATAGTTTTCAGTTACTACTTCAATCTCTTTATTTGTTACTGGTCTCTTAAGGCTTTCTATTTATTCTTGATTCAGTTTTGATAGGTTGAATGTTTTAGGAACATATCAATTTCTTCAGATTATCCACTTCATTCATGTATAACTATTCATAATAGTCCCTTATAACTGTTCATAATAGCCTTTTATAATGGTCCTTTTCACATGTGAGGCATCTGTTGTAATGTAAATCTCTTTCATTTGTGATTTTATTAAGTCCTCTCCTTTTTCTCAGTCTAGGTAAGAGTTTGTCAATTTTCTTTATCTTTTCCAAAAAACGACTACATTGTGTTGTCTTTTCTCTATTTCTTTTTATACTTTATTTATTTCTGCTATAATCTTTATTATTTTCTTTCTTCTGCTAACTTTGGGCTTAGCTTGTTTCTCTTTTTCTAGTTTCTTGAGCTGTAAAGTTTATTTATTTGAGATCTCTCTGCTTTTTGAATGTAGGCATTTATCACTATAACCTTCCCTCTTAGTACTGCTTTTGCTGCATCCCATAAGCTTGGTATGTTGTGTTTTCATTTTTATTTGTCTCAAGATATTTTTTAAATTTCTTTTTGATTTCCTTTTTGACCCAATGGATGTTTAAGAGTGTGTTGTTTTCCATGGTGTATTTATATATATCTGTATGTATATATATATATGTATATATACATACTACATTTTCTTTTTCTTTTTTTTCTTTTTTGAGCTGGAGTCTCACTCTGTCGCCGAGGCTGGAGTGCAGTGGCACAATCTCAGCTCACTGCAACCTCCATCTCCCAGGTTTATACAATTCTCCTGCCTCAACCTCCCGAGTAGCTGGGATTACAGGCGCCCACCACCACGGCCAGCTAATTTTTGTATTTTTAGTAGAGACAGGGTTTCACCATGTTGGCCAGGCTGGTCTCAAACTCCTGACCTCAGGTGATCCACCTGCCTCGGCCTCCCAAAGTATTGGGATTACAGGCGTGAGCCACTGCACCCAGCCCACCACATTTTCTTTATCCACTTGTCGGTTGATGGACATTTAGGCTGGTTCCATATTTTTGCAATCGTGAATTGTGCTGTTATAAACGTGTGTGCAAGTGTCTTTTTCATATAATGACTCATTTTCCTCTGGGTAGATACCCGGTAGTGGGACTGCAGATCAAATGGTAACTCCACTTTTAATCCTTTAAGGAGCATCCATACTATTTTCCATAGGGGTTGTACTAGTTTACATTCCCAGCAGCAGAGTAAAAGTGTTCCCTTTTTACCACATCCATGCCAACATCTATTTTTTTTTATTTTTAAATTATGGCCATTCTTGCAGGTGTAAGGTGGCATTGCACTGTGGTTTTGATTTGCATTTCCCTGATAATTAGACATGTTGAAAAAAACAGAATAATGGAATTCACAGCAACCTGGATGGAGCTGGAGACCATTATTCTAAGTGAAGTAACTCAGGAATGGAAAACTAAACACTGTATGTTCTCACTTATAAGTGGGAGCTAAGCTATAAGGACACAAAGGCATAAGAATGATATAATGGGCTCTGGGGTCTCAGGGGGAAGGCTGGGAGGGGGATGAGGGATAAAAGACTACACATTTGGTACAGCGTACACTGCTCAGGTAATGGGTGCACCAAAATCTTAGAGATCACCACTAAAGAATTTATCCATGTAACCAAATACCACCTGTTCCCCAAAAACTGTTAAAGTAATAATAGTACAAAGAATTTTAAAAGAGTATGTTATTCAAGTTCATGTATTTGTGAATTTTCCCATTTTCTTATTATTATTGATTCTAGTTTCATTTCACTGTGGTTGTAAAAGATACTTGGAATGATTTTAACCTTCTTAAATTTATTAAGACTTGTTTTGTGACATATTATGTAATGTATCCTGGAGAATGTTCTCTGTGCACTTGAGAACAATGTGTATTTTTCTGCTGTTGGGTGGAAAGTTCTGTATAGGTCTGTTAGGTCCTTTTAGTCTATAGTGTTGTTCAATTCAGATGTGTCTGTTTTTTTTAGTTGGTTTTCAGTCTAATGCTGTATCCATTACTGAGAGTGGATTATTTTAGTCTCTTACGATTATCGAATTGCTGTTAATGTCTCCTCTGATATCTGCGAATATTTGCTTTAAATCTTTAGATGCTGTAATGTAGGATATGTATATTTTTATAATTGTTACATTTTCCTGTTGACTCTTTTATCATTATTGGATGACCTTCTTTGTCTCTAGACTTGGCATATACTAAGCTTTAAATGCATACTCATTTCTTTTATTGTATGTCAGAAATGTTAGTGCCTGCCATTTATTATTTGCTCAATGCATCTTCATTTTCTCCTCCTATAAGTGAGAAAATCTCTACTTGAACAATATCTGGTATTATAGTCACTCAATGCATGCTTGCTTCCTTCCCCCATGCGTGACCAAGATTGTGCTAAAACAGAACCTGACTTAAATGAAGCACACAATGTATGCTTACTTCCTTCCTGATATGGATTTGTGAAGTTATACTGGAATAATAGTTGGCATAAATTCAGCTCTAAATGCATGCTCATTTTCTTCCTCTACATGTACATATTTGATAGTAAACAAATGCCTGACATATGTAAGTGCTGGATGCACCCTCATTTCTTCTAAGAGTGAGTCATTCTGTACTAGAGTGTTACCTGGCGTGCACTAGGCAATAAATGCATGCTTGCTTGCTTCTTTCCCCTATGTATGGATAACATTATTCTAAAATAACACCTGACATATATTAGGTGATTAGTCGTAATCTTTTCTTTCCCCTTATATGTTAGTATGTTTGTACTAGCATAGTATCTGGCATATCCATGTTGTTTCTTTGCACTCGTATATGAATAATGTGCTGGAATCATGCCTGATGTATGTTAGGTACTCAACTCATCCTTGCTTTTCTCTGCTACATGTTTTTAATGTTGTGTTCAAATAATACCTGAAATATATAAAACTTCAGTGTATGTGTATTTCTTTTCCCCTATGTGTGAGTGATGTTAGAATAGGAATTGTGCCAGACATATGTTAGGAACTCAAAGAGCGTTCATTTTCTTCTCCCTATGTGTAAGTAATGCATTAGAGTAGTGCTTGCCATATGCCAGTGCTGCATGCATCCTGGTTTCCTTCCCTTATGTTTTAGCAAAGTTGTAACTACAATAGTGCCTGGCACATCACAGAGGGTCAATACCTGCTTGTTTCTTTCTCTGTATTTGTGAGTAATGTTGTAGTAAAACAGGTCTTGGCATATAATATGTGCTGCAAGTAGGCTTGTTTCTTTCCTTTAAATGTGATTGTGGGTGTACTATAAAATTGCCTTGCATATGGTAGATGCGCCATGCATGCTCATTTGCTTCCCCTTATGTGAGAGCAATTTTGTATTAGTCTTAGTAGAGGACCTGACATATACTTAGTGCGTGCTTGCTTCCTCCCATTTAGGTGTGTGTGATGTTGTGCTCAAAGATTGCCTGTCATACAAAGTATTTGCTTTCTTGGAGTAATGTACTAAAATAGTGCCTGGCATACCCTAGTTGTCCCATGCATGCCTGCTCATATCTGTCTCCTATATGTGAGTATGCTTGTATTAAAATATTACCTAGCTTATACAAGGTGCATAATGAATTCTTGTTTTCTTTTCTCTGTACAAATAATGTTGTTTCAGACATATACTGGGCATTCCTATGTAATATGTCTCATTATCTATATGTAATAATGTGCTAGAATAATGCTTGACCTCTCCTAGGTTCTCAATGTATGCTTGTGTTCTTTAGTCTACATAAGATTAAAGTGGTACTAGAATACTGCCTGGCCTACAAAGAACATTCATGCACACTTGCTTGTTTTTATACTTTGTGGTAATGTATTGGAATAATGCTTGGCAATACTAGGTGTAAACAAGTATGCACAAAGCAATGAATATGTTTCAGGAACCATTTTGGTACATACACATAAGAGAAGGGAATCAGGCATGCATTAATTTCTTAACGTATGTCCATATTATTCTATTACAACCTTATTAACATAAGAGAGAGAAAGAGTGAAGCGTGAGTGAAGTGCCTAGTGCATGGTAAAAGCTATTACAACCTTACTCTTATGTAGTAGGAATCACATAGCCATGCATTGATAGACTTGTATAACTCCAGTCACTGTTCTCATAAAAACTTCCTCACACATAGTGCAAATAAATGATAATGAATTGAGTGTGAGGCAGTGTTGTAGTACAATATTACTCACATATTAAGAAAGAAAACAAAGGGCTTTGAATGTCCAGGATATGCCAAACACTATTCTAGTATAATGTTACTTCCATGAAAAGAAAAACAAATGCGCATATCTTAAGTTCCTAGAATATGCAAGGTATTATTTTTGTATAATGTGTGTATAATATTCACACGTGGGGAGAAGAAAACATGCATGCAATGAGCATCTAGTATGTGCTAAGTACCATTCTCCATTAATCTTACTCTCACATCAGGACTGGGACTGAATATACATTAAGTATATGTCAGCTACAGTTTCTGTAAAACAATACTAACATGTCAATTGAAGAATACAGATACGCATTGAGCTCTTGTATTTTTCACTGTAATAGTACAAACTTTTTCTTACATAGGAGAAGGAACATGCGTGTGTGTTCAAGCCATCCTTGTAAAATTTCTTCCCTATGTGTGAATAATGTTGTATTTAAAAAGTGGAGGGCCAGGCATGGTGGCTCATGCCTGTAATCCCAACACTTTGAGGGGCCAAGGCAGGAGGATTGCTTGAACCCAGGAGTTCAAGACCAGCCTGGGCAATATAGTGAGACCGTGTCTCTGCATGAAATAAATTTTTTTTAAAATTATCCAAGTGTCATGGTGTATGCCTGTAGTCTCAGCACTTAGAAGGCTGAAGCAGGAGGAACTCTTGAGCCCAGGAGGTCAAGGTTGCAGTAAGCTGTGATCATGCCATTGCACTCCAGCTTGAGCAACATGGTGAGATGCTGTCTCAAAAAATAAATTAATAAAATAAAATAATTAAAAAGGGGAAAAATATAATAGGCACTTAAAGAATATTTGTTTGCTACTCTATGCGTGGTTAGGTTTTTTCTGGAATAGTGATTGGCATAATATTAGATGCTTCGTGCATACTCATTTCCTTATCCCATGCATGAGTAGTTGTGTACTAGTATCGTATCTAGCATATATTGGTGCTCAGTGCATGCTTGCTTACTACTTTTCTTCTCTATGTGAGAAATATTATACTAGAATATTGCCTGGCAATACTAATTACTTCATGAGGGTCCCTTCCTTTCCCTATTAGTGAGTAATCTTGTACTACTATAGTCTCTGGCATATAGTAGACACTCAGGGTATGTTTACTACCTTACCTCTGTATGTTTTAATAATGTACTAGAAGATTTCCTAGCTTGTAGTAGATGATAAAGGGAACTTTTCTTCCTTCCCCTGTGTATGAGTAATGTTATCTAGAGTAGCACCTGGTGTATAATATATAGTCAATGTATGCCCATTTCTTTAGGAGTAGTGTCATAAAAATTGGGCCTGCCAAATATGGGAGCTCAATGCCTGCTCCATCTGTGAGTAATGCTGTGTTAGAACAATACCTAATATACGCTAGGTGCTCAATTCATGCTAATTTTTTCCACTTATGTGTGATTTATGTTTTAAGGCTACTCACTAGCATATACTAGGTGCTCAACGAATGCTTGTTTATTTCTTTCAATGTGCAAGTAATGTACTAGAATTTATATGTCAGGCAATCAATTCATGTTTTTCCTTCTTTCTCTATGTAAGTAATGTACTGGAGTTGTTTCTGACATATGCAAGGTGATCAATGCACGCTTATTTAATGTTTCTTGTGTATGAGTGATATTGTTCTGATTTTTTACATGCTTTAGAAGTGTTGACAAAGGCAAAATTTACTACCAAAATATATGCGTAGATTTGAGACAGCTATAGGCAAATCGTATCATCAGATAGATGTCCAATGTGTTGGAGTGTGAGCTTTGACAGAACTTTGAAGTTGGATAGAATTTACATTGTTGAAGAAAATGAAGAATTATCCAGGTAGGAAACCATGAGCCTACGAAAAAGTTGAATTGGAGTATGGTAAGGATCACTGAATGTTGAGTGTGGAAACCTGGTGTCAAGATTTTGTTCTGTTGCTATGTAATACGGAAGATGTGGTATTACCTCTCCAGTTGTCAATACTCTTACTTTTCTGTAACCCAAATACCTCAGGGTGTCTCGGGCTTGTGGATGTAAATGAAGTCACATTAGTATACACAAGTACTTTTTGTGTTATTGTTGTTCTTTGTCCTTGCTTGCTCATTCAGAATCCTTACTTTATAAAATGAATCTACTCAATTCTTTCTGAAAGTTCGTAGGAATACCTCTTTAAGGACTAGTGTGTGTGTTCTGTGATCTCTCACTCCAGGTCATATCCCTTTCCAGACCCTCCTCTGCCTGCCCATTATGCGGATTCTTCTGGGGGGGAACACTGCTCAGTGCGCATATGTACATACACATACAACTATATCAACATATGTAATTGTGGTAAGAATAGATAGCAGGAGATATGCCCTTGTACATTTTTAAATGTACAGTATTTTTAACTTTAGCACGATGTTGTACAGCATATTTCTAGAACTTATTTGTCTCGCATTACTGAAACTTTATACTCATTGCTGGCCTAGTACACTTTTAAGAAGTCTCTCGCACGTGAGAGTCTAATTGAATTCTTCACAGAAATGGTGACCTTGAGTGTGAGTCTTTTCTCTTCCCTCAGGTACTGCATCAAACTCTGCTTTCTAGCATGCTTGGTTCTTAAGGAGACAGATAAGGTAAAATCAAAAAATAATTTAACTATAGCCTTTGTGATTGGCAAAGAGAAAAATCAATCCTACGGTTATAAGCTCTCTCATTGGAGTGAGGCTGATAATCATTCATTAAAAATGTAATAAATAAATAATGGAATTTGCACAAAATAAGCCAGAGACCAGGAATTTAGTAACGAATGACATCCTCACTATCTCTGCCTTTATGGATAATTACAGATCAGTGGAGGTAACAGGTATTTAAATAAACAAATGTAATTCAATACATAATCTTTTCTGAAGATAGCAGTGTTGTGAGGCTTTTTCAGAAATGTTTCAGTTAAAATATTAGGAAGAGGCTAAAGAATAGTAAGCCAGTATAAGAGGGAGCTAAATGACGTGAACACATGGGCACAGACTGTGGAATAATGGAATAATAGACATGAACTTTGGGAGGGTGGTGGGGGGGGTGAGGAATGAGAAATTACTTAATGGGTACAATGTATATTATTTAGGTGATGGTTACACTAAAAGCCCAGATTTTGCCACAACACAGTATGTCCATGTAACAAAACTATACTTGTACCCCACATTTATACAAATAATAAAATGAATAATAAGCTAGAATGTACATTAACACATACATTCCACTTTCACTGCTAATCACTGTTGCATTACCATGACTAGAACAAGGACATATTTTGTATACACACACACACACACACACACACACACACACACATAAGGAATGAATGAATGGAGGGATGATGGTGCTAAGATGACAAAATGGAATAAAAGATTAAAAAATATGGAGGTAATGGGAGCAAATATTTGTTGAGTTGCACACTGCCTTTGAGCGTCTGGCTGCTCATCACTGAAAGGTGAATGGTACTATTCCCCTTATGGGATTGGTCTTGTGATTAGATTATACACTCAAAGCACTTAGCATTCTGTCAGTGCTCATTGCTAAGGATGGAGCTCTAAATCATGAGAACAAAAGTAAGTTACAGAGGGTAAGAGAGTCCATCTGTCTTGATAAGGATGTCCATGGGTTTGAGTCATAGCATCCCAGTGACTTGATGGAAGCATGTCTCACTAAAGGAAGCCAGGACAACTTGGAAACCTTCATGAAAATCGGCAGTGCAGCTCAGTACTTTTCCAAGCATCATGAGAATGTGTCCTCTGTGGGGGAGTAGCTGGTATGATGCTCCATCTGAAATTGGCTTAAGATGTGAGTTTAGGACAGTCGAGTTTGGGGATTATCTTCTGAACTTGAAAGGATTTAGCAAATATCTCTGTGTAAAATTCTAAGACCATCTTTGATTTCAGAAAATGTTATAGATTTTTAGCTAAAGTACTGAGCTTAGGAATTAGAACAGCTTAGCTGTGTCCAGACTTTGCTTCTGAGCAAAAACAGAGATGCCAACAGTAATTTTTTTCTGGGAGTATATTTTATATATTGTGTAAAGACAAAATGAAGAAAAAGAAAGAAAAATGGACACTCAAGGTTGGAGAATTTATCCTTTCCCTAATGTTATGTAACTGTCAGAATGCAATGAGGTAGATGTTTTTCCTCCTAACAAAATGTTCAAGTTATAGAAAAGAGGATAATACTTTTGTTCTTTTATGGAAGATAAGGTAGTATTTGCTGATTATGCTAATGTGAAAAGATGATTTGATTTGCAAATTTGAATAAATGGTCAGTCAAATCCTGAGATTACTTTTGCTAAGTAACCTTCCATTTAAATTTATCTCTGGAATAAGTTGAGATATAAATAAAATAAGAGTGATCCAGGATTACTAAAGCATATATGGATATATACCTTATATAACTTGCAGCCTAATTTGCTTATGAGCCCTTGAACAGGATACATTTAGTATTGGCTGTTTTAGAGTTGTTTTTATATGAAAGTCAGATAATATGTTATATTTTGATTTAAATCTTCCATTTGTCTCACTCAGCAGTATGTCCTGAACATTTTCTGTGCCTACACATACAGATCAATATTTTTCTGACAGCTCTCTGATATTGTATGGCACAAACCTACATCATTTAACACTCCTATTGTTGAACATTATGCTATCTCCAATTCTTCCACATAATAAACAATGTCACAAATACCCTGACACGTTCGCTTAAGTATCTACATAGATTTCCAGAAATGAGATTGCTCAAAGATATGTGCATTTAGTTTGCATTGGGTTTTGTTTTGTGTTGTTTTTGAGCAGTCTTATAGTTACAGAATAGTTGCAAGTACAATACAAAGAAGTTATCCAATGCAACTGTCTCACACCTCTGAACTCACCAGTGTGTGTTTTCTACAAATAAGTATATGCTCCTACATGGCCAACTTCCAACTATCAAAATCAGGTGATTAACATTGATTCATTGCTACCCTCTAATACTCAGACCTCATTCAGGTTTCTGTAAGTGTTCCAGTAATGTGACTTTTTAGCAGAAATATTCATTTTAGAATTATATGTTGTGTTTAGTTGTCATGTCTTTTATTCTTTATTCTGGAATCTTCTTATTTTCCTTGACTTTCTAGATCTTGACACTTTTGAAGAGTACAGAACAATTAATTTTTAGAATGTCCCTCAAATTGTGTGTGTCCGATGTCTCCCTCATGAGTAAGTTCATTTTATACATCTTTTGCAGGAATAGCATAGAAGTGACATTGCATTACATCTGTTCAGTAAGTACACAACTTTAATTTGGGTTATTGCTGATGATGTTCACTTTAAACATTTGATTAATGTAGCATTTTCCAAGCCTTTCCATTGTAAAGTTACTATTTTTTTTTTCTTTTTGTAATTAGGAAGTATTTTGTGGGGAGGGTCTTAAAACTATATAACCATCTTATTTCCCATCAAACTTTAGTTCTTCATTCACTTAGTTATATCTGTGACATAAGTAAACATTCATTATATTTTACTCACAATTTTTAATGTAAAAGTGAGATTGCTCCAAAATAAATCCATGGTTTCCTATTTGACTTAATGGGTTATAATACGTTACTGTCTTTGAGCTCTTTATTACTTTCTGGGACAGCAAGATCATCTTATACTTGCCTACCCCAGCCTTAGAATCAGCCATTTCTCCAAAGATATTCAATTTCTTTTCAGTAGAGATTGGTATTTAGAAGCCAAAATCTGGGTGCTAGATATGTTCATCACTACTGGGATGTCACTAACTTCAACTCCAATGCAACATTACAGGACTCATTCAAATTTTCTCCCTTTTCATATGTGCAAGTCCCTTCTCCAACTGTGAAAGACCTGCCTCTCATTTTCTTTAAATACTTATTTGACCAAGCTCCCTATATGTAACTCATCTCCTGTTACTGTTGCCACCTACTTCCTTGGATAGAAAACACTTCTCGTTTTGCTGGGGCTCTGAATTCCACTATCCACAAAGAACTTAAGCTAATTTAGGTTCTAAGTAGATAATCTGGAACTCAGTGGGAGTTAATGTTGGTCATTTTGGGTTGTGATAGCCACATAGAGTAGACATTTGAACTTAAAAAATAGATACTAAGATGATATCTGTGAGGCCAAAAATGAAACAACAAAACAAATTTCTTAAGAGATGCCATGAAGGAATCATGATAAATACAGATAATTTCTAATTTAATGATGTAGAAGAAGACAAATTTGAGTAGGAATAGCCCCATTAGAAATTGTGATTTGCCTCCAGCATACCAGTTTTATGAAGCTCAAAATATGCAGCAAGAACACAATGACTTCATTTCGTGGAAATTCCCAGTTATTTTAAAACAGCCAGAACTGATAAAGTGAAATCTAGTTCCGAGGGTGTAGTGACTGAGAAACTGTCATTCACTCTGAAAGTATCAATGAGAAAGAACACTTCATTCTGTTGGTTTGTGTTCACAATTGTCTTTGGCCTCAAGCATATTCTTATTTAACTTTCTAGTTTCCTCTACTTGACCTGACACTAGTATGTACATAAGAATATTAGGACCTCAGATCTTGTCCATAGATTTTAAGTTTACAAATGGAACTATTTCCTGGTACAGGCACTGATTTTTCAAATACCTTATCAATTCAGTTATATTGGCTTCTGAGATGCTTTTTCATATTTTCTTTACATGTGGAGCTCAAAAAGTGCCTAACAATTTTCTCTTTTGTGTTTTGTCTGGAAGAAAAATAGATATTTTAGAAGTCTAAACTTATTATTTTGGGCATCAAAATTGCCAAGGACACTAAAAATCACATCATAAATTTATATATGCATTGTTCTGTAATTTAGCGTGATATCATGAAATCATTCATTGAATTTAATATTTATTGGGCACCTATTATGTTCCAGGCAATATTTCAAGTGTCATAAGAGGAAGAATTATGCAGGTATATAATGCATCAAGTATATATAAGACAAGGCAAGAATTGAATTAGGGATGCATCCTGCCCTCTAGGAGATTACAAAAAACCAGGAGGGATAACATATACACACATGATTTTAACCAAATGTAAACGACCAAGATAAAAGGATTGTGAGAGATATATAATTAAAAAATAAAGAAACATGGGGGACATGAGATATTTGTGCTTCCAGACCTGGGATGGGATGGGTTGGGGAGATTAGAGAAGCAAGAAACCTTGGAAGAGGAAGATCAGAATGATATCTGTAGTATATTGAGAATTTTGCATGTTTATTTCAAATGTCCCTACCCTTCTGAAACATTAGAGTTAAGCATATGTAGCATAGATGATTTTATGTTTGGGAACAATAGAAGAAAAAGTTGAAAAGTAGACATGGCACTTGAAGCCCATCCCTTTATTTCTGACAGTGGCACTACTCTAGGTCTTGTCTGTCCTGCTCAACATTACATCACCACCATCTTGAAGAGCATATGGAATGTTATAGAAGATCAATGTATATTTGAGGAATTAAAGAGCAATCCAAGACATGCAAACTTTATGATTTAGGTATCTTTCCTCAGACTGGATATGACTTAAAAGAAACACGCTGCTGGTATTTCCTCATGTCTTGGGCAAACAGGGCAATCACAGGAACAAATGATATGTAGAGGACGCATTTTTCTTTCAACTGTTTGTTTTTGGCTAGTTCTTTGTCTACTTTTCATTGATTTATGCATGATAACAGTCAGCTCTTTGTCTACTTTTCATTGATTTATAAACTAGAGCGCTAGAATAATCTTTTTATTTTTCTTAAAATAATTGTGGATGAAATCACCTCATGCCAAAAGTTAATGTTTTATGTATCTCTTTTCCCATAAGAGACTGTGAAGAGATGGGATCCAGTCAAATTTCATGACTCTGTAGTTCTCCTATAAGCCAACCTGACTTTCTGAAGCATATATTGATCTTATTTTTGAATTTCTACAAAACTGTTGAGGATTTCAGTGTAATTTTGTTTCAATGGCTTAAACTAACAGCAAATAAATGAGGCAAAAAATGACAATGAAGGAGGGTAAAGACTGGCCATTGCTAATAGGAAGTCTTATTGTCTGGAACAAGAGCTGTAGAGCATATTCAATATTAATGCAAAGATTGAGGTTTTTTTTTGCTTAAGATTTGCCTAGTGGAATTATGCTAAAATCTATCAGCAGTCACAACATCTCGCATTTTTATTGAGTGTTGTATTTCACAGTGCTGTTACATATACATTATCTTTATCTGATAATCTAATAAAAAGGTGAGAGAAACAAGTAGACTCTAGTTTATAAATGAGGAAGGTGAGATTTAGGGAGAATACAGCCCAAGTTCCCAGACCTGGTATGAAGCAGCACTGGGACAGGAACCAGGTTTTGCCACCTGGATTAGTACATTTCCAAAACCATCACTCTGGCACTGCCTTTAAAAATTAGCATTCTACTTTTCAAGGCTGGAAGAATGTTGGTAGGGTAATGTTGAGAAATATGTGAATCTTGTCTAGTAGCTTTGCTCATGCTCGGAACTTTAAGTGACTAAGAAGAAGAAACAGACAGAGAAAGATGGCACTGAGCAGATGAGTTCAAAATCAAAGTCTACTTCATTCCTGTAGAGACTGTGAGAGCTACTGATGCCTCCCCAGGGCAAAGCCAGACTGTTATTCCATATTTGCCGAAAAGAGCTACTGACATGAAGGGGTGCTGCTCATTTCATTCACAGTCCTCTAACTTCAACCTAATCATAAGAGAGAAGTGGCCACAGATGAAAATGAGATTACTTTTTACATAAAATTAGATTAAGGGGTCCTGCTTCTCTCTTTGAAGTATTTCTTTAAAAATGCACAGTTTCCTATTGAGGATATTACAAATTATTGCTTTTAATGGATCTTGCAAAGTAAAGTGCACTGTGCTTGAACTCCAAACTTGTGTCACGCCTTGGTGAGTGTTTTATGAATTATAAAATTGAAAAGTAAGTTAAGATACAGAAGTGGCTGCTGGCTCCTCCATCTGATAAATCTTATTTGGGATCAGTATGTAATATCCCTTTTAAGACCTATTTCATTTCTTTTTTATGAAGTTTAACTGAATACCAATAAAAGAGAGGAAATTCTACCCATGTATCTTTGCTTCTTCCTTGTTAACTATACTACTTACCTGTTTAAATTTTCTTTCTCTTTTCAAAATGAACACAGGTTTTCTGAAAATGTGAACATCAAATTTAATTGTGTTCTGTAGTTTACAGACATTGCACAGGACTGATAACATGCTTGGAGATATATACGTTTTAAAGTAGGTGTTAACCAGGGAGGATCAACATACAGAATGGCAGAGTGAAGACACTGATTTAACTCACTTTCCCTCTAAAACAAAGATGCAAACAAAATACAAGCAAAACAACTAAAACCAGTCATTTCAGAACTTTAGCAATTAACCAAAGCCACAGAATAAACTGAAAATCATGTATCCAAGAAAAACTACTGAACTCTTTTTAAAGACAGTAAGAGCTGCAATGTTTTAATTTAGGAACATTCTCATCTTCTCTCCCTCCCTCCCTCCCCTATTTTGTTGTGTAGTATGCAAAAGCTAGAAGCATTGCAGACAATGAAAAGATCAGACCACTCTTGGAGACCCATTAAAAACATCATCCCCAGTGCAAAGTCAATATTTTGTCTGAACTTTCAGACAAAATTTCCATTCTCAAATAGCTGTTTGAATCATTCAGAGGGTGGCTCGGTGGGAGGTGGAGCAATCTGATACCAGTTGTTTTTGATACAACTGTTACAAAAACAACTTTGTAACAAAAAATACAAGAGAAGAGAAAGGAAAGCATGTTCATCATGCACAGGTTTTTTTTTTTTGTTTTAGTAGCCAACATAAAATGCCCCTGAGTGGGGCCAGATTTTGAACTTAGTAGAGGACTTTAGAGAAGCGAATTATATGTATAAATATTAAAATGTATTCAAAGAATTGTAGAAAATGATGTATGTAGAATTAAAGGAAAATGTAAAAATAATACTTTATATGGTAGCAGCATAGGTATTATAACAAACAGTATAAATGTAATTGTGTTTGTAATTCTTTTTTTCTCTAACGTGTTTGAAAAGACAACTGAATAACTATAAACATAAAAGTGTCGGCTGGGCACGGTGGCTCACGCCTGTAATCCCAGCACTTTGGGAGGCCGAGGCGTGTGGGATCACAAGGTCAGGAGATCGAGTCCATCCTGGCTAACACGGTGAAACCCAGTCTCTACTAAAAATACACACACACACACACAATTAGCCAGGTATGGTGACGGGCGCCTGTAGTCCCAGCTACTGGGGAGGCTGAGGCAGGAGAATGGCGTGAACCCGGGAGGCGGAGCTTGCAGTGAGCCGAGATCGCGCCACCGCACTCTAGCCTGGGCGACAGTGCGAGACTCCATATCAGAAAAACAAAACAAAAAAAGTGTTAACGGCATGCAATGTATACAGATATCATTTGTACTAAAGAAGGAGAGGGAATAGGGATGGTTTAGAATAATTTTTTGTATACTACTGAAATTAGCATTCACCAAGTAGATTGTTTTAACTTAAGGTGCTAATTGTCATCTCCAGAACAACTACTACAAAAATAACTTATAGTAAAACATCAAAAAAATAAAAAAGGTAAGCTAGATAATATATACTTAACAAAAAAAGTCAGGAATCAAGGAATCAAGAAGTTAGAGAAAAACAATCACAAGACATAAAGAAAATAAATAACAAAAGGGCAGACATAAATTCTACCTTATCAGCAATTACATTAAATGTAAGTGGGTTAAACATCTCAGTCAAAAGATAAAAATAGGCAGAATGGATATGTTGTCTACAAGATGCAGTCTTAAGATTCAAATATACAAAGAAGTTGAAAGGAAAAAATGTATAGGTTTACATGGAAATGTCAACCAAAAGAAAACTAACATGGCTGTCCTAAAATCAGACAAAATAGACTTTGAAACAAAATTGTTACTAGAGGAAAAAAAGGACATTTTGTCATGATAAGAGGGTTAAGACATCAGGAAGATATAAGAATTATAAATATGTATCACCTATCAACAGAGTCCCAGAACATATGAAGCAAAATCTGACAGAATTAGAAGGAGAGATAGACAATTTAACAATAATAATTATGATCTTCAATACCTGATTTTCAGTAATGAATAGAATAATAAGGGAGAAAATTAACAAGAAAATAAAAGATTTGAACAACACTATACTATAAGCCAATCAGACATGATAGGCATTTATAGAATACTCTACTCAAGAGAAGAATACATATTTTTCTCAAGCTCATATTAAACATTCTTCAGGATAGATCTTATGTTAGGCCATATAATAAGCTTCAATAAATTTTAGAAAATGGAAATACAAAGTATATTCTTTAACCAAAATGGAATTAAATTATTAGAAATCAACAATAGCAGAAAATTTGAGAAATTCACTAACATGTAGAAATTTAATAACACTTTTCTAAATAATTAATGTGGCAAAGGAGAATTCAAAGGAAATTAGAAAATACTTTGAAAAAAATGGAAATGAAACACAATATCTCAAAACACATGGGATCCTGCTAAAGCAATGTTAAGAGGGATGTTAATCACCGTAAGTGACCATATTTTTTTAAAAAAATCTCAATTCAATAACCTGAACTTCCACTTTAAGAATCTGAAGAAAGAAGAGCAAACTAAACCCAAAGCAAGAAGGAGAAAAATAATAATAATTACAGGAATTATTATTACAGGAAAAGAAATTAATAAGAGAATAGAAAAAATAATAGAGAAAGTCAATGAAACAAAAAGATTATTCTTTGGAAAGATCAACACAATTGTCAAGCTTGGCTGGGCTGGCCAAGGAAAAAAAGATAGAAGATTCAAATTACAAAAGTCAGGAGTGAAAGAGGGACTTGACAGATATAAAGTGAGTAATAAGGAAATATCCAACAACTTATGCCAAGAAATTGGGTAACTCAGATGGGATGGGCAAATTCCTAGAAAGACAAAATCTACTGAAATGGACTCAAGAAGACATACATATGTAAATAATCCTATAAAAGCTGTGGTTGAATTAGTAATAATAATAATAATAAATATGTCCAACAAAGAAGAACCAAGTCTATATGGCTTTATTGGTAAATGCTATCAAATATTTAAAGAATAATTAATAACACATTTCACAACACTTTGAAAAAATATGAGAAGAGAATTTCCAACTTATCTATGAGATTAGTATTATCTTGGTAACAAAAGCAGTACAAAAACAATACTACATCCCAAATATTATATATATTATATATAATGTATATTTTATATACATATATTATATATTATATATATTATATATTATATATTATATATATTATATATTATATATATAATATATATTATATAAATTATATATATATTATATATATTTTTTGTTTGTTATGTTTTCTTTTTTTTGTTTTCTTTTTTTTATTATACTTTAAGTTTTAGGGTACATGTGCACATTGTGCAGGTTAGTTACATATGTATACATGTGCCATGCTGGTGTGCTGCACCCACTAACTCATCATCTAGCATTAGGTATATCTCCCAATGCTATCCCTCCCCCCTCCCCCCACCCCACCACAGTCCCCAGAGTGTGATATTCCCCTTCCTGTGTCCATGTGATCTCATTGTTCAATTCCCACCTATGAGTGAGAATATGCGGTGTTTGGTTTTTTGTTCTTGCGATAGTTTACTGAGAATGATGATTTCCAATTTCATCCATGTCCCTACAAAGGACATGAACTCATCGTTTTTTATGGCTGCATAGTATTCCATGGTGTATATGTGCCACATTTTCTTAATCCAGTCTATCATTGTTGGACATTTGGGTTGGTTCCAAGTCTTTGCTATTGTGAATAATGCCGCAATAAATAATATATATATATTTATATATATAATATATAATATATTATATATATATATTTATATATATAATATATAATATATTATATATATATATTTATATATATAATATATAATATATTATATATATATTATATATATAATATATAATATATTATATATATATTATATATATAATATATAATATATTTTATATATATATTTATATATATAATATATAATATATATTATATATATAATATATAATATATTTATATATAATATATATTTTCTATATATTATATATATATTTTATATATATTATATATATTTTATATATATACACACACACACACACACACACACACACGTTCCTCATGAATATAAGGGCAGAAGACCTCAACAAAATACTACTAAACTGAATTTAGCAATATTTAGAAAGGATTATACATGATCATCAAGGGAGATTTACTACAGAAATACAAGGTTGGTGTAACAACCCAAAACCAATCAAGGTAACACACCATTATTTCCCATTAGTTCTGTAACAAATCATCACAAATTTAGTGGCTTAAAACAATATAAATTTATTATTTTACAGTTCTGGGGTCGGAAGTCCAAAATCGATCTCACTGAGCTAAAGTCAAGGTTTCTGTAAGCTTCTTCCTTTTTTTTTTGGAGGTGTTAGCATAGGGAAAATATCCCAGTCAGGTGGCATCAAAATATGTTACCAGTAGCAAATCGATACGATCTAAAGGAACCCCAATTTTTGCCACCTCAGAAGAAAGAATTTGACCTAGGGGCATAAGGCAGAGGGAGAGACCAAGGCAAGTATTAGAGCAGGAGTGAAAGCTTATTAAAAAATATTAGAGCAGGAACCAAAGGAGGCAAAGTACACTTGGAAGAGAACCAAGCGTGTGATTTGAGATTCAAATGCACTCTTTGACCTTGAACTTGGGGTTTTATACCTTGGCATAAAACCAGGCATTTTTCCCTTACCAGTTCAGTGTTCCTAGAGGAAGGTCATATGCCAGTTAAACTCTGCCATTTTGCCTCTTAGTGCGCAGTGCATGCTTGAGCCCACTTACCTAACTCATCTTATTCAAAAGCTGATCACCAGTTTCAGGTTTTTCTATCTACCAGGAGAGTGCACTTCTGCAGTGCTAGCTGCAACCAATTATTATTTTTAGAGAGACAGCTTAACAACTTCCTGACCATCGCCTGATGGTTGCCTGACATTCCTGGAGGTGGTGGAGGGCCCTCTTCTGCCCTGCTCATGTTTGACTAGTTACCCACTATAACAGAAGCTCTAGGGGAAAATCCTTTTTCTTGCCTCTTCCAGTTTCTGGAGGCTGTCTATTTCTTGGCTCGTGGCCCCGCATCACACCGCTTTTTCATATCCTGTTTCCATTGTCACATCACCTTCTACTACCTTTGACATTCTTGCCTTCCTATTATAAAGACTCTTGTGATTACATTCGACCTGCCTAGAAAATTCAGGATGATCTTCTCATCTAAAAACCCTCAACTTGATTAAATCTGCAAAGACCCTTTATCATGTAGGGTAACATATTCATAGGGTCTAGGAATTAGGACATGGATATATTTGAGTGGCCATTATTCTACCTGTTACATTATACCCTCTGTCCTCCAAAGGTTTCTAGCCATCTGACTTGCAAAATATATTCTCCCCATTGCAACATCCTCAAGGTCTCAACCCACTGAGCATCTATTCAAAGTCCAAAATCTTATCTAAGTATCATCCACTCTAACATCCAGAATTTCATTGTCTAAATTGTCAGAATCAGGTATGGGCTATATTCTGGGCATCATCAACATTGGGGCAAAATTTATTTCAGTGTGAACCTGGGAAAGTAGACAAATTATCTTTTCTCAAAATACCATAGTGGACAGACTTAAGATACCACTTATAGACATTTCAAAAGGGTCAAAGTGGAAGTAAAAATCTTGTCACTGCTTCAAAAATAATTTTGAAATACAGAAGGGCAAATTCCATTAGGTTTTAAGGCCTGGGAATAACCCTAGGAATAATCCTCTGTGGCTCAAAATTTCAGTTTCTGAGTGGTCTTTTTTCCCCCTATGAAGGGCAGCACCTGTTGATAGCTGAGCAGTTTCATGTCTGTTTACTAACTGTAGAATTTTAGAGGTCTGGTAGCCTTCTTTGGTTTCATCCTCACACTGACCCTTTAGTTCCAAGCTCAACAGTGTTTCTGCTGGAAGTAAATCTTTAAATACCAGTAGATCTTCCATGCATGGCACAGGGATTTGCTCAATTAGACAAAAAATTCTTCCATAGATTTCTCCTGGATATTTCCAGCTCGATTCGTGGCTTTTCCTGATAGGGCTAAAGGGATCTATGAGTTAAGTGCCTAATCTCTTCAAGGAGTCCTCTGTGTGACTGAACACTTTGATATTTGTATCCTTCCAATGCACTGATAAATTCATCCAGGCATACCCTTTCTCTCTAGAGTGTGCTTTTTTGACAGTGAATCTGTTAATTTTAGCATCTTTTGCAAAATGAATAGCCTGATAATTTCTTAAATTATCAGTTTCTGATTTCATTTTGCTTACCAGATCTTCCCTCAATTTATTTCTTGCCACTTGCTTTTTACTATAAGGGCAAGAAGAAACCAAACCACATCTTCAACAGTTTGCTGGGAAATCCCCTCGGCTACATAGCGAAGCTAACTATTACAAGTTACACTTTTTAGATAAATCCCCTTTCCTCCAGTTCCCACAAATATGCTTCTTGTATTCTTGTGAGCACACAACAGCAGCAGGTTTAATATCCATATTTTTACCAGTAGTTAATGACAACTTAAATATCTCTAACATAATATATATTTTCTTTGCTGTACTCTTCACTTTCTTCTGAACTCTAATGAGCAGAATCATTGACATTCATATTTCAATGAATAGTCTGTTCAAGGCAAACTAATTTTTATCTACCATGTTTCTCAAAATTCTTTTAGCCTCTCCCCATTACCCAATCTCAAAGCCACTTCCAGATTTTTAGGCATTTGTGACAACATCACTAGGAAATTGGTATACCTAATGGTGGAATAAAGGATAAAAACCACATGATTATCTCCATATATACAGAAAATCATTTAAAAATAAAACCTCAGGTTATTTTATAATAAACACCTATAACATATTAGAAATAGAAAGGAACTTACTCAACCTATAAAAGATACCTGTAAGAAAAATCTGCTTCTGACATCATACTTAATTGAATGCTTTTCCCTAAAATTACGAATAAGACAAGGATGTCTGTTCTTACAACTTTTATTTAACATTACACTAGAGAATCTAGCCAGGGAAACTGGGCAAGGAAAGGGAAGCAAAAGCATCCAGAGGGATAAGACAAAGTAAAACTACCTTTATTTGAGACGACATATCTTTTATACTGAAAATCATAAGAAAATCACCTTTAAAAAAAACCCTTATTTTAACTAATAAAAGTGTAGCAATAAGGCAGGAAACAAAATCCATATACAAAAGTCTATTGTATTTCTACATATTAGCAGTTAATAATCCAAAACATGTAATTACAGTTAAATAGGAGAAACATTTTTAAAATGTGTCCAGAACAGATGAATGTAGAGACAAATTAGATAAGTGATTATCTGGGCCCAGAGGTGGGAAAAAGGATAGGTGGAGGTGGGGAGAGAATTGGTGATTTACTACTAATGATAATGGATTTTCTTTTTTTGTGTGATGAAAATGTTCTAAAATGTATTCTGGTGATAGTTGCACAACTCTGTGAACATACTAAGAATGATTGGGTTACATACTTTAAGTGGATGTACTATATGATAAGTGAATTATATTTCAATACAGTTGTTTAAAACAAACAAAAATGAAATTGCGAAAAACATTCTACTTCTAACAACAAATAAAACAAAATTTTTAAAATGAAATTTAACAAATTAAGTGCATATATTATAACTGAAAACACGTTTGAAAGAAATTAAAGAAATTGACATAAATAAAAATACCTTTTTTGGATTATGGATTGGAAGACTTAACATTGTTAAAATGGCAATAATGACAAAACTGATCTTCAGATGCAACACAATTCCTACCAAAAATTTTAGCTAGTTTTTTTTCTAGTGATTGACAGGCTGATTCTAAAATTCATACAGTACTGTAAGTGTTCCAGAATAATTAAAACCATCTTGAAGAAGAACAAAGTTAAAAGACTCACACTTTCAATTTCAAAACCTATTAAAAGCTGGCATAGTCAAGGCACGCTGGTATTGGCATAAGGATAGTTATGTAGATTACTAGAATAGAATTGAGAGTCCAGAATAAACTTTTAAAGATTTGGTCAAACGATTTTCAGTAAGTGTGCTGAAGAAAATTCATGGGGGCAACTGGGTATCCTCACGCAAAAGAATGCCTGTGGATCCCCACAAGCATATCATACACATAAAGTAACTCAAAGTTGATCATACCCATAGAATAAAAGAAAACATTAGTGAAACATGTCCAGAATATATGAAGAATTGTTGCAACTTAACAAAAAAAGACAAATAATTTCAAAAGAATAATTTAAATAGCACTTTTTTTCTCAAAAGGTATGCAAATGGATAATAAAGACATCAGAAGATACTCAATATCTTTAGCCACTAGGAAGATACAAATTTAAACCACAATATGATATCACTTTACAGTTATTTGGATGACAAGAATATGGAGGAATTGGGTCCCTCATGCATTGCTGGTGAGAATGCAAAACAGTGCAGCCACTTTAGGAATCAATCTAACAGCTCCTCAGATGATCAAATACAGAGTTACTATATGATCCACCAATTCCACTCCTAGGTACAAATGTAGGAGAAATGAAGAAATCTGTCCACACACAAACTTGTTCATAGCGGAATTATTCATAATAATCAAAAAGGAGAAAAAAGACTAAATATTTATCAACTGATGAATACATAAATAAAAGTGGTGTGACCAACCATAACATGGAATATTATTCAGTGAAAAAAAGAATAAGATACAATAGCATGTTGTGACATTCAAATATGAAGTGGATCTTATAACTAATTTTAGGAAAAAGAGTTTAGATTGATATATTTGTGATGCTGGACATGATTATATCCATTGCATGGGTATATTTGAAGTTCAGTTGGATTTGGTTGCAGAGGGTTATCTATTAAGATACAAACCACTAATCACTGAACACAGTTACTTTAATTTACATTTGATAAATCTTTAAACATACAATTAGTAAGTGTGTAGATTACTTTGGAAAATATTTATACATTTTAAGCACACACACACATGAACACGCACACACACAAAGTCACACATTAAAGATAGAGCTAAAGACTGTCTCCTTTATATATATTCCCTCATTCTGCATGATGTATATGATGCAATATTATACAAAAATATATACTATTAAATTATTGTTCTGATGTCATATTGTGTGTATCCTTTTGCAAGTTTTGCTTAATTCAGAGACACTGCCTCTATTTCTCTTTTTTATAGTTTTTTTATAATTATTTTAATGAGATTGAAAAAATGTAAGAGTTGGAATTTTCCTGTTCATCTTTAATGTGAAACATGAGACATTCATTTGAATCTGAAAGCTACAGTTAGTTTATTCAGTCATTTGGGTATACTAGATAGGCTCATGATTCATTTGTAAGCACTGGGTTTATATTTGTCTGGTGCTTTATTCATATATTCATCTGACTAATTCAATAGGAACAAACCTAAGGATGATTTTCTGCTCTGTAATAATGAGTCTTTGATCAGGCTTTTTGAAGCTGTTCAGGTTTCAGGAAGTCTGTGACCCCTTGGAAATTGTATGTAACCTTTTAAATGTTTTGTATGCTTCTGTGTGAGAGTGTGTAATTTTTATCAAAATCAGCATTTACATTTTTTACAAGTTCTTAAAGCAATCTCAGATTCACAAAAACTTAAGAACCATTAACCTAGTGTCTAGGTTAACCATACAACTCAAAGCAATTTGCAAATGTAAATTGAATCTGTAAAACACCAATGACAAAATACCAATGACAAAAGACCCTGTCAATATACCAATGACATTTTTTTTCACAGAAATAGAAAAAAAAGAGAAAGAAGAAACAGAAAAAGCATTAAAAAAATTCTAACGTTTGTATGCAAACAAAAAAGAACCCAGATATCCAAAGCAATCCTGAACAAAAAGGACAAAGCTGGAGGCATCACACTGTCTGACTTTAAAATATATTACCAGGCTGTAGTAATCAAAACAGCATGGTATTTGCATGAAAACAGACACACAGAACAGAACAAAGAACTGATAAATAAATTCATATATTTATGGCCAACTGGTTTTTGACAAAGGTGCCAAGAACATACATTGAGGAAAGACTCCTTCAATAAGAGGTGCTGAGAAAAATGAACATCCATATGTAGAACTATGAAATTAGACCCCTATTGAGGCAAGAGAATAGGATCTGGAGGCAAGGAATCTAAGGCCAATTTGTGCTAACTTCCTAAAACTGAATCAAGGGAAATCACAAAAGTCTGGGGGACAGGATTGAAGGCCAATTCATGATAATTCCCTAAAGTTAAAGGAAACCACGTTTGTCTGGGGGCAGGGAACCTAAGGCCAATTAACACAAACTTCCTAAAGCTAAACCAAAAGGAAAAACCCCATCTTCCCACACCGAGTAACAAGGGATCAAAGGCTACTCCCCCTACAATCCTTCCCCTTCCACCACATCTCAGATGGAAAGGGAAAGTGCCCTGGATTAGACACAGCCAAGCACACATGGGGCACCAATTCACCTCAGTCATTAATTAGCAACAGACCAAATCCTTCACCCAGATAAGTGGTAACCTATAGGGACCTCAAAAAGAGTGCTTAAAACCCAGAAAGCTTTGTAACTGGGCCTTGAGTCACTTGCTCGGGCCCACTACCACCCTGTGGAGTACTTTCTTGCCTTAATAAATCTCTGCTTTTGCTATTCTTGTGTTTCATTCCTTTGTTACTTTGTGCATTTTGTTCAATTCCTTGTTCAAAATGCCAAGAACCTGGACAACTCATGCAAATATTTTATGGTTAAGAACTTAAAAGCACGGACAACTAAACCAAAAATATAGAAATGGAACTATATTAAACTAAAAAGCTCCTTCAGAGTTACAAAAAAAAAAAAAAGAAAGAAAGCGATAGAGTGAAGACGACCTGTTGAAAATGAAAAAAAAATTTGCAAACTATTCATGTGATAAAGGACAAATATTCAGAATGTACAGGGAAATTTGTAATCCTATTAAAAAGTGGGCAAATGACCTGAATAGACATTTTTCAAAAGAAGAAATGCAAATGTCCAAGAGGTATATGAAAAAATGTTCAACATCACCAATCATCATGGAAATGAAGATCAAAATCATAATGAGATATCATATTGTTTCAAGTAGAATGGCTATTATCAAAAAGACAAAAAAAAAAAAGACAGATGCCAGCAAGGATGTAGGGAAAAGCGAACTCTTAAAGATTTTTAGTGGTAATATAAATTAGTATAGCCATTATGGAAAACAGTATGGAGGTTTTCTCAAAAAATTAAAAATAGAAGTACCTTATTATGATCCAGCAATCCCACTCCTGACTATTGATCTAATGGAAAGAAGACCAGTATGTCGGAAAGATACTTGCACCCTATGTTTATTGCAGTACTATTCACAATAGCAAGGGTATGAAATCAATCCAAGTGTCCATCAGTGAATAAATGGATAAAGAAAATGTCATATTTATACACAATGGAATAATCTTTGTTTATAAAAAAAGAATAAAATTATGTCATTTCCAGCCACATAGTTGGAACTGGAGGCCATTATGTTAATTGAAATATGCCAGGCACAGAAAGACAAATATTCCACCTGTTCAGTCATATGTAGGTGCTAAAAAAGTTGATCTCATGGAGGTAGAGGGTACAATGATAGTTATGAGAGGCTGAAAAGGTGTTTGTTTGTGTGTTGAGGGGAAAAGGGAAGATGAAGAGAGGTTGGTTAATGGGCACAAACATACAGTTAGATAGAAAAAATAAATTCTTTCTTTTTTTTTTGAGACAGAGTCTCACTCTGTTGCCCAGGCTGGATGGAGTGCAGTGGTGGGATCTCAGCTCACTGCAACCTCCGCCTCCTAGGTTCAAGAAATTCTCCCATCTCAGCCTACCATGTAGCTGGGATTACAGGTGCTCCCCACCACACCCAGCTAGTTTTGTATTTTTAGTAGACATGGGGTTTCACCATGTTGGCCGGGCTGGTCTTGAACTCCTGACCTCCAGTGATCTGCCCACCTTGGCCTTCCAAAGTGCTGGGATTACAGGCGTGAGCCACTGCACCCCGGCCAGAGAAAATAAATTCTAATGTTTGATTGCAGAGTAGAGTAACTATAGTTAACAATGTATTGTATACTTCAAAATAGCTAGGAGAGAGGACATGAAATACTCCCAACAAATAGAAATGATAAATGCTTGAGGTGGTAGATATCCTAAATACCCTGACTTGATCATGATACATTCTATGTATGCAACAAAATATCACATATACCCAACAAATATGTACACAAATTATGTGTCAACAAAAATAACATCATTTTCTGAGAACAGTTTATGTCCAAGATAGAATGTTTCATGTTGTGGGAGTACATAAAAGTTATCAATAGATTTCCCCCAATATCTGTTCTTGGCTGTATTTTATGATTGCAATTATTACATATAGTACTTCTTGACAATAATTCATACTTCTTTCACCTGGCCTAAATTTGTTCTTGTGCCTCCAAACTCCCTGTTATTATTGACAATTGAACATTAACTACCTGATATATACTCAAATACAATATACTCAACATTGAAATAATTGTTTCTCCTCCTCTCTCCTTCCCTCCTCCCCTTAAACCCTATCTCCCATTGAAAATAACAAAATTAGAATATAACCCTGTTTCCACTCCTGACTTAAATGTTTCTTTTTTTGTAACTGTCATTTCCAAATGACTGACATCTGAATCTCTAAGTTATTTTTAACAATCCCATTTACATAGTTGCTAGAGTCTTGTTATTCTTTTTAGAATATTGCTAATTAATACCTGTGTGACTGGCCTCAATTCTCCCCAATTCATTTAATTCCTGCTGCCAATGTACACTTAAGATTTTCAACATAATATTTCTAGATCACTTCTACTTTCTGGTACCCACAACATCCTACTCTCTCCACCAACATCCCACTCTGAAATATTATAACATTACCTTTTCAAAGTCGTAAGTCTGATAATCTTAGTTTCCTGCTGAATAATTTCTCATTAATTGTATTTACTTGATGAATTAAATTCAAGCACCTGCTTAGACTCACTTGAATCTTACATTGCCTAAATTTATCTCTTCTATTTTAGCAAATGTTATTGCACTCCAAAAAAATCCTAACCATTTCCTTATCAAAGCATTCAATGTCTGGTCTTTTCTTTTCAGAGACTCTTCTTACTAGGTATCACATCTATTCGGAAAAATTCACAATAATTATTTCTTCAGAAATTCCCTCTCATTCTATTTATATTTTCACTTGCATATTGAAGCTTTTAGTCTACCTTCATATCACTTGACTTCTGCCTCTTATTTTCCATCAATGTGTGCGCTAATATGTGCCACTCCTGAGATCTACCCTCTTTTTCATTTATTTGTCTTCAACTTTATCTAGTCTACTGTCTGAACCAGAGTTGCTTTTTTATTTCAAAGCATATGTGTATACATTCATATGTATTACATATGTGTATGTGCATGTATATATACATATTTAAATAATTATATTTGGTTTATTTTTAAATTCTTCCTTTTCATGCTTGTTTTTCCCTTTCTTTATATCATGAAGATTTTCAATATATGCATTTAAAAGTCTCTTTCTGATTGTTTTGTTATCTCTCCTTCTTAGGGTGTAACTTTGAGGATTTCTGATTTAGTTAATACTCCAATCACTCTGAGTCATTTCCTCCTATAGGTCATTTATTTTAAGGTCATTTTCTATGGATTTGTTTTCCATGGGAATAACACTTGCCTTAATCAAAGCAAGAGTTCAGTTATAGGGTAGTTCCTATTTTTATTCTGATGGGACCTTCTACTTTTCACCAGATATGGACCAGTTCTTCTGTTAATTTCTCAGTATCCAGTTGGATGAAATAAATGTGGCTTCTGGTGTCCTGTGAGGCACAAGCATGATGGGCTCATCTCATCTTCCTTCACAGCCTTCTATTAGCTGCTTTGTAAACTTAATAAACTTCTTTGCCTCTTCCCAGGGAAGTGAGTGAACTCATTTTTCTGGTTCTTGCTTCACAGGGAGCCAGTTCCTTGTCCTTTTGTCTTGGTGCTGTTATTTTGAATGCAGCAACCTTTTTGACATGACCTGGAGGCCTTATGTGGTGTTTCTCAACAGCGTGAGAAGTTCATACTCTAGATGTTAAAGTATCTCTCTTGGTTTCAATATAATCATGAGCCTTTCAGATTGAACCTCTGTTTTACTGTCACCACTTGAAGTTTTTGTTTGTTTCCATAGGAGTTTATAGTTTTCTAATTTAGCTGTATGTGTTTAACTTTCACTGTTTTTGTTGTTTGTGTTTTTGTTTTTGAGACGAACTCTCATTCTGTCACCCAGGCTGGAGTGCAGAGTGCAGTGACATGAGCTTGGCTCACTGGAAACTCTACCTCCCAGGTTCAAGTGATTCTCCTGCCTCAGCCTCCTGAGTAGCTGAGAATATAGGTGCCCGCCATGAGGCCTGGCTAATTTTTATATTTTTAGTAGAAATGGGGTTTCACAATGTCAACCAGGCTGGTCTCAAATTCCTGACCTTAAGTGATCCACCTGCCTCGGCCTCCCAGCATGCTGGGATTACAGGCATGAGCCACTGTGCCCAGCCCTTATTGTTGTTTTTTATATTTTATTCAGTATTTTAACATTTTGAATGATTACAAAAGTTCTTACATTAGGCCAGTCTACAATGTTTACTCTATGTCTCTCATTTTATTTTTACCAGGACCTGAAAAGTGGTATGTTTCTCCATTTTGTAAATTAATAAATGGAAGCTGAGTAATATTAATAGAAATTGAACTGACTCAAAATTGATATATTTGTTAATTAAGGAAAAAGAGTTTGGCCTTGCACTGTGGGAAGACTACACTATAACAATCAAGAAAGGCCTTCAGAGAATATAGATAAGACATGGTGCTCTTGAGTAAAATAAAATAGAAAAAGCAGGAAATGTGGATGACAGATTGAAATGCCTTTTGACTGAATTCATGCAGTACTTGAGCTGGGATCTGAGATGTTTTTCTTTTCCCACTTTGCCCAGTGATGTTGGGAACAAACAGCCAACTTCACTATATTTGTTAGTTTGCCAAAAATATTCAAAAGTATCATATACGTAGTCATCCAGATCCTTGCTTCTTATAAGTGGTTGCATTCAATGTAGATATTTTATGTATCTCTACTGCCAGGTCACACCATGGACTATGAGTGCTCTCTTTGCTACTGGAAATAGGGTCATTAGCATCTTTAAATATAATCAGATTAAAGAGCCAATTCCAGAAAACTCAGAACCAGTTCAGAAACCTCATCCTTAAAACACTATTCCTCTTGAACCACTCTAAGTACCAAAATCTGTATTAGTTAGGGTTCTCCAAAGAAACAGAACCACATAACCAATAGAAAATATGTACATACATACATGTACTTCTCTCTCTCTAGATATAGATATAGATGTAGATGTAAATATATATAGATATAGACAAATCAATTTATATCTAGATATCTGTCTAGATAGATGCATCACTTAATGATAATGTTCTGAGAAATGCATCATTAGGAAATTTTTTTGTTGTGTGAACCTCAAAGAGTTTACATATACATATCTATGTGCTATAACCTACTATACACCTTGGCTATCTGATATAGCCTATTCCTCCTAGGCTACAGATCTATACAGCATGTTACTGTATGGGATACTGTAAACAACTGTAACACAATGGTATTTGTGTATCTAAATATATCTAAACATAGAAAAGGTACACTGAAAATACAGTATGGAAGGTACAAAATAATACACCTGGATAAGGCACTTACTATGAATAGAAGTTGCTCTGAATGAGTCAATGAGTGAGTGGTGAGGGAATGTGAGGGCCAAGGACATTATTGTACATGATTGCAGACTTTATAAATACTGTACACTTAGGTTACACTAAATTTATTTTTAAATGTTTTTCTTTCTTCAATAATAAATTAACCTTAGCTTACTGTAAGTTTTTTACTTCATAAGCTTTTTAATTTTTTAAAACTTTTTGACTCTTTTATGATGACAAAACTGAAAATAACATTATGCACTGTACAAAATTTTTCTTTCTTTATATGCTTATTGTATAAGCTTTTTTCTATTTTTGATTTCAAAATTTTTTTAACTTTTAAAGCTTTTTAATCCTAAAACTTTGAAAAAACAAAGACACAAACACACATATTGGCCTACAGCTACACATAGTCAGGATCATCAATATTACTGTCTTCCACCTTCTTTTCTTGTTCCACTAGAAGCTCTTCAGGGTTAATAACATGCATGGAGCTGTCATTTCTTATGATACTAATGCCTTCTTGAATACCTCCTGAAAGACCAACCTGAGTCTATTTCCCAGTCAACATTTTTTTGTAAGTAGAAGGATTATACTCTCAAATAATGATTAAAGTATACTCTAGTAAATACATAAACCAGTAACATAGTTGTTTATTATTGTTATCAATTATTACAGGTACAGGAGTATTACTGATACAGGAGTTAAGAGGAAATTACTCAGGCAGATAGTAAGGGTATGGGAGTCTTTGGTAAGGCTTTTTTTTTTTTTAATGAAAAGCAGCTCCAAGTCATTTTCTAACAAAAAGCAGCCTGTAAAGTCGAGCTAAAGACATAGACAAGCAAGCTGGGAGCTTGCAGGGGTGAATGCTGGCAGGAACCAGGGAGAGACATGTTCCAAATGGCAGCTCCACCTTCCCTTCTCTGCCAGCCACATGTATAGTAAGGAGCAGACAAGATGGCAGGGATCAGCTGGAAAGTTCATTTGCATAATGAGATTTGGGTGGGGTGGCCAGCCTTCACTGTGCACTATGTAAACGTCATACCTGATTGAACCAATCTGTGAGCCCTATGTAAATTAGACATCGCCTCCTCAAACCTGACTATAAAATCTGGTGCATCTGCCACAGGTCCTTTCTCCTTGGAGACCCCTTTCTTTATAAAGAGAGCTGTTTCTCTTTCTCTTCTCTTCTACCTATTAAACCTCTGTTCCTAAACTTTGTGTATGTCCATGTCCTAAAGTTTCCTGGTGCATGATGATGAACCCCAGAATATATACCCTAGACAATGTAGCTGCTTCAGTGCAAAATTGAATGTGCTATACTTTCAAATGACTGGCAGGGCAGATTTGTTTGCATCAGCATCACTACAAACACATGAGTAATGCATTGCACTACTGTATTATGATGGGTACATTACTAGGTGATAGGAATTTTTCATGTGCATTATAATCTTATGAGATCACCATGGTATTTGCAGTCTAACACTGACTGAAACTTCACTATGCAGCACATGACTGTGTGTGTGTGTGTGTGTGTGCGTGTGTGTGTGTGAAAAAAGAGAGAAAAAGAAAAGGAGAAAGAGCTTTATTATAAGGGATTGGCTCATGTAATTACAGAGGCTGAGAAGTCCCAGAATCTATAGTCAACAAGCTAGAGACTCAGGACTGCTGCTGTATAGTTCCAGTTTAAGTCCAAAGACCTGGAAACGGGGAGAGACAATGGAGTAAACTCCAGTCCAAAAAGCTGGCAGGCTCGAGACCCAATAAGAGTTAAGGTTTCCTTTTGAATTTGAGAGCAGAAGACAAATGTCTCTGTTTAAGTAGTCAGGGACAAAGAGTTCTCTTTTACTCAGCCTTTTAATTTTGTTCAGTACTTTAATTGATTGGATGAAGCCCACTCACATTAGGGAGGGCAATCTGTTTAACTCAGTCAACTAATTCAAATGTTGATATTGGCCAGGTGCGGTGGCTCACACCTGTAATCCCAGTGCTTTGCGAGGGGGGCAGGATCACTTGAGGTCAGGAGTTCCAGACCAGCCTGGCCAACATGATGAAAACCTATCTCTACTAAAAATACAAAAATTAACCAGGCATGGTGGCACGTACCTGTAGTTCCCGCTACTCAGGAGGCTGAGGCATGCGAATCAGTTGAGTCTGGGAGGCAGAAGTTGCAGTGAGCTGAGATCATGCCACTGCACTCCAGTCTGGGGCACACAGTTGTTTGTTTAACAAACAAAAAACAACAACAACAACAAAAAACAAATATTGATCTCATGCAGAAACAGCCTCACTGACACACTCAGAACAATGACCAACTATTTCAGCACCTTGTGGCCTAGTCAAGTTGACACATAAAATTAGCCATCACTAGGACCATGTGCATTTTATTGCTAGTGAGGTTTGTTTTCATGTGCAACTTATTGGTCCCTGATCTCTTAAGCCTAGTGATAGCCAATTATCTAAAACATTTCCTGGGGAGGAATGAGGAAGAAAGTCTGCAAATGGCAAAGAATGTTTATTTTGTGGCTAGCATCCACTCTGTGATTCTAGAATAATGACTTTTGCCAATAGAAAGCCAATAATCTCTTTCTTCAGCTGCATCCAAACCTGTGTAACCTATTTTATATCATCAACATACTTTGGAAAAGAACATTTTGTACACAGTAAGATATAACTTTTCAAAGCCTCTTGACTTCATCTGTATCCTTGAGTCGTAGATAATCTTGGGGATAAAATCTTCCTTCCACAGTATTTGTGAACAATATAGAGATCTCCAGACTACTCTAATTCATGATGTTTTGACAGGCAGAATTTTTTTCACCTACTTTAGCCGTGATTGATATTCTGATAATCATTTCCACCAGCCCTTTGACTCTAAATTCCAGCAAAGCTTTTTCATCAAAATAGAATATAAATATTACTTATAAGTTATTAAAGTTTTTATATTCCTATACCAACAACATTAATAATAAATCGCTTAACATATTACCCTTCTCAGAGGATGTTTGCATTTTATGTGCCTTAGTCAGCTCAGACTATGATTACAAAACACTGGGAGCTTAAACAACAAAAATGTATTTCTCACTTCTGGAGGCTGGAAAGTCCAAGATTAAGGTACCAGCAGATTTGGTGTCTTTTGAAAGCCCTCCTTCCTGTTTGCAGATAGGATACAGTCTTCTTGCTATATCTTCACATGGTAGAGAGAGGAATAGAGAGGGCTATGGTCTCTTCCTCTTCTTACAAGGGCATTAATGCCATCAGGGAGGCTCTACTCTCATGATCTCATCTAAACCTAATTGTCTCCCAAGGGCCCTGCCTCTCAGTACCAACACACTGGGAATTAGGGCTACAACATATGAATTTTGGTAGGTCGCAAATATCCAGTCCATAACAATGTGAGTCTTCAAAATTTAGTCCATCATTTCCCAAAGCATGTTCTTAGAGGTACAAAACGATATTTGCAAAATGAGGTTTCCTAGTCAAAACTTTTAGAAAACACTGCAGAGTATATATCCTCTTGGAAATTCAACAAGTATATGCATGTACTAAGTGCTCTGAGAAAACTTGTAATAAACAGATTAATACAATGTCTATTATCTTGATTGTGGTGGTGGTGTTATCAGTGTATCATATGTCCAAACTCACTAAACTGTATAAATTAAATATGTTTAGGTTTTATATATCAATTATACCTCAATTAAATTTAAAAAGTTAATCCAGCTTTTGTCAGACTTTTTGAACACAAGACTTTTTAATCTATTTTTAAAAGTATTGGTTCCATAGAAGGGCAATCACAACTAATATTAATTAAGCTTTTACTTATATTAATTAACCTTATATTAATTAAGCTTTTACTAATATTAATTAGGCTTTTCATATGCTAGGCATATGAAGTGTTTTGTATATTTTCTGATTTTATTGTCACAATTATCTGAGATACTGTTAATATCATCATTTTCTTGATGAGGAAATTGAGGCTCAGAGAGTTTCAGTCACTTTCCCAAGGCTAGACAGTAGAGAGCAGGGTTTGAGCCTCTATTAGTTTTCCTCTGCTATTGTAGTGACTTTTCACCAACTTAGTAGTTTGGTGAAACCATTTTTTGTGTTACATTTTTGTGGGTCAGAAGTCTGACACATCACACAAGGCTAAGATTCAGTTGTTAGCAATGCTGCATTCTGGAGGATCTAGGGGAGGTTCTGTATGCTGTTCATTGGAGTATTGGTAGAATTTAGATCCATGCATTTGTAGGACTGAAATCTCCATCTCCTTACTGGCTCTCTGTTGGGTCTCCTTTAATTCTCAGAGGCCTTTCTCAGGTCCTTGGTCCCTACATAACCAGCACCAATTCTTCTCGTGCAGCCATCTCTCTTTCCTACCTTTATGCCTCTTTATTCCATTTTTAAGGACTCATGTGATAAAACTGGGCTTACCAAGAGAATACAGTATAACATTTTCACTTCAAGATCCTCAAATTTAATCACATAAGCAAGGTCTTTTTTACTGCATAATAGAATATAGTCATTACAACTTCCAGGGATTAGGGTGTGAGCTTCTTTAGGAGGCCATTAGTTTGCTAATGATAGGGCACACTTATTTTGACTTTGAGGCCATGTTCTTATCATCATGACTCTCTTTTGTATTAAGAATGCCCTATATAGCAATAGCATAGAACTATGGGAAATATCTCCTTTGCTCAAAATAACAACACGAGAAGTAAAAATGCAAACATAGGGCAGGCCTGGGGAAAAGCTATTTGGGTTTTTAGGATCTAAGAACACAAAAGTACCTGCAAATGCTCATCCTTTTGGAGCAATGTGTGTCATACACAGCATGATTTTAGAAATTCCAAATAACTTATATCTCAGGGCTTTAGAAAAGTGTGAAAAAGATAGAGAAAGTGGACCCTTAAATATGATTTCTTTGTATTTTCTCTGGCCAGACCCCGCTGGTAAACTGCTCTGTGACTTTATAAAAGGCCATTTGTTTGTAGGTGACTTGTGATAATATAAACAAGGATGAGAAAAGTGTTTTTTTGTTTCCTATATGAGTAGAGCTTGGTTTTTATACTTCAGACTTCAGTAAGCAACATGCTTGAGAATTATCACAGGGATTGTTTTCTCTTCCATAGTCAACACTGCTCCTTGGGTATTTGTAGAAATGGCAAATATGTAGCTGAACGCTTACATCCTGACTACAAAATATATTCCTTTTCAGCTGTCCAGTATGTGTTCCATTATGTGTGAAAATTCATTTACTTGGTGCTAAATGTATCATAAATATTTTCACCCATTTTTTTTTATCTTGGAAAAAATAGTGGTCCACAGTAATTATCAACCTGGGGTAGAGTGGCTTTGTTTTCTAGGACTTTTATCTTTTTGTTTGTTTGTTTTGTTTTTTGAGATGGAGTCTTGCTTTGTTGCCCAGGCTGGAGTGCAGTGGCGCGATCTCAGCTCACTGCAAGCTCCACCTCGTGGGTTCACGCTATTCTCCTGCCTCAGCCTCCCGAGTAGCTGGGACTACAGGCGCCCGCCACCACGCCCAGCTAATTTTTTGTATTTTTAGTAGAGACGGGGTTTCACCGTGTTAGCCAGGAAGGTCTCGATCTCCTGACCTTGTGATCTGCCCGCCTCGGCCTCCCAAAGTTATCTTTGTTTTTGAAAATCATCTGTCTGTACCAAATAAGGGATAATAACATCAGTGCACTTTTACTGGGCTTTGCGGAAGAAGTAAAGCCATATTGAGCCCTTGTGCTTTGAGAATTTGTATCTGTCATCTAACATCTATCCGCACTAATGCCATCTTTGGCTAAAACTTCTTCATCATTTCTGTAATGGGTTTTTCAATTATATTCCACAATAATACTCTATTCAAATATGTGTTTTGAAAGTATTTTATCTCAGTCTGTGGCTTGACTTTCATTTTTCTAATAGTTTCTTTTGCAGAGCAGAAGTCTTAAAATATATAAGAGAATTTAAATAGCTGACTGAGAATTTTGAACTTATTCTTGGGTTAATAATTTTTTTTTAGCACTTCCAGAGAGCCTGGCTTTCTGCTCACACTTTCCTGGCATCATTGAATTTTAGTTGCTTATAACATTTCTGTAAAATATGCATTGTTTCTCTTCTTACAGATGAGAAATCTGATTCTCCAGAGATATAGTCAATTCCATGTATAAGTTGTATTATGCCAGTGTTACTTTGCAAAATCAATTATTTTATAATATTTGGGCATTTATTTATTTAGCTGGATGTCACTATATTTATGGTAGGCATTTAGGGATTTATGAATGACTTTGTAATTAGAGCCTTCTACTTCTGAAAACAATTTAGTCACAGCCACAAGTGAACATTCCATGTGAAATAATGAGATTTCTCTTTAGATGATTCCAACTTGGTTATAAATATTCCAAATATTTGGGGAGTAGTATATGAATACTTAATTTGGTAATTGCACCTTGCTTCTAATTACCTCTAAAATGATTTTACATCCAGTGGGACTTTCAGAGTTTATCACAATTTTGCTAATCCCTTTGACTATCTTGCATTCCAAAAACTTGGAGATTGGCATTCAAAAATAGCACAATGGCTCATTCACTTATAGCAGCAGGATTTCCTGCAAAACACTTAAATGTTTAGCATATAGTATTTACATTCTGTCATTTGTAGTTTCCTAGGTAGTTATGTGTGTTCTTTTTATTATGCTGCTTTGTCACTTCTCTTACTAACTTGCAGACCTCCGACACTGTACCAATATTGATATTTTAAAACCAACTCAATCCTATCCACATCAGGAGCTGTGTATAATGATGCTCACCTTTCTAATACACACCTTAGATTGATTCAGCTTGCTGTATCAATAACTGCCGTCTAAAACTAAGTGCCAAGTGCTTCACTGTGACTGATTTTATTAGTCACTCTGTGAGAATTAAAAACAAACAATAACAGAAAAGAAAAACTGACAAAGAGAAAAAGGTGAGATTTATTAAACTTTGATAAGATCACATTTAAATAGTATCACTCTTTACTACTCTCTCTACAAAAAGCCCAACATAATCCTGTGAAATACCTTCTTAAAGCCTGATGTTAAAGGCCGAATTGTGATCCGTTGTATGTTTGGAATTGTGGACATATGTTGAATTGTTCCATAAAAAGTATTCTAATATCTAAACCGGTAGGTTAAAACTTTTACCTAAATTGGTCATATTTTCATAGAGCCATATGCGTATTATAAATGAGGGTTTATAATGGCCTAGCCCTAAACTGGCAAAGAGCAAGACTAAAAAATCTGTACTCATCCTATTGATAAAAATGTGATATGGGGTAAACTTTTACTCTTTAGAATGACAAATAGTGAGTAATACCAACCAGGAAGCTATGAAAAACATTGCAAAAGAAGGGAAAGGGATTTTCATCACAGATACTCGGAGAACATGCTTATAATTTTCTTTTTAAATTTTCATAACCAAAAGAAGATGTTAGACCATCACTGTACAGTCTCAGGAGGATGGAAAGCATGACTGGCTCCTCCTCACTGGGTTGATTCTTTTTCATTATTTTGATCTCTGGTTAAAAGTAATCTTCTCAAGGTACAGGGAGTGGGAGAGACCTTCCTGACCTCTGTAAATTAGGTCGCCCCTTTTATTGTTTTCTTTTGCAATGTATTAATTTTCTGCACAACACTAATTGTAATTTGATTATGTATTTAGTTATTCTTTTCATTTTATTTGATGGCTTCTGGAATAGGACTTAACTCCATGAGAGAAGACACAATAATGTACCCAATAGATTTCTTGGCAAAAAACTGCTGTTGAGTTCAAACCTGTTGAAGGATTTAATGATCAAATAAGAAATAAGGGGCCGTGAGGAAGGTCCAGGTTAATCCAGGCAAAAAGAAAGTCACTAAAAAGGTTATAACAGAAGTTTGTTCTATAAAGACCTCTAAGTCCAGGCTTTAAAGGTACACTCTTTGAAGTTTTCTAAGAAAAAATGCCATATAGACTATTTCAGAACAACCACACAAAAAACATGGTAAGAAATGCACCAATTAGGCCAGGCGTGATGGTTCATGCCTGTAATCCCAACACTTTGGGAGGCTGAGGTGGGCAGATCACTTGAGGTCAGGAGTTTGAGACTAGTCTGGCCAACATGGTGAATCCCTGTCTCTACTAAAAATACAAAAATTAGCCGGTTGCTCTCATTTGAACACAGGAGGCAGACGTTGTAGTGAGCCAAGATCACGCCACTGAGCTCCAGCCTGGGTGACAGACCGAGACAAAATGTACCAATTAATAGAACACTGTGGTTAGTAGCATAGATTATTATCTCAAAAGGACCAGAGTTGGTGTGTTGTGTCTACCAACATCAACTTTGCCATAACAATAGCCAAAATACTTAGTGTCTATAAAACTAATTTTAGTTATCTATAAAATAAAGATAATAATGAAGCCTGCTACATAGAATTGTTGTGAGGACTGATTATAAAATTTTATACATTGAACATGAGGATAGGAAGAGAATAGCTAGTAAACATTTATAATATTTACAATTTGTCCCAGTGTGGAGCAGATAATAAACAATTATACATTTATTATATATAAGCTATTAGTATCATTTTAAGTGAATAAACTATAATACTAAAATCTAACATAGCATGTGTCTCATCAGTGTGCAAGTATCTTTAAGAAATGGCCAACCAGATTTATTAGTCCCATGACGACACAAGAATGCACAATGGCTTAATAGTCAATCTATTAGCTCATTATTAGACTCCATAAAAAAAGTTGATAATAGAATACTTAAAATGTATTAAAAAAGAAACTTTCATAGCTATTGTTTTTAAAAGTTTTCAAGAATTAAAAATATTGAGAAGCTTCTCTGTTATTTAAAGAGTAAATTAAGTCTGTAGTCTTCATTCATTCATGTATTCATTTATATGACAAATATTTATTTAGTACCAATTATGGTAGCATATTGAGTATTGTGATATGTTGAATAATTGTCCCTAAAAATATCCAGATTCTGATCCCTGGAATTTGTGAATCTATTACCTTAAATTGCATAGAGGAATTAAGGTTGCAGATGGAATTAAGGTTAGTAATCAACTAACCTTAAAATAGAGGAGATTATCCTGAAATGTTTGAGTGGTTTGATCTAATCCTAAGCATCCTTAAAAGTAGATGCCAAAGGGAAAAATAGAGGTTAGAGTGAGAAGAACTTAACCCACATCACTGGCTTCCAAGATTTAGGAGTGGGGCCAAATGTCAAGGAACATTCAAGGCCTCTAGTAGGTGGAAAAGGTAAGAAAACCAATTCTCCCTGAGAGCCTCCAGAAAGGAGCACAGCCCTGCTGACACCTTGATTTTATCCCAGTGACAACTGCATCAGATGCCAGACAGAACTTAAGATAATAAATCTATATTGTTTTATGCACTATGTGTCACAATTTGTTACAGCAGCAGTAGCAAACTAATATAGGTATGACAATAGATGAAAAGAAGTGTGAATCCTGCTCTGATAGAATTGAGGGTCTGGTAGAAGAGTAACTTATTGAATAATAATGAATATTAATATAAAGGAGTTACTCTGTGAAGTGCCATGAAGGAGTATAAACTTTGAGATGTTTATTTATATATAAAAAGAGTTGTGTTATATTGTAAAGTCAGTATAAAAGGCTCAAATCACCATTGTCATGATTAACTCTGAGTAGTTCTTATATTGCACATGAGGTTGAGTTTACATGGTTTTGGCTAACTCTTAGATGCACTGAAACATGATGATCACCGGGACAGTTTAACAGAGCAAAAGCAGAGCCTATATGCAGAGTTATCAATGGTGTCCTCGTTTTAGAAAACAATGACGTGTATAACAGTGATGAGCACAGGAGATGTGCAGAAGAGTAAAATATTTCTGCTTTCCTTCAAGGTTTACTCTGTCTTACTTTGACGTTAGGTTTTCAAAATTTCATGAGTATTGAAATGCTGGACATGTCACATCAAGTTCACAAATAAAATAAATTCCCCACTAATTTTAATTCTTTTAAGCTTGTTCCAGACATTCTGATCCACATAATAGACTATAAAAATACATTGTAATCATTAGATAGTTGAGGTTAAAAAAATTCATTATTATCAAATATTACATACATAGAAATGCCATAAAAATCAACTGAAAACACTAAACTTACCAAAATATTGTCAGTAATGTTGTTACAAGTAAGATGAAACAACAGCTTTCTCTTAGAAGTTATAACACAAAAGAGAACTATATATTAGAAAACAAACAAATCATAAAGTACCCAGAAAGACCCTAACCAGGGATTGCATAGAAGCCTTACAAAGATAAAAGATTTTTAAAAAGGCACGGGGAAAGTCCTTTGGATTAATTAATAGCATTTTAAATGAATGTGTTATGTTCGTAGCATCTTTGGGTTAATGGGAGGACTAATGAGTAGCTACAGCTTATATAAGAACCTAGTATGGTTTCAGAAACCTTCCAAGCTAATGAGAAGTGAAAGAATATTCAATACATTGAAATAAAAGCATTGGATCCTCATTGCATATATATAGTTAACTAAAATATATGTCACGTATCAAAGTATAAAACATTTTAAATTAAATATATATAATTATACATGCATATATATAATACATATATATGCATATATATAGTTAACCAAAATATATGTCTGATATGTCAAAGTATAAAACATTTTTAATTAAAATCTTATTGCTGTATATGATATAAAAGAAAATGTGGATAACTATTTAATTGAAAATGGGGGAACTGATAAGAAAAAATGGAAGATCAATAGATTTGACATTACAAAAACATAAAATGTCCAAATGTTAAACATCTTGTAAATACTTAAAGATCTACTATAAACTAAGAGATTTATTATAAACAGACTAATATTTGAAGCAAACATTGCTGATATTAAAGTTAATAGCCTTATGAAGAGCTTTAAAAAAAGCAATGAGAAAATCTGTTAATTAAAAAAAGAATGTGTTTAACCTCTCTCTACAAGTCAAATATTGCACACGCAGATTAAAGAAACAAGAATACATAATTTTTTTACTTATTACCTTAGAAGTGGTCATGTATTAAATATGAATATTGAAAACTATTAATTTTATAATGAGATGCTGCTGCTTCTGGGAATATTGATGTATATACATTTTATGAAAATCAATTAGCAATATATATTAAGTACCTAAATATTTATATATTTTATTTCAATAATCTCACTTTAGGACTCTACCTTAATGAAATAATTATAGATTGTGACAGGAAAGATTTCTGTCTTAAGCTTTTAACTGCAAAATGTTTCACTTCAGTTTGTTTTGCATCATAAAACAAATTTGTATTCAGTACTTAGCACTTCAAGACACTTAACATATATTTTTAAATTAAAAAATTAATGACTTCTTTTTAAATAGCAAAAATGGAAATAGGCCTAAATATCAGAAGAGAAAAACTTATATACAGTTACACAAAGCTATATAAAACGTTATATACAGTTATACAGCTTTAAACAGTAAGGTAAACATGGTAGTCAGACTTCAAGATGGCTTCAATGATCCCAGTGCCCCGGTATCCATATCTTTGTGTAATGTCCTCTCTTTTGAGTGTAGATCAACCTTAGTGCCTTGTTTCTAATGGATCACATATGGTGGAAATGATGGTATGTAACTTGAAGACTAGATCACAAAAGGCAGCATAACCCCCTTACCCTATGTCCCCTTGGCCATTTCCAGTCACCCACTCTGAAAGAAGCCATCTTGAAAGCAGCTCTGTGGATAAGCACATGGGTGAGAAACTGAAGTTTCCAGTCAACAGGCAGGTAAGTGAGCTTGGAATTAAATCCTCCAGCCTCAGCTGAGTGTTCAGAGCCTGGAGCCCAGTGGACAGCTTGACTACAACTTCCTGAGAGACCCTGAGTTAGAACCACCTGGCTGATGCCTCCTAATTACTGACGCTCAGAAACTGTGTGACATGATAAATGCTTGTTGTTTTTAAGTCCTGGAGTAATTTGTTATGCACAAGTAGGTAACTAACATAGAAAGGTCCAAGATGAAATACTGTGCAGTCATTAAACTCATAGCTGCAAAGACTATTTAATGGCATAACAGCATTCATATGAGATAGTGTCAAGAGTAGAAGAAAAAGTTAAATAGAACATCATGTAAAATGTTAAGAACAGTATGATCCCAAGTTAAAGGAATCTTTATGCTTTAGGAAGCATAAAGCATCCATGAAGCACACACAAGAGACCAAGAAAAGGTTGCCACGTGGCTAGAGTAGAGTGAGTGTGAATATCATTCTAGATCTCACCAGAAGAGTTGGCAGGAAACTGATTATAGAGGTGTTTTAACGTATTTAGGAACTTCATCTTCATTCTAAAAGTAGTAAGAAATTCCAGATAATTAAAAAAGAGAAACTCTGATATTTGAAAGCTGGCCTGGCACTCACAGCATAGCCGAATGATTATCCTATTTAGCATAAACAACTTCACAGAATACCAACCTAAGACAAGGTTACTCAGAGACCGTAATAAAATGATACAAAACAAGAACACTTCATAATTTTGTCTAAGCACAGGTAAAAGCAAGGTCACTCTGCCACCCACAAAATACCAAACATGCCCTCCTTAGCCAACTATGTGGCTGCTATTTCTTCACCAATTGGTTTTTTCTTTGTGGTAGGTAAGGTATATTGAGATGTTTAATCATAGCGTTGCCCCTGCTTTCTGACAGCATCCAATCTAGCACAAAACTTGCTTTCTTAGACCCACCCCAAACCATCCAACTAAATCCCAAATTCTGTAGTAGGTTCTTTCTAATGCCCAATCACTGAGATTTCCCATGGTATGTGTTCTCCCTCACTGCAATGCTTAGTAAATTCAACTTGTTTAAATGCAGCTGTATTTCTGGTGGCCTTTGGCCGAAAGAACTGATACCACTAAGAGTTTTTAAGCATACTTAGCATAAATTTTAACCAGATTTAATTGTGAGAGCTGGTAAAGTGGAAAGTAAATGCAATAGAGTAACTTAAAACTCCTGTATAGGCCAATATTGATTTATGTAGGTTTTCTCAGGTCACTTCTCTTCCTTTTCTTCAGTGCTCTCCACAGGCAGCTCTTACCTTTTCTGACCTCAATTTCCTTTCAGTTGTTACCTCCACACATATTCTGGAAGCACTACATGCAATTCTAAATCCCAGAATATGGGCAAAATTAAGTTCATAGGTCCAAAGAAACTGTGGGAGATTTATCCCTCACATCAATTGTTTTAGTCTATGTTCCCTAAAATAAGATCCTGATATGAGAATTCATGTGCCAGAGATGTATTAAAGAATTGCTTCTAAGAGGGATTTGTAAGACAATGAAAAGAAAGGAAGGGATGAAGTTAGGCAAGAATGCAATTATAGGCAAAATCCCAGCATGAGCCTTGTCCACTCTGAAGTGTAAGTTACACCTCATAATCTTTATTAACTTGAGGAAAGGATCTGGGTTATATACTCTATATCAACTAGTCAATAGGTAATGGCCGCTCTAAAGGCATGTAACTTCAAAGGCAATTCCAGTTCTAATAGCCAGGAGTATTCATACAAAGAAGTCACAAATAGAAGTAGTGTAAAGCAAGAACAAGTAGTCAGAGGTGTCGCAAAAACGGTCATAAGTATCTAAGGGGACATCTGGGTAGAGCACCTTCATTGTCTAATCCTGCTCTCCCTGTCTCTGTTTCCTACCCCTGAATTGACCTTCCCAAGAATGATGACAATGGAAACATCTATTGTCTTTGAAGGAAACTCTACAGAGACATTGTATGGACCTACAACTCCTACAAAACAATCTTAAAGAGAGGGCCTTAGTCTCTTTCCTGATATTCATTTTAATGTACTTTTCCTAAAGTTCTTCATTTTAATTATCTTCCCATGAGGAGCATCAGATGGCAAATTCAGATTTCCCTGCAATAAGCTCAATTTGGTCTCTTTTTAAGGGACAAAGTGTTCAAAAAAGTGTGGTACCAGCCTCACCATGTGCCATATGAATAGATATGTTAAGCATCTAGCACACTGCCCAGCACATGATAGGTCCTAAATATACAGTAGCTATCACTATGATTCTTTTGTTCTAAACCCCTGTACTAGTGGGAAGTTAAATGCTAGGGAAGGAAATTACCTCTTTTGGGCCTTGACTTCAATATTCTTCCCATCCACCTTAGACCTGAAAGATGTGTTGGCCACAGCCTCATGACAGGACCATCTGTAACTTGGACTTTTTGGGACTGGAATATTTCCTTCCCCTAGATTTATCCAGCATGGCTGCCATGGCTCAGTAACAAACACATGTCTTGTATGAATTCATGGAGAAAAGATGTCCAGAAGCCTCTGTGACTGCTTGGAGGCAGCAAAGGGAGGGATAATAAGCTGCCAAGCTATCTCTTCCATAATAATAAGCAAGCACTAATTAAATGTCTTGTTTGAAAAATATGCAAAACTATAAATACATCATCATTCAGATGGCTTGGGCTGCAGCCTGGCCAGATGCAATTCTGTGTCTGAGACATGATGTCATAAGCCAGTTAAGATGTGTCACCTATTTTAAAATATTGGATTTGCTTAGGGTGGCTAAGTATTATAGGACCTTTTCTGGACCAGCCCTCAAGAAAATGATGGAGATGATTCTTTGCCTCTGCCCTAAACCTTATTAATAATCCTTCTTCAGCTCTGTGCTTCTCTCCCCTTCCAGGCTCTCATCTGAATGTACCCTGCCTTTGCCAAGTGCTGGACTTTCCTTCTTGTCTCCTCTGTCTCCAGTTACAACTTGCTTGCTACTGTATTCTAATTCATTAAGTCTGAGAGTCAAGAAACAGGGAAAGGCAGGGACTTAGCTATGAAATGTATCCTAGGAACATCCCTCTAGTTGGTACCTGTTCAGAAATGGATTTCATAATAGGTTGGATAATAATTAGATTGTATTCCTTGATAAGAATAAGTGTAGCATTTTGATGGAATTACAGTCAGAGTCTTTAGAATACTTACATGCTACTCTATTCAGTCACCACATTCCCTCTCATCAAGTTCAGAGGATTATTAAGTACACACACACACATACAAAAGAACAAAGAGAATCAGAATAGAATTTTTAAATATATTGACAAGTTTCTAATGACCTCTAATGTAATGGTGTTTGGCAAAACATGAAATAAAGAATGTAGGCTGGACTGGGTTTACGAAAAGAATGTCCTGGGATCTATTCATTCAGGTTAGCATTGTTTCTGTTGAGGTAGGTGTCCGGAAGGGCCATTAGCATATTCAGTGCTAAGATGAGACAAGAGAAGCACGTTTTTCTTCACAAGTATTGCTCTGTTTTTGTTTTCTCTTAACTCAGAGGAGCATCTAGCATAAGATCAAGCAAAGGTATGACTTTCCTGACCCACTTCTGTGAGGCTGATGCCCCAATATCCTCCTTTGTTCTCTTTTAATCCTCCTATAGCCACTGGAACGGTTGTCTCTGAAACTGATGGGAGCGAGCATTGATTTAGTTAACTTAAAGGCCAAACTATTCACTAGGCTGACATTATTACACTTTCAATTCTATTTACCACCTTATATTAATGGTAGTAACAACCTTCGACCTAATTCCAGGATGAGGCTTCAAATAAAGCCAAATAAAAATGGTCTAAATATGTAAATTATTTGCAAGGTCCTCTTTATTCTGACCCATGGTTACCTAAGAGATGTACGTGGCCCAGTGCTCAAGAACACAGGATTCTGAGCTAGAATGTCTGGCTCAGCCCTGACTCTGACACACAGAAATTGAATGACCTTGGAAAAGTTAGTTAGCCTCTAACTCATATGTCATATTTCTAGTCTCTAAAATGGGGTGAAAATTATATTTTCTCATAAAGTTTTAGGTTGATTAATGGAGTAATTAAATATGTACCATTTAGAACAGTGCCTGTGACAGGGTAAGCACTATACAAGAGTTATCTATCATTATTAGCACATTTATTTAAAAAGAAAAAGAATAAAAAAGATGGGCTTTTAAAGCACAGCTACTTTGAACATACAGTGAGTTTTTGAGTTATGGTATATCAGATTAGATATTCTCCTGCTTGGGGAAGAGTTAGAAAGGAGGTGGTAGGGGAAGACTTAGACTCAGAAGACTGAAAATGTGACTCAACATTTCCATTTCACATATGACCAAAGACAGAGCAAACTGAATTACAAGGAAAATGAGACACTGCTCCAAGGACAAAGCTAGGAAGCCGAAATCTAGGGACAGCATGACAAAATCACTAAACTAATTGAAAAGTACACTCCTCCAAAAAATAGATAACATCATCTAGAATTACTTTCAGAAGCATTGGTAGAAATCCATTCAATTGTTTTAATGTAAAGGAGTTGTCTTTAACTGAGAGTAGATTTGGTTTATTTTTTTTTTTTAAAGCAAGCTGGATAGCATTGGAGACTATTATACTAAGTGAAGTAATTCAGGAATGGAAAACCAAACATCGTTATGTTCTCACTCATAAGTGGGAGCTAAACTATGAGGATGCAAAGGCATAAGAAGGATACAATGGACTTTCAGGACTCGGGGGGAGAAGGTGGAAAGGGGGTGAGGGATAAAAGATTACAAATTGGGTTCAGTGAATACTGCTTGGGTGAAGGGTACACCAAAATGTCACAAATGACCACAAAAGAATTTATTGATGTAACCAAATACCACCTGTTCCCCAAAAACCCATGGAAATAAAGAATATGGTAATATGTTCTCTTTATTCAAAATGATGCTGTATGTAAAAAGTGATGTATCACTTTAATTTCATTTCATTACTCATAGCTTCCAAATATAGTTTCCTGTGTTATTGACTGTTTTCTCCCCTTAGAAGATGACTTACCTGTTCATAAACCTTGTCTGTTTTTATATTGAGCATTTTTCCCTTATGAAATTGCATCTACTCATGGTGAACATTAAAAACTTCATACATCTCTTATCGGACTTCTAAGGCAAGGTTGTGTTCTAGGTAGCATAGTTATGTTATAGAAGTTCATTAATTCATGGCTCTCCTCCTCTCTTCATATCCTTTGCCCCAGGTTCCCATGTGCTGCCATCATTGCCACTTGGATATTCCTGTGTTTCACTGTAAATACCAATTTGGCTTTTCCATCTCAATCTATATTTTCTTTATTTCTCTCTCTTTCCCTTCCTCTCACCTCAGGGTACTTCCTACCATTTTTCTTAAGGATAGTCTGTGAACTGTTTCTCTTGCTCAATGCTGCAGTTACCTTTCTTAATTTCACGGAACATCTCATTGAAATCTGCTGCTCAAGGCATAGGCAACTATCCTGAAAACAAAGGAAGGGGTGGGTGGTGAGGGCTGCTTTCTGAGGGAAGGGCCTCTAGAAGGCCACAGAATTTGCAGAAGGCAAGGAGAGAGATGTGCTTTTTTTCTTTCCTTTTCTTTTTAATTTTTATTTTCTTATTTTTAAATTTTTAAATTTAAGTTTTAATTTTTGTGGGTATATACTAGATGTATTTAAGGGAGATATTTAAGTGCTACATAAGATATACTGATAGAGGCATACAGTAAGTAATAATCAATCACATCAGGGTAAATAGGGTATCCATCACATCAAGCATTTATCTGTTGCATTACAAATAATCCAATTATAAACTTTTAATTATTTTCAAATGTGCAATTAAATTATTTTTGATTATAGTCACCCTGCTGTGCGAACAAACACTAGGTCTTATTCATTCATTTGAACTATTTTTGGTACACCTTAACCATCCCCACTTCCCCCAACCCACCAACCTTCCCAGCTTCTGGTAGCCACTCTTGTACTTTCTGTCTCCATGAGTTCAATTGTTTTAATTTTTAGCCCCCATGAATAAATGAGAACATGCAAAGTTTGTTTATCTGTGTGTGGCTTATTTTACTTCACATAATGATCTCCAGTAGCATCTATGTTGTTGCAAATGACAGGATCTCATTCTTTTTTATGGCTGAATAGTATTTCATTGCACATATGTACCACATTTTCTTTATCCAGTCATCTGCTGATGGACACTTAGGTTGCTTCCAAATCTTAGCTATTGTGAACAATGATGCAACAAACATAGGAGTGCAGCTATCTCTTTAACACACTGATTTCTTTTCTTTTGGATATATAATCCAACAGTGGGATTGCTGGATGTGCTTTTTAAAACATGTTCTTGGAAGAAGTGGGGCAAGGTGGGTGGGCGTCACTGAATAACCAATTCTATTTACACCTCTGGGCCAAAAGATGAGGTTCAGGCAAGCAGAGTAACTATAAGTATGTGTGTGGATGTGTGGAATTGGTGAAGGTGAATATTTTCTGGATCAATGACAATACACATTTGAAATTATAGACTTATTGACATAAGATCATGCATGCAGTCTTTTTCAAGAATGCAGATGCAGATATAAGAATTGCCCTACCCTGAATCAAGAGTAAGAATTTCATATCTATTGATAATTGAGTCAATAAGCTTTCCATAGGCACTGGTGAGGTCAAAGCACCTGCGCAGGTGGTGTGGAGAAAGCACAACACTTCTACTCTAAAGCTTGAAGAATAGAAAATAAGATTGGAGACATCAAGCAACAGGTCGACAAATTTCAAAAACCTATTTTATAATCATTGCTGGTTAACTCAAAATTTAAAAATTTTACTTTATGTTTTCTCTTTATTATTTTTTGAGGCAGTATAACTTGAAAATGGCATTGGGATGGATAATCTCAGGTGTCGACTTAACTGGGTTGAGGGATAGCTAGGAAAACCTTACTTGAGTGTGTCTGTAAGAATGTTTCTGGAAGAGACTGGCACTCGAATCCGTGAACTGAGTAAGGAAGACCTGTCCTCACCAATGTGAGCAGGCATCATCCAATCTACTGAAGGCCTCGATAAAACAAAAAGGCAGAGAAAAAATGAATTTCTTCTCTCTTCTAGAGCTGAGACATCCATCTTCTCTCCTCCTTGGACATCAGGACTCCTGGGTTTCAAGCCTTTGGACTCAGACTGAATTCCACCACCAGCTTCCCTGGGTCTCCAGCTTGTCGATGCATATTGTGGGACTTCTCTGCCTCCATAATTATGTGAGCCAATTTTCATAATAAATCTCATTTTATATATCTCTATGTGTATCCTATTGGTTCTGTTTCTTTGGAGACTCCTGACTAATACGTGCATTCATCATCATCCTGGTAGAAAATATGATTTCTTCTGATTTTATCTTAGTGATACTTAAGGGAATTCAACTGTTCTATGACAAAATGTGACACATAAAACCAAGGAAAACTGAAACTGATGGTGATGCCTGAGTTAATGACTAAGACAGGCAAATATGGGTGAGAAAACGTACCCAGATATAACGGGCAAAATAAAATTAACTCAGTGATGATTTACTGAGTACCTATTAGGTTCCATGTAAGTGAATTTAGACTTTGGCCTTGGGAAAGTACCATATGAAGCTTGACTTAACATAATCAGACATAGATTTTGCCAGAAATACTGTGGGGTTATAAAGGAAATCAGTTGCTGTGAAAAAATAAGAGGAGGATAGATATTAAGGGGGTAAAATCTTTAGAATTTGGAGCTTTTGTGTTAAGGGACTGATAACTACAGAGAAATACAGGATGATTCTGGGATAAGTCTGACATTACAGGAAAAAAAGTATCTGTTATAATGGGGGAAAGGGTGGATCACACAGAGATAATCTGGGAAGAGTTTTGCTTGGTAAGCTGCCTTGTTTAGACTGGCTTTTTACTGGCTCATTTGTGGATAGAACAATTTCTATCACAGGTTCTCTTAGAGGCAGCATGTAACATATGTCAGCTCCCACCATGCAAGTCCTCTATAAAATGATAAGGAGTGGTTCCTGGATGACAGATGTTACTGCTGAACCAGGGGAAATAGTGAGGAGCTTAGAGGTGCTGAGCAGATAACCAGCATTAATTCCAGGATACACTGACACTACAGGGCAAAGCAAGCAGCAATTTGTTTTTGGTGGTTGGACAGGATTTCAGAATGCTGACTTAAAAGATGGAGGAAGATAATAGTACTGTTACTACACAGATCATCAGAAAACCTGGAGAAGTATCATTTTTTTTCCCTCTAAATCTATCTGACATAATAAGGGACAGATTCCCTTTTCAAGTTTCCAATTTGGTTGGAAATCACATATTGGAACAAGTTTAGTCCTAAGAATGGAAGCCAGCACCTGATATGCTAATGTACTTATGTCATTTCTGACACAGATCAAGAGGTCAATAAAGATTGTTGAGTGAATTTCCTTATTTGTGTCTTTGTTCAAAAAGTTTAAAAGTTTCTATTAATCTTATTTTGCAATTGTTTATATTCTTATTTCATACTTTGTGAACGTCCACATTGCTCCCATGTAGTAAGCTTGAGCATAAGACTAGCTTTATGGCTAAAGTTAATACCAGGCCAAGTGGCTCCAGACATTCATTTGAAACAGTCTGGCTGTGTACCTGTATGGCATCAGTGTTGAGTGACTCTACCCATTAATAAATTATTAATCGATCTTTAAAAAGAGACATGTGAATTCTACAGTCCAAAGGGTAAGACGTTCAACTCATAAAATCCATCTGGTACTACAAATGCTGTTTTGGGTTTCAGTTTTTCTTCCAAGAACATCTGCCAAAAATCATTTAAATAAAATGAGACCCATAATTACTGTTGTAGTTCCCAACTGATCCACCAATTCTAGGCATAGGATTTATATCACTTGTCATTTTACAGCATACTTTTCTTTAATGTACATAGAATTTAATTTTATCATTTTCTATTGGAGATAAGCATCCTAAAGAAACACAGGAAAATTTACATCTTATAAAAATCTAATCTTAATATCTGCTCTGTCCACTTCCCTCTATTAGTTTTTAATTTTCCTATTGTTTCTGTTAATAAACTAAGTGGAATTTTGGTCCTGTCTGTAGCTCAACATTTTCTATCTAGTTTACCTAGAGCTGCTTCAAACATCTTACATGAGAATTAAATAATTTATTTTATAATTTAAACATACTTAAATTCTAGCTTTCTGCTAATTTTCACCAAATATATGTAGTTAATTTCTTGAATTGTTTCCTAGGAGAAGAATTCCAGACTCAAATAATTCTAGTCATTTTTTCACCAAATAAGTTATATTACTGGATCTATTATTTCCATTAATGCATCCTAAGACACATGTTTTCATTTTAGTAGTTACATCTTATGGAACATGAAATAAACCAAAAGATTATGTTAATGTTATTCAAGTTGTATGACTTTCTTATTTTCCTGAATTGATCAAGGGACAAAGCTCCTTCCTGTATACTACATTCTGACTCCCATTACCTTCTCATCAGTGCTTTGATAATTTAATAGAATATCCCCAAGGATCCTTCACAAGTTGTAGGTACTAAGAGAATCTGGCAAATACATGTCTTAGCTGATAGCAAAAAAAAAAAAAAAAAAAAAAAAAAAAAAAAATCACGTATAGCTTCCTGTTCCCATGTAAATTTCATTAGTTCTTTGATTGAGGTTATGTGTTCATAATGGCCAAAATAACTATGTTTACCCAGAGGAGTCAACTCAATAAACTAAACAACATAAAGTAAAACACCTCATGTAGAATGTTTTACTTTCTCGAAGAGGATTGATAATCAATGCAGATAAAAGTATTCACCCAACAGGCTCAGCTGGAGATAAGTTGCAATGGTGTTAGATGGAGTTATCTAGCTCAGAGCTTACATATAGAAACACTCACGATGACTACTGCATAAATGGCTGAATAGATGAATGAAGAAGAGCTGAAAAAATATCAAGGAAATCTTGCTGTCTCTAAACTAAGAAGCCCTGCTGTATAATTTCATCTCTAGAAATGTCTTTTCTGCTTCCCTGCAGACTTATAAAGAATGTACATCTCCTCTCTGTTTACTGAATTAGTTGGTTATGATGCCTGCATACCCAGGTGCATCTTGGAAATATTTGCATCTATTTATGATACATAGATTGGGATGAATTCATTTTGACAAAGTACAAGCAGTTGGGCCAATGTGTTCTCAGAGGGCTGACAATGTGGAGAGTAGGAAGAGGGAGTCATTTCTAGCTTTCACAATCTCTTGCCATCTTGTCTCCAATATTTCCATCTTACCTTCTTCACATGGAGGTGTGGGTTGGAATGATAAAATATGGTTAAGGATAAACAAGGAAATTAAAAATTACATTTTAGAAGAGTATAGCTCTTAACAAAAATCCATACTGTAAACAAGAAAGCTTGAAAATATTTTACCAAAAACAAACAGAGCACTCAGACTGAAATGAAGGCCTGAAATGAACGCCAAGGCCCTGCCTTCAGGTTAGGGACTTGATTTGCAATCTGAACCGATGCATCTTTTTGCCGGAATTCAAATAAAATTTCATTTGAGGACCCAGAGCTCAAACTAGTTATTTTTCTGGAACTCCCTGCTCATCATTATTTAAACACTGGTGTTTAATTTTTTAGTGAGAGGAAATGAATTAAACACTTGAACTCCAACTCCTCCATAGAGAAAAGTGTGTAGGTTTTAAAGGGACCTGGTGTTGAGTAATCTAAATAATCATTTTCATAATCTCCAATGTCATCATTAATATTGACTCACTACCATGGACTGAGACTACTGATTCTTACACAAGCCATCTCCTGGAATCCTCCCCCAAAAAAGTTGAATGTGGTGAATGCTGTTATTGCCATTTAGATGAGAAATCTGAGGCTCAAGGTAGTTAAATAATTTTCAGAAAGCTTTGTGTTTTATAATGATGTGTGTGCTGGTTGGGTCGGGATTTAAACCTAAACCAGCTAGGCAAAGAGGGATACATGTCAGGAGCTCTGCTGAGCTGAGGAGAGCTGAGCTGCCAGGTGTTGGAGTAGTCAATTAAAGCAACAAGTCAAAAAGAGTATTACTCAAGTCATTAATCACTTACTGCAATAATAAAAGCAAGAGGCTAAAACATAGAAGTACCAATTGATTGGACTCCGGTGAAGACTCCAAGATGGCGACCAGCAACCGTCTTGGCTACCCTGACTCGGCATTCCCAGATTCGCGGGTTCCCGCCATCCCAGTGGCCATCTTGGCCACCCTGACTTGGCATTTTTGCTTATTCCCGCCATTTATTCCCACCCTCCCGACAGCCACCTTGGGTAGCCTGACTCAGCATTTCTGGGTTCACCTTTTCCTGTTCCCGCCACCCCGACCGATGCGCATGCCCACTAGGGCGCGTCACACTCAGAAGCGCGAAACTCAACCAACCCGGCCCCTACCCCGCCAACTCCTCACCCAGCATCCATATAAGCCTGCTGCACCTTTAGCACAGCGCAACTTCCCTGGCCCTCCTCCTGCGGACAAGTGAACCTCGCCCGAGAGCTCAATAAAGAAGATTTTTGCCCTCTTTCTCTCGCCTCTCAGCCTTATTGATCCACGATACCCTTCCATTGCCTTTCATTGCTGCTGAAACCCTGGAGGGGATACCTCCTAAGCCCCCCCAGAGGCTCAGGGGGACTCCCCTCCTGGTCAGATCAGGCCTCTCCATCAGTCAGGTCAGGCTTCTCCTCCATGGCCATCTGTCCGTTTCGTCCGGTTACTTGCCGCCAGGTCGCAACTGCTGCAGCTACTCCAGTCCAATTCAGTGAACGCTGGGTGAGCACCCCTTCTTTTTCCTTTTGTCTGTTCCTCCCTGGCCGAGAGTCGTGCGCACGTCCAGGGAGAGTTTCCTTCCTCAAGGGAAGGCCAGTCTGGGTCACCAGGTGACCCAAGTTTACTTCCCCAGGGGAAGTCCAAATCGGCACTGACAACTCGGAGACGTCCGTGTCTGAAGTAGCCGATCCGAGGCTCCAGGAACCGCGTGGTCTGAGTGACCCCAGAGGACGCTTCTGCTGTCCCTCAGACTGCTGCCATAAAGGGAAGAGGATGAGGTCCACCCAGTCCAAAATCGCGCAAAACACCCCTTTAGGGTGCCTCCTGCACAACCTCCCAACTTTACAACTCGACCAAGATTTAAAACGAAAGCGACTAATTTTCTTCTGCATGGTTGCCTGGCCGCAATATACCTTAGACGACCAATCTCGCTGGCTCCCCGAAGGCACACTCGACTTCAGTATCCTAAACGACCTTACCAATTTTTGTCAGAGGCGAGGCAAATAGTCAAAAATCAAATTTGTTCAATGGTTCTGGGACCTCCACTCTCGTCGGACCACTGCCACCAAGTGTTTTCGCTGGTGCAAGTCCCTCTGGTTAGCCTTCCACTTGAAGTGTGGCTAGCCTCTCTTGCCGTTAATCCTGTCCGCGGCCCCCATCTTAGTCTCTCCACCGCCATCTCCTTCTGCACCGCCGCCGCCATCTTACTACCTGCTTCCTCACTGCCGCCATCTTACTTCCTTTTTTCTCTGCCGCCATTTTAGTTCTTCTGCTGCCATTCGGCCACCGTTTTAATTCCTGTTAGTTCCCATTTGTTCTTTTAACCCTGCCCACCTAACTCCTTGGCTTCCGTCTTACCCCCATTCTCATTTCCACCTCCCCATAGTGCCATACCAGTCCACTACTTCTACAACTCCTAACATATTTGCTGCGGGCAGTGATATCCGCTAATCCTGGATGAGGCAGTGGAGGGCCCCCAAACCCCTATGCAGGACTTAGTAAAGCTGGCGTTCAAAGTTTTTAATTCCCGAGAGGAGGCGGCTGAGGTACAATGACAGGCAAGACTGAAATAAAAAGTTCAGCTCCAAACACAAGCCCTGCAACCGGCATTCCCTAAGAGCCCCGGCAGGAGAGGTAGAGGTACAATCTCCCGGGCCCCGTCTGGTGCCGCTTCAAGTGCGGCAACTCGGGACACTGGGCCAGCCGGTGCCCTAGCCAACAGCAACCGTCCTGCCCGCCTTGCAACTGTTTCAAGTGCAGCAATCCAGGTCATTGGGCAAAACAGTGCCCAAACCCCAAGCCGCCAACACGCCCGTGCCCTAACTGCCAACAAATGGGGCACTGGAGGTCAGACTGCCCCGGCCTCGGAGCGGCCACTGTGTCTCCACATGGTGACCCCTCCCCGGATGGCGAAGGTGCCCTCCAGCTCCTCCAGCTGGACGATGACTAAAGAGGCCCAGACTTGGGAACCCCTCTCACCCTTGCCGAGCCCAGGGTAATGCTTCAGGTAGCGGGTAAATCCATTTCCTTTTTGCTAGACACAAGGGCTACCTACTCTGTTTTGCCATCTTTTAGCAGGCCCAGCTGCCCCTCCTCAATCTCTGTTATAAGGATTGATGGCACTCCCTCCACCTACCGCCAGACGCCTTCACTGCCCTGCCATCTAGACCACTATATAACTTTCTTGAACCCATAATCTACCATCCTTCCCTTTATTCCTTACTAAAGCAAATACATCAAGTTATCTTCTTACTTTAGTAAACACTTTCTCAGGTTAGATTAAAGCCTGCCCTACCACTCATAAAACAGCAGAGGTAGTAGCTTCAACCCTCATTGAACAGATAATCCCGATATTTGGCCTGCTTTTATCTCCAAAATAGTCAAACAGGTGACAACCACACTTGGCGTTAACTGGAAGCTACACACTCCATACCATCCGCAGTCTTCTGGAAAAGTGGAACGCGCCAACGGCCTTGTCAAACAACACCTAATCAAATTGGCTCTCGAGACACGCCAACCGTGGGTAACCTTACTTCCCTTTGCCCTCGCACGGCTCCGGGCAGCACCCCGAAGCCCCACAGGCCTTAGCTCCTTTGAGCTCCTATACGGGCACCCCTTCCTCTTTCAAGAGCTCCCTGTGAATACCCCACCTCTTGGCACGTACCTGCCCTACCTCACCCTGTTAAGGGAGCTGCTAAGAGAACACGCCGACCACAGCCTTCCAAAGCCTGGACCGCTCAGCCCAGACAGTCCAGCCATAATAATCCCAGGAGATCAGGTACTAGTAAAAGACCTCCAGGCAAGAGGTCTCTTCCCCCGGTGGAAAGGCCCCTATACGGTAATTCTTACAACACCGACGGCAGCTAAACTTATAGGCTTTCCCTCCTGGTACCATATGTCCCATCTTAAGGGGGCACCTACACAACATCAGGCCACTTGGACTGTCACCTCCCTCTCTCCAACCAAACTGAAACTCTCTAAATCAAATACCGCATGAATTCTCCGTGTGACAGGCTCCAACAATTTATTCAGGTTCTTCTCGAGGAAAGCTGGTCATTCCCTACTTTTGCTAACACCCTTTGCTGGCCTGAAAATCTGTTGTCCTATATAGATGAACTGGTGTGGCAAGGCTCCCTCCAGAACTTTCACCAACATGAAGTTCGCTTTTTTTGTCTTGTCACTCTTCTTATTCTTGCACACCAGTCATAGTAGACAAGCCCCCTCTCAGACTCCCTCTCACTGGGTTTTTTAACCTCACTGAGAATTGGAGTTCCAGACAGGCAGTCTCCTCTGGACTAGTAGCCATGGCAGCATGCCCGCCAGCAGGGTGCCAGGCACCCATAGCTTTCCTAGATCTAAAATTCTCTTCCCAGGCCCGGCTAGAAAAAACCCTGCACTTTGCTTCCTGTATGATCAAAGTAACTCCAAATGCAATACCAGCTGGGTCAAAGAAAATGTAGGCTGTCCGTGGCACTGGTGCAATATCCATGAGGCATTAATTCATGCTGAAAAAGGATCTGACCCAATGTTCTATGTCAATACCTCCACTGGAGGATGGGATGGCTTTAACGGATTTAACCTCCAAATCTCTGACCCTTGGGACCCCCGCTGGGCCTCCGGTGTAGATGGAGGACTATATGAGCACAGAACTTATATGTATCCAGTAGCTAAGATCCACATTGCCAGGACCCTTAAAAACACTGTCACAGGGTTATCCGACTTAGCCTCCTCAATCCAGTCAGCCGAGAAAGAACTTGCCAACCAGCTTCAACCGGCAGCTGACCAGGCCAAGTCCTCCCCCTTCTCGTGGTTAACTTTAATCTCAGAAGTTGCACAATTGCTGCAATCCACAGGGGTACAAAACCTCTTCCACTGCTTCCTCTGTGCAGCCCTCGGAAGACCTCCCTTAGTAGCAGTTCCTCTCCCTACCTCCTTTAATTATACAAGAAATTCATCCACCCCTATACCACCGGTCCCGAAAGGACAGGTCCCACTATTCTGAGACCCTACAAGACACAAGTTCCCGTTCTGTTACTCTACCCCAAATGCCTCTTGGTGTAACCAGACCAGGATGCTCACCAGCACCCCGGCACCACCCGGAGGCTACTTCTGGTGTAACTCCACGCTAACTAAAGTTCTTAACTGGTAATCACATCTTGTGCTTACCCATCTCTCTCATCCCTAGCCTGACCCTACTATATAGTCCAGACAGACTTAGCCATCTGCTAGCCTGGACCGAGCCAAGGCCGCAAAATAAAAGCAAACGGGCTATTTTCCTACCTTAGTACTAGGCATCTCCTTAGCCTCCTCCTTAGTGGCATCAGGGCTAGGAACAGGAGACCTCACCCACTCAATCCAAACATCTCAAGATCTGTCTACTTGCCTGCAGTTGGCCACTGAGGCATCGGCCGAGTCCCTGGCCTCCCTACAGTGACAGATCACTTCAGTAGCACAGGTGGCGGCACAGAACAGGCGGGCCTTAGACTTGCTTACGGCAGAAAAAGGAGGGACATGTTTATTCTTACAGGAAGAATGCTGCTATTATCTCAACCAGTCAGGGGTAGTTAAGACTAATTTACAAACTTTAAAGAAAAGATCCAAGAGGAGTTAAAACACTCCTACGACCCTCTCCGCCCTGGTCCTTCCTGGTGGTTTTCACCCGTAGTTCAACAGATGCTCCCTTTCCTTATCCCAATTATAATTCTCTGTATAATAATGTGTTTTGCCCCAATCCTAGTACAGTTCCTCTGCCAGTGGATACAAGAAATCACCAGGGTCACTTTCAACCAGATGTTACTTCACCCTTATGTCCAACTGCCAACCTCTATTTAGGCCCCCTCCCCAACAATGCCCCTTAACAGCAGGAAGTAGCCAGACGATTTCGTTGCCCCTTTTCTATAACCAAAAAGAGGTTGGACTGATTGGACTCTGGTGAAGACTCCAAGATGGCGACCAGCAACCATCTTGGCTACCCTGACTTGGCATTCCCAGATTCGCCGGTTCCCACCATCCCAGTGGCCATCTTGGCCACCCTGACTTGGCATTTTCGCTTATTCCCTCCATTTATTCCCGCCTTCCCGACAGCCACCCCGGGTACCCTGACTCAGCATTTCCGGGTTCACCTTTTCCTGTTCCCGCCACCCTGACTAACGCGCATGCCCACTAGGGCGCGTCACACTCAGAAGCGCGAAACTCAACAAACCCCGCCCCTACCCCACCCATTCCTCACCCAGCATCCATATAAGCGTGCCACACCTGTAGCACAGCGTGACTTCCCTGGCCCTCCCCCTGCGGACCAGTGAACCTCGCCCGAGAGCTCAATAAAGAAGATTTTTGCCCTCTTTGTCTCGCCTCTGGGCCTTATTGATCCACGGTGCCCTTCCATTGCCTTTCACCAATTCCTCGCTGTTCCATTTTTCCCCATTGTACAGCACAATGGTTAAGAATCAGGTAGATCAACTTATGTGGAGGTTGTCTCACCTTTTGCCTGAAAAGCTCTGAACAAAAAGGCTTCTACGGATTTATAGTCCCTGGGGCTGGTGCAGGACAAGGCAGGGGAAGTGGGGTTGAGAGAAGCTGGGAATGGAAAAGCACTGAGTCAGAATGGGGTGGGGGGAAGTGATTTCAAGGTTTCCACCTTCTCCTCCCTGTAAGGAGGTTTCAGCAGAATGCTTAAAGATGACCTTTGCCTAAGGCTTCAGATGAACAAGCTTTGGAATAGAGGCTCCTGGGCTAGGACTGCCAGTATATGTAACAGCATGGCTTGCCAGAGAGGCCTGCATCCTTGACTGCAACTTCCCTTGGAGAATTCACCACATTGGCTATGTGTAGGGGATCAGTCAGAGTGGTGAAAAGCTATAGGAAAAGAAGGAGGGCTTCTGAAAGGTTGGAAGGCTCTGCAGACCGTCAGGGGAGAATAAGCTGAAGGCAGCTCTTCTGTTACCCTGAGGCAGAGGGCGAGGAGTAGGTACAAGGGAGTGTATGGGAATTTATCTAAATAGGTTTGTTTACCCGTGTTGTCCAGAAACCGACCTTTGACCATCCTCGCTCATGACTGATCCCTGAAAGGGGGAACAGTAATGTTAATTACCCACAGATTGTGTTTGCTCCAGGCTTTTGGCCTTATGTCTGTACCGAATAAAAGCAATCAGCTCTAGCTGTTTGAGACTGCTCACTCTTTGGCAGTCCCCTAGCTGCTCTTTTACTGCATACCTGTGTCTGAGTACTCCTTTCATTGTCGCTTGGCCAGGGTCTATGTGACTGACCCAGCAGCTATGCACTAAGTCTGATGCGGGGCAGCTTTCCCCTGTGTGGCCTGTCAGGTAAGCCTTTGTAATTGCCTATATGGTGGGGCCTGAAAAATCACATGTAGGTTTTTAGTGTGGGGCTGGATTCCTCAGTATGCAAACCTAATCTAGATAAAACATCAACTACACCTGTTCTTGCTCCATTTCTCAGTGATTCTGATATGACTTCCTTTTCTTCATATTTTGAAAATCTCTCCATGACACTATGATGGATAGAATTATGTTCTTCAGTGTGTTGTGTTAGAAAAAAAGATTAGGCCAGGCGCAGTGGCTCACGCCTGTAATCCCACGCTTTGGGAGGCCGAGGCGCGTTGATCACAAGGTCAGGAGATTGAGATCATCCTGGCTAACACGGTGAAACCTTGTCTCTACTAAAAATACAAAAAATTAGCTGGGCATGATGGCGGATGCCTGTAGTCCCAGCTACTTGGGAGGCTGAGGCAGAAGAATGGTGTGAACCCGAGAGGCAGAGCTTGCAGTGAGCTGAGATAGCGCCACTGCACTCCAGCCTGGGTGACAGAGTGAGACTCTGTCCCAAAAAAAAAAAAAAAAAAAGGTTAAATCACTAACCTAGATTTCTGAGTGAACAAAGCTATTGTGCTGAATGCCTGTCAACAACTCCAATAGGGATCGCACCAGGTTCAAGAGGCTGAAGAAGAGACCCAGAGTCAGTGAACGAGACACAGGGTTTTACTGGGGGCTTACATAGAAGGGAGAGAGTCCAGTGGTAGTGGGCTGAACAGGAGAACCAGAACTTCTTGCAAAATCATGCAGTGTATGCAGCATTTTTCACTTAGCATCCTCCCCCTAACAACCTTCACCTGGCAACCTTTGTTCACCATAAAACAAAAGGTCTCCATCCTGTGTATGACCTACCCATGGAACAGACTGGTGCTCAGATGTTCCTCATAGATTAGGAATGTTTTCCTGGGTTGGCCACTCCTGGATCCCTTAGCTCAGCACTCTGAACCATATTCAGATGCATCTGCCATCCAGTGTCATTCTCAGGATATGCTTAAGTTATTGCTATCAGGTATGTTTACTGTACAATAGCAAATGACAAATTAATTTAAAATTCATAAATTCACAAAATTAGAAAGAATGGAAAGGCAGAATAATAATGAACAGGAGATGTCAATGCAGTATTGGAAGAAGAAAAATGAGGGCTTAGAAAAAGAGAGGAAACTAACAGCAGAGGACAGTAATATAAAGCAAGATTATTATACTCTAGGATTCAATAAAGATTCAGAAATGGGAATCTTCAAGTACTACAGAAGATGAGCATGAAAAAATAGCTAAAACAGGGAGTTGTTTGATAGGTCTACCCAAACACAGTCAATAATTCCTCCTCTCAACCCACGGAGGACCAGTGGTATATTCTGCGGAAAAGTCAAATGCTAAAAGCTGCAGTCTCTGGTCCATTAGGCACAGTAGAAGTTGGGGATGAGATATAGAACTAAATATCACATGCTGAGTGTTGGGGATTGAAGCCACTTTCTCCATTCTATTCTTGGTATTCTGGTGGACAGGTGAAAATGCTCCAGGCAGAAGACTATAGGCTTCCTCTTTGGAGAAACTGGCATTTGTGGGTAAAGTCACCAATATTCGGTTCTTTGCCTGATATCTCTTATTGAAAGTCCTTCCAATATGGATTTTCATGCACACAAAACTTCCAGTCAGCCCTTGAAATATAACTGGGGTGTCAAGAATGATTGGCATTTTAAGAAAACGTTCAATATGAAAGATTCCCAAAGGAAAAAAACAAGAGGTCAAAAGGAAAACTTAAAATATTCTATAATTTCAGAGAGCTAATCATATATCTCAGAGAGATGAAGACAAATAACACATCTGTTAGAAAAGGATGCTAGAAAACCAATAATCAGACAATAAGATATTGCTTTCAAAAATGAACATGTTAGCTTAAATTTTAAAATAAAAGCATTCCAAGAGCCTGAGGGACAGATAAAATAATGCTTTCAAAATTCCAAGAGAAATGGAATTATTTTTCAATTTAGACTTCCATGCCAAGTCGAAAGGACAATAATTCAAGACCAATAAAAAGAAAGAATGCAGAATCAGTGGACCCAACACAGAAGAATGGTGGGGGGTCCCTGGGCAGCAGTTGTTCAATAGGCAGACAGAACAACTGGACTCATGTAAAGCAAACAAGACCAGTCAGGGAATAGAACTGCAAGAAGATTCTTGTTGAGGAGTAGTAGATGGAAGAAGAAGGTGAAAACAAAAAGCCTGATACATTGTTAAACATGTTTGAGCCTTTGGAAATGTATTGCTATATGATTGGTTGATATATTGAAACATTTGTGGAAAAGTGGTAAGTACATATAATACTAAGTAAGTAAAATAAATGAAAAATTAATAATTGGGAAAAAGAGAAAAGGGCTCATAAGCATAGTACCCTTTGTCTCTGCAGTAAATGATACGTAGTCATGATAATATAAACCCTGATAACTGATTTAACCTTAAATAATAACATAACCACAGAATAGAAGCACATAGAATGAGTTACATCCCCATGAACACAACCAGAAGTCAACAGACCATGTTTAAAATTAAGAAATTAAAAAAACACGCAACAGTATAATTATATTATTTAGACATAAAATTTGGAAATCAATAAGGGAAGAAACAAAATAGATACAAAAATTTCCCCTGTTCCTCTCAGGAACAGGGTTTGGGTATATGCAGAGCTCCAGTAAGGAAAGTTGTGTTTTTCTTTAAACAGTTTTTTCTTTAATGTTTTAGTACATGAAATACAAATTATAAAATGGCATCTGTGGCCATAGCCATTGTACATTAATTTCATCAATTTCTTTTACTTGAAGAAGAGCTAAAAGGAGCAGCATCTTAGTCTTTACATTGTGTCCACCAAAAATGTAATTGTTTTAATTGTTTGAATACAATCATGAACTGCTTGCTTTGTCTATATGGTCCTGGATGTCTAAAATGTTTTCAAATTTCTGAACCAATGGAACTCTGAGGACTTAGTGTCTTATCTTTGTTTTATCATCTCCTACCACACTCCATCTCACAGATCTTTCTGAATCCTTCAAATACTACTGCTTTTCTGCATTTACTCACAGACCATGTAAAATGACACTTAAAAAATTAGAATATTTTATTTATTTATTTTAGAGATGGGGTCTTGCTCTATAGCTCAGGCTGGAGTACAGTGGCATGATCTCGGCTCACTGCAACCTCCACCTCCCAGGTTCAAGTGATTCTCCTGCCTTAGCCTCCCGAATAGCTGGAATTACAGGCATGTGCCTCAGCACCCAGCTGATTTTTGTATTTTTAGTAGAGGCGGGGTTTCACCATGTTGACTTCAGGTGATCCACCCACCTCGGCCTCCCAAAATGCTGGGATTACAGGCCACAGCACCCGGGCCTAGAGATTTCAACTTATCTATCCAGATAGACATTAAATTTCCCATGGAAAAAAAAATTGTGGATTTTGTCTAATTTTTTTTCTCCCCACTAGGGCTTTGTACTGTTATCTTTTCATGGTCAAAAACAAACAGATAATAAAAAAAGACAATTTAAAGAAAGAAAAAGTTACTTTTACATTTGAAGGCTAAAAACCTGAGTTTGTCCTGAATCTGACCCATGTCATCTGTATATTGGAAATACCACTTAACTCAAGTGATCTACAGTTTTCTCATTTCTATATTGGTATTTAAAGAGTGTGAAAATTAGATAAGATCATATATATTTATGTGTTTTTTAAGCTAAGAAATTATACAAATGTAAAGCAGCATTATAAGTAATTACGAATATGTATGTATGTATGCAAATGTTTGTTTCCTTTTTCATCCAGCTATACAGTAGTGACCAGAAAATAAAAATCCTAGGGAATATTCTAAGCTTAGTTGGAAACTTTTATCCAAAAAGAAAAAGAAACAAAAATAGAAGAAAATAAAAACATGAATACCAAAATGATTTTAACCAAGTTTTAGTAACTTTTCTACAAATAAGTTACGTTTCATACAAAATACAATTAATAGCCTAAAATCAACATTTTTTAAGTACTAAAATGATTATTCCTTAGCATCTTTCTTAGTAAGAAGTAAAGGAAACTAAAATGGTAAACCATTTATTGTGATGATAGCTATATATTTTTGGTTAGTTCACACAGAACATTTGAAGAATTTTCTACTTTTAGAAAATGTTGTGAAAATATTAAAATGTAGAGACCTAAAAAATTTGTCCTTCAGAATGTAGCGTGCTGGGAAATAGGATAAAAGCTAGCATTAGACACAGATCTGTAAGACCTCGTGCTGTGTATTCTTTTCACTACTGAAAGTGTGGCAGAATATTATACTAACATAATAATTTGCATTCTGTTCTACTGTACTTTGAGAAATGTGAGGTTTTTTGTTTGTTTGGTTTTGCTTTTTTTGTTTTGACTTTTCAGTACTTGGAACCACTTCTCTCATAGAGTGAACAATGTTAAACTCAGAATGACTACGGCTTTGTAAAAATCTCTTAATATTTTCAAGCATGAATCTTGATGTCCCAAGGGTTCCTAACCCGAATATTAGTGGATATGGGAGCAATCCATCCCTGAAGACAGAGAGAGGCTTAGCTTTCAGAATGCTGGAAAGTGGCTTAAGGACATTTCCAGGGTGGTGGAGACCTTGGCCTCATTTACGCATAGAGCCACAGGTAGGAGAAGAGCTGGAAAGTCTGAACACTGAGGGCATCTGTGGTAGATGTTACTCATTTTCCCTGACATCTCATTTTCCTCTCCTCTTCTTCCAGGCACATGAAGAATTATAATTATTTAACCCTTGAAGTTGTATATAACCATGTTACTTTTTCTAGGGAATGAAAAGAGAGAAGGAGAGAAAAGTTTCACGTCTTGTCTAAAGCATTTAATGGCCAGTGTTTGATTCTCTTCTTTTCATTAAGTTGCTACATATTTATGTTTGTCAATAGGGAGAAGGAAGACAACCAAACATAAATGTTCTATCTTTCCTCTTTTCCATGTACTACTCCAAAAGTAGTTCTTGGAAAGGGGTCAAGGGTTGTAATCATACTTTGAAATAGTACATGGGTAAGAGAAAGGAGGATTCCTTCATTTTTCCTGTTGCCTGTTGGTCAAAGATCATTCCATTAGGGGCTAACTCCTCCTTGCTTGTGGTTTATATTCTCCTCATCTGACACCTAGGATGCCTCATATAAAATCCTATTCAGTACTCTGCAGTGTAACATTTCACTACTGTCTGAAAACAGAAAGGCTACTCAGCACGGAAGGGTTACTACCAGAGAGAAATAAAATAAGCATTTGAGGAAATATGAAAAGGCACAGAAGGATATTTTCTTAATAGAGGATCCCTGATAATGCCTGTTCAATGAAACTTCAGAATTGCTATGAACCAGTGACTACTGTATGTTTCCCATTCTTCTTTCTGAAGTGAATGAAAATTTATTGCTCTTTTTCTGTTCTGGTTTCACCAATGTATACAGGGTTATTAAACACAGATAGCTTGTTTTTCAGTTCTTAATTCCCTGAACAAGAGGACACACATCTGAACTAGTTGTAAATACCACCTTTCATCACATGCATGTGCTGGACTTTGGGATACCTCCTTGGAGAGGAGTTGAAAGACAACCAAATATGTAGTGACTAGAATACTGAATCGTGGAAGGTATTACAAATAGTCACTAATATTATTCACTAATGTCTGAACTCATTTACATGTGGGTTCAGGAAGAATTCTAATTCCCCACCCACTTGAAAGTTCGGCATGATCGGGTCAATAGTTCTGGCCAAGCAAATGTGAGTAGAAGTGGTGAGTATATTTTTCAAACTAGAACATTAAATAGGCCAGTGCTTTTCCATCTTCAGCCACAGAGATTGCAACCAAGGAAGCACATGGTGAGAGAGTGATGTCATAGTTCTGTTGAGCGTCTGTTATCCTGTTTCCTAGAATGGCTACAATGAGTATAGGTCTCTGGCCTAACTCAATGAACATACGGTATGAGAAAAAAAAATGAACTTTGTTTTTCAGCCACTGAGAGTTTGGGGTTGTTAGTTTAGGTTCTTCTAACTGATTGAGGTTGTTACCTGGCCTCTCCTGACTGATACAACTCCATTCTGCCATGATGACTCAGGTTAGATTTTTTTGACTACTTTAATGGAAACTCTAAAACAGTTTTAATTTGCATTAGGGAAAGGGTTGTTTTGCTGCTCTCAATTATAATTGACCAAACTTTTACTTATAAAATAAGTGTCTTCTCTGGTAAGAAGAAAAAATAGGGTGTTGCTTTTAGCTTGGGCGTGTTTACTCATCTAATTGCTAATTGTATTGAGTGCGATATTTGTACTATAGTACCATAGCTCAAATGCAAAATAGTGATTTTAAGAGGTGAAGTTGCTACACTGTCTCTTATCCCATTGACTTGCTTACAGAAATAAGTATTCTGTCCCCAGATTTTTCAGACTATTTGTTCCACACTAATCGCTTCGAAACACGACTTCTGAAAGTAATTTACTTAAACCATAAATCCTCACTACTGCTTTCCATGTGGCTACATGGCATCTGAGATAGCCATGGTGTGTTTCTGGAGGACACACTCTATTACCTGGCAAGGGTAAGCAGGGTGTTCTTATTTCTTTGATCCTGAGCACTTGCAGACCTTTAGTCTCTTCATGCCACTCTGACTCTGCTCTGCTGCCTGTACACAAATCTTGGATGTCTCCCCAATCATTAATCAAATGGATTTTTCAATGGTATATAGGGCTTTGATTTCCTGCCCCAGAGCAGGTTGGAGTTTCTGATCATGTTATTATTTCCTTTAAATTCTCAGATGTATCCAATGGGAGAAAAGTAAAAAGAATGACCAGAAGCTTGTGAAAGTTTGGCCCATCAAGCAAAGCGATGTGGATGCAATCTCCCATTCTACTTTCCTTACTACTTTGAAAGCAGTTTGTTTCTGATTGATTTTTCTTCATAAAGGAGCACATTGTTTTAGTTTAAACTGGATTTCATAGGGAAATACAAACAAATTATACCTAGCAAAAAATGCAACTGCTGTGTATCAGTACCAGCCCGAGAAGTTTCTTAGAGACAACATGTGCTCCTGATTTCTTTCATCTTGGGGTATACAAAAATAGAATTGACAGTATGCCTCACACTCTCTGAAAATTCCTCCCTCAAGTCACATACTATATTTTGTTTTTGGAAGTGAAAGAAGAAAAATATATTGAGAAAAAAAAGGGATATTCTGACAATAGGGAAAAAGAAGGAGCCAAAGGAATTCCAAGGTGGATCATTCCCATGAAGAAGTAGGGAGATGGGATTAAAATTACTATGGTAAAATAAGGATCCTGGAGTTCCTGAATCTTCATTCTCTGCATTGAATTGATTAATGCTGCAAAGAGTTGGTCTGTGCTTTCAATGTAAGATACTGTGGAGTAAATATTCCATTTCATGATGAAATTTAAAATAGAAATATTGTATATGTTATTCAGGTATGGCCAGAAAGGCTAGCTTGGGGCTTAGTTCTCAGGCAGAAATATATTTTTTGAGAGTTTAGTGAAAGTTTTTCTCCTTATTAGAGTTGACCCACATCCACCAAGCCCATAAATGAATGTGCTTGTATAAAGTGCTCATTTATTGATCTCATATGGGAAATAAAAGAAGTGGGAAATTCTTGAGCCAACATATCCTGCACAATCTCTCTCTGTAATCATAACTATATAAGATGTAATATCATATATCATGAGCATAAAATTAAAAGATGGATTTGTTATTCAATGGCTAAAATTGAAGGTAGAATCCACCTTGTCAAAAGGGATATTTTCAAGATTACAGCTGCAATACTCAAAAAAGAGTTTTGCCTAATGTATTCAATCTCTTGTATAGCAGAGAAATGGGCACTGGCATTTTTGCATCTCTGCAATTCTCCCCCTGCCTTCCAGTCTTTCAAAACTGTCCACTCACCTTCAGAATTGCATACTCTTCTGACTTGGTTATGATTCTGAAAGTCACTTACACCTCTTTAAAGTACGTTTTTATTATTTACTTTTTGGTATATCCTATTTGAATTGTCAATATTATTTACTTTATTTACAAATTTGAGGAGTTCCCTCTGTTTATTTCCCCATTACTGATAGAGAGGTCTTTGGTATTTGGAGATACTAATTCTCTACTCCTGATAGCTCTTTACATGTCAAGGGATGTTAATTAGTTTAACACTTCTGGCTTCTCTTTGTTCCATCAACTCTTTCATTTCAGGTGAATGACTTATCACTTAGCAGTTTTTAAATCTGGGATAAGTATACTGAGTGTGCTCAATTTTGGGGACTAAGCTGCTATAATTTAGATTTTATAAGTAATGAAATGATTTTTTCATATCTGCATTACTATTTGTTCTTTTTCCTAACTTATTCAGGACAGGAGAGAGAAAGGGAAGTATTATTGGCCCACTTTGAAAACCTCAAACATTTGCACTGTGAGATTGGGAAATAATGTTTTGACGGTATAGAAAGAAAGCTCGAGTGAGTTTTAGTCCTAAGTTTCCTAAAAATTTAAGATGTAACTTTGGGAAACACTTTCTTTTTCTGTATTAGTCTTTCTATTGTAACATGAAGTAGATTAGGGTGCATGGTTTCTAAGAAGCAAATAGCCCATGAATAATGTGTGGTTTTTCATAGATTGATCGATTTAAGTAACTGAGGTATAGTGGTATATCCATTGACTTAGGTAGTATATTGGGGAACTATTTTTTTTCCAGGCCAAGTTAAATGGCCATCCCATGTCCTTCCTTATAAGTTTATTTGTAACTGATGTCTTCCATTCCTTAGCTACTGTAAAAACTCCTTAGACTTCATATGTTGTGTGTTGATTTTCTTTACATATTTTAATCCATGGCCTTCCAATTACGTGACTTCTCACCCAATAATATTTCCTCTACCCTACTGTGTCACATTCTTGACTATGTCATCAGCAGGAAATACGCAATTGTTGATATCTGGTTATTTCCACCCGATCTTACGGCCTAGTGCTGCACATCTCCCACTCTAACATTTTCTTGAACTTATTGAGGATCGCAAACTTTACTCATAAAACCTTTTATTCTATTATTCCTCTCATGTTTTTGCCACCCTCTTTACCTGGCTTAGGTTCCCCAGTCCATCATATTTATCACCTCATTGTAAATATCCTTAAGTCCATGGGAAACAAACAAAAAAATCTCCTGACAAATTCTAACCCTGGTTAAACCCATAAAGACTGGTCCCAATTTAAATTCATCACCAAAAATTGAATGTGGTAACAATATGGCTTGGAAATATCATTTCACTTCTCTAGGAGGTTTGTTTTCCTATAATCTTAAACCATCCATGTTTTGTCTCATTCTTCCAACTACTTAAAACCCATCCTTTGCCCTCTACTCTCAGCTAATTCAGGAGTTGTCTCATCTTCACACTGCTGGATGTCCGTCCACCTGATGTTCATCTTCACTCTTCCTATCTAGTTCCCCTCCTTTTCAAGTGAATAAGCTGGAACACCTTCTGGTGTTTGGATGCCCATCCCACATTTTTAAAGACTTTGTTTTTTTCAAGTATTCCTTTTTCTCTTCTGCATATTGAATATACACCTCTGTATATATCAGTCCATAGGCTTGCCATAAGGTTTCCAAGTTAGAAACCACAACTGAAACAATAACAAGAAGACTTCTTAGTCCCAGCATTTCCTTTAAGCTATGATCTACTTCTCAGCTTTCTTCACAGTAATAACTTTTTGAAAATTATCTATGGATGTTATTTCCACCTTCTCCCCATTATAGCCCCAATATTCAATCAAACACAATTTTTTCAAGTCTCTTACGTATCAAAACTATTACTGAAATTTTTGCCTCTTACTGTCATTTCATTCCAAACTGTCATCAACTTTCACCTAAATATAAGAAAAGGCTTCTAAAAATTTTCCCCACATATTAATTTGTGCTTTTATGATTATCTACCAGATAGCTAGAATAATGTACTTTTTAAATAAAAGCTTGATCACATTACTCTCTAATTTAGTTACTTTTAGAGTCTTCCGACTACAGTAAGAATAAAATCTCATAGTTTTACATGTAATTATTAAAACTCATGCAATTAATACATGCATAACCTGCCTACCATTTCTGCCTTATCTCATGCAGTTTGCACTTCCGCTTTTTATGCTACATCCATCCTGACCTTTTATCTGTTCCTAAGACCTGCCAAAATGCTTTAGGATTCTAGGCTTTCACATAGGCTCTGGTTTCTACTTTGGAAAGTTTTTCCCTTGCTTAGTCTTATTTATGCTTCTTATCTTGCCATAAATGCCAATGCTGCAAGGAAGTCTTCTGTGAAAACTCAGACTTAGGTCCCTGGTACACCACTCTGTTTTTTTCCTTTAATACATGATATAAGAATTGCAAGTTAATATTTACTTGATAATTATGTTATCAGTTTCTAACTTATTCATCAGACTACAAGCTTTATATAAAAAGGGATTACATTTGAACTGTAGATGTCTGTTTCCCATCTCATTGAAATCAGTTCATCCTCATTAATTATTTATTGAATAAAAAATTAGTAAATATGAGGGGAAAGAAGACAAAAAATCTTTCATTTATGAGGCATCTCTCATATGCATGGTACTTTGCTTGACATCTTTTCTAGATGAAGAAACTAAGATTCAGCACACCTGACACACCTGATGAAAATTGTATGATACCTAACAGAAGGATTTGAACTCAGATAGTTCTGGCTGCAAAGGTAACCGCCAAGGCTGGTGAAACCTCAGTCCCTCCCAGAACCTGTTTGTTTAGACTGTGTCTTATTATTGATCTCCAAAAGGCATCTTATGCAGTAACTATATATATTTCTGCTCCATACCTGCTGTAGGTAGTCCCTTTTAAAATTTGTTTTGTTCCCAGTCTCTGATACTCTGGAAGTATCAGTCATTTCTTGATCTGAACCTAGATACTTGACTTCAGCTCATTTCCACTGACTTTCCCACAAATGTTATATACTTAATAATCATGTTAGTTTACTTCCTTCCCTCAACAAATACTCATAAGCCATTATTTGGTAAAGATATTCTGTTTTTTTTTTTCAGACATCAAGATCTCCAGAATGCAACATCACATAAGAGAGCAATACTGGATCTCCTTATGGTCAGTCCATTTCTTTGTTTGCCCCATCCAACCTTACAGAGAGTGCAAGAGTTAAAGTTGCGATAGTCTAGAGTGGAAAATGGCACAGATAATAAAAGAGTCAGCAGAAATAGCTTCCTCTCCTGCTGCTTCTGCTGCAGGGCATTTAGGAATATTACAAACTGTGACTATATAGACATTTATGTGCCCTTATAAAAACATCACATGTAAATGTTTTTCTGGAAGGCTGGGAGGGCTGAATCAATGTATGGTCATTTTTCCCCTTGTCAGAAGCAATAGAATTTTTATTGGCATAATTTCCATTACTCAGCACTGACTATGGTATCTTTGATCAAACTAATTAGAAATAGTTACACTTTGCACCATGAGATAGATCAAATTTATTTGAAAAATTATGTATGTGCACACATAGAAAAGAAATAGGGATATTAAATATGAAGATATGACATTTATGCCACTGGTTGGAGTGAGGAGGCATTCTAATTAGGTAGTGAATATTCTTAAAGTATAGATTTTTTCCTGCGTGTGCACTATTCAGCTAAAACTACAATTACTAATAAAATTTGAATGCATAAAAAAGGGCAAAGATATTTTTCTGATCATGAAGTCGATCTATATTTATTGGTCAACTGCTATGTGTCTTTGCCAGATAACGATGATGAGGAAAATGACTTTCAGGCATTGAGAAGTCTTTTAAAATGCTGGGTGGACAGAAATTACTCTAATTAGTGTGCATGCAAAATAGAATGTTACAACTTCCTCAAGTGTATGTTAAACAAGGAAAGAACTGATGGGGTTGTTCAGAGATATAATGGAACCTTGTGGTTGGGAGATGTGTCCATGGAGGAGCAGAGACTCAAGTGGTTTTGAAAAGATAATATGGAGAAAGGAAATAGCAGAATGTATGTCAGGCAGAGAATGGGATAAGAACTGAAGTTTTACTTCAGATACATGGAGAACTGAAGTTTTACTTCAGATAATATGGAGAAAGGAAATTGCAGAATGTAAGTCAGGCAGAGAATGGGTTAAGAACTGAAGTTTTACTTTTTGCTCCCAAGGATTTAAATCATCAAAGATGAAGAGACTCAGACCCCAGTGATGAATATGCAGTTTGTCCAGTGAATAATATTGATACTTCTTGCTAAGGGTTGAATGGGATGAATAAACCAGAAGCACTGAGTGTTGCTATGGGGGTTTCTCTTGCTGTTATTATGATTTAAGCATGTTTTACGTAGAAGCAACTTCAGAGTTCACGACAAAAGGGGCTTTCCGAGTTTTTGCAGTTGTGCAAAGTGGTTATATGACTTATTTAACCTGTACATCCCCAGCCCTTACCAGACTGTGATACAGAAAGGGTTGTATTATTGTAATAACCCACCCTTTTGACAAGTCTCAGGTTTTGCTGAACTATCTCCATCACTTAGGGCTAAGCTGCACAGCTAGCTACGTGGCAGCCCTCGCTGCTCTCATAGACTACCCCTTGGAGTACATCCCTGTGGTTGCGGCATTTAGCGCTTTCTGATTATAGGGATCCCCAACTTTGAATTCTGGCAAAGCTCCACTTAGCAGCAGTATCCAAATCTTGGTAATTCATACTTGTTGGCCCCCTTGGTAAAAATTACATTTAACTAAAAATAATGCCTGTTCTTTCTAGGACTCCACAGGTAGAAAACAATCATATAAATTAGAGGTCTTCCTGCCTCACTTGATGGACATTCAAATATAAGGTAGTAGCTGCAATTCCACTTAAAGATGGAAGAAAGCATCCCTCCTACATATAGAAACTTTAGAAAAGACAATTTTAAAATATACCAGTTCTGAAATATCTCAATTAAGTTTAACAAGATTCTTTACGCTGTTGGGAAAAATCAAATATATTTTTCAGTCATTTGAAACATAAGGTTTTGTCATATGATATGACTGCTCTTTAAAAAGCCTTTTATCTTTTGTCCTTGTTCTCTGCTCCCACTTCTTTGTTCAGAAACATGCAATGACTAACTCAAAGTAAAATATCTCTTTGAGAAAAATTAATCAACTTTGGCAAGAGTCAGCAGAGGTCAAGAGATTTGTTATTTGAATTGCTGGCAATTAAACAACCACACACAGTCACATAACAAAAGGCACAGTTATAACTTTTAACCAATGGAAAGCAATCAGGTAGGAGGCAAAAAGTATAATATAACACTTCTTATTGCATTCTCCTTTCCTTGTACTCTCATATCATTTTATGTTTCTTTAAACTAAAATATTTAGACCACAAAAGTCTTGCTAAAAGTGAGAATGTGAGGGACGCACAAATATATGTATGCATATATGCAAACACACACACACATAGGCTCATCAATTTGTATATTAACTGAGTGTAAACTTCTTGGAGGAGACAGGTTTTAAAAGATTCTTTCTTGGAGAAAGTGTGTTTGTCTAAGAGACAAGGTTAGGTATGTGAGATCACCTGGGCTACTCAGGTCAGGAATTTCCATGTATTATTGTTGCTTGTTTAGGTTCTTGCTCAGATGACAAATACATACGTTTGGGTGGACTCTCTGGTATTAGTTGCTCTGAAATACGATGACTTCTGAAAGATTGCTATGGACTGCTGCATTTTTAAACAATATTAACACTTAAAAATTGACTAAGAAATTATTGACTGAAAGGCACCAGCAAAGTAGTATAGTTTCCATGAAGGCCATGTCTATTTGATATAATTAGATATTGTAATAAGCATTAAAACTGGTTCATAAGAAAAATCTTTGATGATAAAAGTTTTCTTTGAGGCATTATTTACTATGGACTATTTATATAGCCAGTCATATCACTAAATGAAAAAAACAAGTCTACTTTGGGACTTGAAACAACTAAATATGTATAATCAGGGTAATGAAAATAAGATAGAGAAGGAAGGATGTCCCGATATTTTTAAAAATGAGCAATGAGGAATGAATTTTAAGTGGATCTCAAATGCACATAATTGGAATAACTATAATCTTTGGTTTATAACACAATCTAATCTAATCATTTGTCCATTAATACCCCTTTCTGCATTTATATTTTACAATTCAATGTAATATAATTTAATAATGAGATTTAGAGATCTACTGTCTTAGTCTATTTTATGCTAAATACCACAGACTGGATAATTTATAATAAACAGAAATTTATTTGGCTCACAGTTCTGGAGTCTGGGAAGTCCAAGATCAAGGGGCTGACATCTGGCAAGGGCCTTCTTGCTGCATCACCTTGTGGCAGATGAGCAAAGAGAGGGCAAGAGAGATAGAAAAAAGGGGACCAAACTTGTCCCTTTGTAATGAACTCACTCCTGCAAGAACTAAATGAATCCACTTATGCAAGCAGAGCCCTCATGGCCTAATCACCTCTTAAAGCCCCCACCTTTTAATTCTGTTACAATAGTAATTAAATTTCAAAATGAATTTAGGAGGGGACAGACAAACATTCAAACTATAGCATCCACCATTCTACAAGTAACCTAAAACACTTTTTTTCCCTTTAGTTTCATTGCAGCTATATAATCCCATTCACAAACACACACACACACACACACACACACACACACACACACACACACTTTTTTTGGGACTTAGTTTTTCCACTCAGCATTACACTGTTAAGATGTATCCACATTGTTATGTGTCATTGTTTTAGACAGCTTAGGCACTGCATAATATTCTACTATATGAATATAATGCAGATGTGATCTGCCTTATAGATATTTGGATTGTTTCCTTTTGCTGTTGTAAACAGGGCTTCTGTGAACATTCTTGTATGCATTTTTTGGTGTGTATATACAAGAGTGGGACTAGAATCAGTGGATTTTATGGTATAGAAACACTCAGCTTTAGGAAATATCTTAGTTTATTGTGCAGTTATAGCAAAATACCTAAGGCTGAGTAATTTATGAAGAGGAGAAATGTATTTTCCCACAGTTCTGAAGGCTGGGAAATCCAACATCAAGGTGCTGGTAGGTTCTGTTGTCTGGAGAGGGTCACTTTCTGCTTCCAAGATGGTGCCTTGTTGCTGCATGCTCCAGAGGGAAGAAAAGCTGTGTCCCCACATGGCAAAAGGCAGAAGGGAAAGATCAGCAAATGGTGCTTGAAGCCTCTTTTATAAGGGCCTTAGTCCCAATCATGAAGGGAGGAGCCCTCATGATCTAATCACCTCTTAAAAGTCCCATCTGTCAATATCATTATATTGGCCATTAAGTTCCAACACCTGAATTCTGGAGGAGATTTTTTTTTTATATTCAAAGCATAGCAGGAAATAATATTATGCTGTTTTTAAAAAATGGTTGCTATAATTTATCTTTCACTAGCAATTTATAAGAGAATCTGATGGTTCACATCTTCTCTAATACTTGTCATTGTCACACTTTTAAATTTTTACCAGTAAAATGAGTATCAACTGATATTGTGGTCTTAGTTAAATCTTACACTATCAGTAACAATATTAAACATTTCTGCATACGTTTCTTAGGACTTAGTCCTTAGTTTATTACGATCTCCTTAATTTCAGCATAGGCAAGTAGATCAATCTTTTCTTTTAGATGAACTCTTTCTGAGTTTTGTTTAAGAATGTTTTTTATTCCTTAAGGTCAGAACATTATTTGCTTACATTTTGTAACAAGAATATTCAACTTTTTGTTTTGGCATATATGATAGGCAGAACCGGAACCTGCAAATACATTATTTCACACAGCAAAAGGGATTTTGTAGATGTGAATAAGGTTGCAGACCTTGAAGAGGGAGGATTATCTGGGATTATCCTGGCAGGCCTAAACTAATCATATGAGCTCTTATAAGCAGATACTCTGTGGTCAGAGAAAGTGACTACATTATAAAACTCCACCACACTGTTGTGACTCTGAGATATAGGAGGCTATGTGCAAGAAACTGAATTCCGTCAACAACCTGAAAAGGGAGGGAATAGATCCACGGCTAGAGCCTTCAGAGGTGAATACAGCCCTGTGGACACCTTATTTTTACGCCAGGGAGACCCATATCAGACTTTGGACCTAAAGACCTATAAGATAATTTTATGGTGATTTAAATCAAGTTTGTCATAATTTGTTATAACGCCAAGGGAAAACTCATACTAAGTATGGGATCCCTTTTTAACAGATTTATTGAGATATAATTCAAATATCATACAATTGACTCTTTTAAAAGAGGACAAGTCAGTATATCTTATATATTTACCTGTATGTACAAACATTACCACAGTAGGTGTTTGAGATTTTTATCATGTAAAAAAGAAATCACATATGTTTTAGCTATCTCCTCCACCCCTCAGCTTTACACAATCACTAATCTGCTTCATGTCTCTATCTGCTAAAATTTATTGAGGTGAAATTCATATAAAAGTAACCATTTTAAAGCGAGAAATTCAGTGGCATTTAGTATAATCAGAATGTTGTGCAGCGCCCATCACTTTATAGTTAAAAAACAGTTCCTTCACTCCAAAACAAAACTCTGTATCATTGAGGAGTACTCCTCTTCTTCTCCCTGTCAAGACAACCATCATTTTTGTTGTTGTTGTTTCTATACTATCTATTCTGAATGTTTCAGAAAAACAGAATAGGATGACATGTGAACTTTTCTGTCTGGCTTCTTTCACTTAGCAATGTTCTAGGGGTTTTATTAATGTTGTGGCATGTATCAGTAATTTTTTGATGTCTGAATAATGATTCATTGTATGCATGTATCACAATTGGTTTATTCATTATTTACCAATGGACATTTGAGCTGTTTCCCTTTTGGCTTTTATAAATAATGGTGCTAGAAAAACTCACGTACAAGTTTTTTATGAACCTACATTTCAATTTCTTTTGGATATATACCTAACAGTGAAATTACTGGTTCATTTGGTAATTCTATATTTAACTTTTTGAATAGCAGACAGATTCTACAGCGACTGAACCATTTTACCTATCCTCAACAAGACTCTTTGCCGTTTAAAAATTTTTTATTATTATGGTCTCCTTCTGGGTATGAAGTATTATCACATAGTGGTTTTGATTTGCATTTTCAAAATGACCAGTGATGTCATGCATCTTTCTTCGTGCTTGTTGTCCATTTATATTCATTTGTATATCTTTGAATAAAGAGTCCTTTGCCCATTTTAAAATTGTATTATTATTTGCTCATTGAATTATTACAGTTCTTTATACATTCTGGAAACTAGATCCACATCAGATATATTATTTGAAAATTGAACAATGAGATCTCATGGACACAGGAAGGGGAATATCACACTCTGGGGACTGTGGTGGGGTGGGGGGAGGGGGAGGGATAGCATTGGGAGATATACCTAATGCTAGATGACGAGTTAGTGGGTGCAGCGCACCAGCATGGCACATGTATACATATGTAACTAACCTGCACAATGTGCACATGTACCCTAAAACTTAAAGTATAATAAAAAAATAAATAAAAAATAAAATAAAGTTGCAATCAGTGTTCATTAAAAAAAAAAAAAAAAGAAAATATTTTCCCATCTTGTGATTTGTCTTTTCACTTTCTGGATAGTGTTCTTTGATACAAAAATATTTTAATTCTGATGAAGTACAATTTATCTATTTTTATCACTGTTACTTACACTTTTGATTCCTATTTAAGAAACTGTTGTCAAATCTAAAGTCACAAAGATTTATTCTTATATTTTCTTCTAAGAGTTTTATAGTTTTAGCTCTTATATTTAGGTAATTGATCCATTTTGAGTTAGTTTTTGTGTATGGTATGAGGTAGGGGTCCACTTCTTCTGTTTTTTTGCATGTGGCTATCCAGGTATCCCAGCACCATTTGTTGAAGAGACTATTCTTTGCTATTGAATGGTCTTGATACTCTTGTCACAAAACAATTGATCATAGATATATGAGTTTATTTCTGAACTCTCAATGCTGTTTCTTTGGTCTATGAGTCTATATTTATGTCAATAGCACATTGTTTTAATTAACATAGCTTTGTGGTAAATTTTGAAATAAGGAAGTGTGAGTTCTCCTACTTTGTTCTTTCTTTACAAGATTGTATTGACTATTATTGACAGCTTGCAATTACATATGGATTTTAGAATAAGCTTGTCAATTTCTATAAAGAAGTCATCTGCAGTTCTGAAAGAGACTGTATTGAATCTGTAGCTCAATCCAAGGTGTCTACTTCTCTTAGCAATATTGTTTTCTGCTCCATGAACATGAAATATTTTCCATTTACTTAGAACTTTAATTTTTTAAAATAATATTTTATGGTTTTTAGATATTTGTTTTATATTCATTATGTTAAATTTATTCCTAAAAATTTTATTTTTGATAAATAATTACCTTTACTTAAACCCCATTTTTTTCATGTAGATTTGAATTGCTATCTATAGTTAGTTAGTATATATAGTTAGTTAGTATAACTAAAGATAGTTAGTATCTTTCTGCCTGAAGATATCCTTTACTATATCTTGTTATAAGTTTGTTGTCATCATATTTTCTTAGTTCTATTTTTTTAAATTTTAGGGAATGTCTTTAATTCCTCTTTATTTTTGAAACATAGCTTTGGTGGTTATAGAATTCATAGTTGGTAGGCTTTTTTGTTTTTGAGCACTATGAATATGCTATCACACAGCCAACTGTACTCTACCGTTTCTGCTGAGAAGTCAGCTATTAATCTTATTGGGGTTTCCTTGTAAGTAGTGATTTATTTTTCTTTTACTGCTTTCAGGACTTTTACTTTGTCCTTGGCTTTCAGCATTTTTATTACAATGTGTCTGTTTGTGGTTCTCTTTGAATTTATGCTACTTAAAGTTCATTGAGCTTCCTGGATGTGTAGGTTGTTGTTTTTGAACAAATTTGGGAAGTTTTTTTAGCTACTTTTTCTTCAAATATTGCTTCTCTTTTATTTATTTATATTCTTTCTGATATTTCTATTACATATGTGTTCATATATGTAACTATGTCCTATCATTACATGAGGTTCTATTTTTCTTTATTCTTTTTTCTATGATTTGGCACACATACTTCTATGGATATATCTTCAAATTTACTACTATTTTTGCCAGTTCAAATCTTCTGAATTTCTTCAGTGAATTTTTCATTTCAGTTATTGCATTTTTAAACTCCAGAATGTCTATTTTTTAGAAAATTGTATCTCTATTGATATTTATTTTCTGATGTGACATTGTCATTTTACATTTCTTTACCTCTTTAATTATGTTCTCCTTTACATCTTTGAATACATTTATGATGGCTATTTTGAAGTCTTTTTCTGTTTAATCTGACAGCTGATTGCTTTCACAAGCGATTAGTTTTGCCTTCTTTTTTTCCTAGCATATGAATCATGTATTCCTGTATCTCTGCATCTCATATATACACACTGGGTACTTTCTTCCCTCTAAGACCATATTACTATTATTTTCTTATTACAATAGCTGAGTGAATGATTTTTAGTGGACGCTAAAAATACATATTTCTCTCCAACATACATATGAATATTGGTAACCTCTGATGTTGCACCTTAGGCATACTCAGGTTTGTGTATATTCAGTCACCCTGGGATGATCCCTTGTTTTGAGCAGGGCTCTCTTTGTCTCTCCCTCATCACACCTGGCTGTTAAACTTCAGAAACTGTCAGCTGATTTCCCTATCATTTTCAAAACTTCATTGAGTCATGCATTTTTCTTTTTTTTTTTTTTAGCGTTTAACTTCAGACTAATTTATTCAAGTTAGAGTTTTGAATTTTTATAGATTTTTTCTGAATACATGTTTTCCCATTTGTAGTATGTCCTTAGGAGTATTTCTAGAGGATTTAGTTTTTTAAAAAATCAAGTTTCACCATTTCATTAGAAGTGAGTTTCTCAAGCTGTCCTGCTAGTCATCAATCACCCCTCCCATATGAGCTCTTAATTCTCCTGGAATTGAGATGAACTTTTAAGCTAAATTGGAACTCATTCTGATCACATAAGTTGCACAAACTTGAAGCTTGTTCAACTACTATTGGATTATTTTAGTAGAATTTTAAAGAAAAATTTCTATCCTTCTTTACAAAATATAATCTGCAGTGGCCTGGACCTAAATGAAATGCTAAATGACTCCCAGGAGACCTTCAGAGCTAGGCTCCTATGCCATTGGTATAGAAAAGTAGTAATGTTTGTGCCATGTAAATAAAGGAATGGATTGCAACCAAAGAAAATCTTGCAATTTTCATTTCTATTTTTAATGTTGCTCAAAAAGCCTCTTTCTACTGGATCAATTCAATGCTGTTGATTCTATATAGCATCCATGCTCAAGAGAAACAAAGAAAAATGTTTTGGATATACAAAGGGGGTATTCCATTAGCAGCAAAGGAAAGCTCTGAAAAATTCAAATCAGACCTTGCAAGGTCTGGAGCAGTCTACTTGTGTCACATAAAAAAATAAATGGTAATGAAAACAATCTTCTGTTTCTGCATGCTGGATGTGCTGGGGAACAAAAAAAGAAAATGAAAAGAAAACAATCTTTCAATAATACATTCAGAGGACATTTAGGATTAGTTTCAGAAGTCAGGTGCAACTGGATGAAAATCTTGTCCAACATTTTTTGTTTTTTACTTTAAGTTCCGGGATACATGTGCAGAATGTGCAGGTTTGTTACATAGGTATACATGTGTCATGGTGGTTTGCTGCACCTTTCAACCCGTCATCTAGGTTTTAAGCCCCACATGCATTAGGTATTTGTCCTAATGCTCTGCTTTCCTTTGTCTTCCATTCCCTGACAGGCCACGGTGTGTGTTATTCCCTTTCCTGTGTCCCTGTGTTCTCACTGTTCAACTCCCACTTACGAGTAAGAACATGCAGTGTTTGGTTTTCTGCTCCTGTGCTAGTTTGCTGAGAATGATGACTTCCAGCTTCATTCATGTCCCTGCAAAGGACATGATATCATTCTTTTTTATGGCTGCATAGAATTAAATGGTGTATGTATGCTACATTTTCCTTATCCAGTCTATCATTGCTTTGTCCAACATTTTTTAACAGAATAAAATATGAGCCAAAGGGAGTAAGAGTAGTAGGAAGTAGACAAATGCCTAGGCAGACAGGTGTGGGTCCCTGGTGAAACCCCATACTCAAGCCAAAGATAGTTTAAAGCCTAACTACAAGTCCTAGGTTAATCCATGGACTGGATTGAGAACCTCTCTTTCTGTTTGGTGCACTTTCCTCTAACTGATCCCCGCCTTTCACATATTTTACATATACCTACTCTTCCCTAATTGGTTTTTTATCCTGTTGTGCCCACCCACCTTTGAGTGATGCCTTTAACTTTTTTTGCATAGTTACAAACCAATTAGCATGCACTCCCCTATTCTGAGCCCGTAAAAGCCCCAGGCTCAGCCACATTGGGAGAGAAACCACCCAACTTTGGGTAGGCGACCAGCCCTGCATCTCTTCTCCACTGAGAGCTGTTTCATTGCTCAATAAAATTCTCTGCCCTCCTCACCCTTCATTTGTCAGTGTATCCTCATTCTTCTCGGATGTCGGACAAGGACTTGGGAACCGCCGAATGCAGTTATGAGCTATAACACAGGCAGGCTGGGGCATGCCTGGCCCAGCCACAGGCTGCACTGGTGCACAAACCAGGCATGGCCCAGGTTGGCTGAGTGGGTTGGCTGCCTCCTGAGGCAGGTAGCATGCCTGAGCAAGGCCCAGGCTAGGGTGTTGCCAGCCAGAGGTCCCCAGCTGGCAAAATGACTGAGAAAAATCCTGCATCAGGAGCAGGCTAAATTTGACCAACAACTTTTAAAATGTGCTTTGGGTACAGCACAGAGAACCTCCAATAGTGCATTACTTTGCATTAATAGCAAAAGTTTAAAAATATAAATTAAATGAAAAATGAAGACAAAAGGTGTCTTCCCTGCTTTTGAACATCCTTTAGTTTATACCAGTTCTTCTTAACCAGGAGCAAGCCACTCTCCCCCACCCAAGGGGACATGGAAATGACTGGACACATTTTTGGTTGTCATACCTGGGAGGGGTACTACTGACATCTGGTGAATAGAGGTCAGAGATATTGCTAAATATCCTATAGTACATATGATAGGCCTCATGACAAAGAATTATTCGGCTCCAAATGTCCATAGAGCCAAGGCTGAGAAATCATGTTTTGCACAATAATGGCCAATGCAAACACAACTTTAATGTAAATTTTTTCTTAAATTTATTTTAGCAGCAAAGCTAAGAATTGAATGATTGGCATTATTGAGTTTTCTCTATTTATATCAGCATTTTATTTTTCCTTTTGTAGCTAGGTTTAGTAATACATAAACAGGCAAGTGTGAGTAGAAGCATTGGTATGCCATTAAAACATTTCATGACCCAGTTATGATTTATTTTTTTTTAGTTATATGAAGATTGTTAACAACTTGATTACATTGACAGGTAAATAAAAATGTTGTTTTATTGGCCTATTTCTACTACATTCCACCCAAATTTCTCGAAAAACATAATATGTATTTTTAAACTATTTAACTATTTCTGATGTGATGTGGGTTGGCTATGTCCCCACCCAAACCACATCTTGAATTCCCACATGTTGTGAGAGGCACCCAGTGGGAGGTAACTGAATCATGGGGGCAAGTCTTTCCCAAGCTGTTCGTGAGAGGCACCCAGTGGGAGGTAACTGAATCCTGGGGGCAAGCCTTTCCCAAGCTGTTCTCATGATAGTGAATAAGTCTCACGAGATCTGATAGTTTTCAAAAGAGGAGATCCTCTGCCCCAGCTCTCTCTCTTTGCTTGCTGTCATCCATCTAAGATGTGACTTGCTCCTCCTTGCCTTCCACCATGATTGTGAGGCTTCCCCAGCCACGTGGAACTGTAAGTAATTAAACCTCTTTCTTTTGTAAATTGCCCAGTCTCAGGTATGTCTTTATCAGGAGTGCGAAAACGGACTAATACATGGTGAAATTAAACAGAATTAAGAAAAATACTAGATTGTAAACAAAGGTACAAACATATCTTGGTAGTGTTGGGGCACAGAAAATTATATCCCAGAGGGTTGTAGATGTGTGGTGTTATTTCTGGGGCATCAGAACAGAGGCCTCAGAAATAACACCACACACCTACAACCATCTGATCTTCGACAAACCTGACAAAAACAAGTAATGGGGAAAAGATTCCCTATTTAATAAATGGTGCTGGGAAAACTGGCTAGACATGTGCAGAAAATAGAAATTGGACCCCTTCCTTATACCTTACACAAAAATTAACTCAAGATGGATTAAAGACTTAAACATAAAACCTAAAACCATAAAAACCCTAGAAAACCTAGGCAATATCATTCAGAACATAGGCATGAGCAAAGACTTCATTACTAAAGCACCAAAAGCAATTGCAACAAAAGCCAGAATTGATAAATGGGATCTAATTAAACTAAAGAGCTTCTGCTCAGCAAAAGAAACTATCTTCAGAGTGAACAGGCAACCTGCAGAATGGGAGAAAATTTTTGCAATCTATCCATCTGACAAAGGTCTAATATCCAGAATCTGCAAGAAACTTAAACAAATTTACAAGAAAAAACCAAACAACCCCATCAAAAAGTGGGCAAAGGATATGAACAGACATTTCTCAAAAGAAGACATTTATGCGGCCAACAAACATATGAAAAAAAGCTCATCATCACTGGTTATTAGGGAAATGCAAATCAAAACCACAATGAGATACCATCTAATGCCATTTAAAATGGCGATCATTAAAAAGTCTGGAAACAACAGATGCTGGAGAGGGTGCAGAGAAAATAGGAACACTTTTACACTGTTGATGGGAGTGTAAATTAGTTCAACCATTGTGGAAGACAGTGTGGCAATTCCTCAAGGATCTAGAACCAGAAATACCATTTGACCCAGCAATCCCATTACTGGGTATATACCCAAAGGATTATAAATCATTCTACTATAAAGACACATGCACACGAATGTTTATTGCAGCACTGTTTACAATAGCAAAGACTTGGAGCCAACCCAAATGCCTATCAATGATAGACTGGATAAAGAAAATGTGGCACATATATACCATGGAATACTATGCAGCCATAAAAAAGAATGAATTCATGTCCTCTGCAGGGACATGGATGAAGCTGGAAACCATCATCCCCAGCAAATTAACACAGGAACAAAAACCAAACACTGCATGTTCTCACTCATAAGTGGGAGTTGAACAATGAGAACACATGGACATAGGGAGGGGAACATCACACACTGGGGCCTGTCGGTGAGTCTGGGGCAAGGGGAGGGAGAGCATTAGGACAAATACCTAATGCATGCAGGGCTTGAAACCTAGATGACGGGTTGATAGGTGCAGCAAACCACCATGGCACATGTATACCTATGTAACAAACCTGCACATTATGCACATGTATCCCGGAACTTAAAGTAAAATAAAAAAAAATTATATCCCAAAATATAGCACTTTGGCATGCTGAGTGCCTCAAGTTAAAGAAAACTGAAGGTCCTCCAGAAAGACACAAGTTCTCTCATCTGATCTTCCCCTGTCTCTTCAATCCTCTTTTTTTCATGAAGCACTGGGAGCAACTCTCTGGAATTTGTTTCTCTGATGCAGAAAAATTCTTAAAAAAAAAAAAATACAATTGTCTGAAGTCCCCTTCCCTAGGAATCTCATCAAATAACTAGGAAAGTTTAACTCTCTGAGAAGAGAAGAGACTGGGAGTTCTCATCACAACCAGACAGATTTTTTATGTATTCTTCTGAAGGCAGCTCTGAGAGATTACCTGGGAGGCTCTATCTGCACATAATACAACCCTTATTTAAGGTGAAGTTTCACCCCTCACCTTCGTATCACCTTCCCCAGAGCTCAGAGAAACACTGTCCTAGGTAATCCTTGTGTGGGCTCATTCTTTTCTCCTGCAAATCATTTAGTCCTACAACCCCCATTTCCCCTTCCCCTATAAAGTAGGATACATATATAAGCACCTAGACCTCACAGGGTTATTCAATAATCATTCACCTGCAATTCTCCCATGTTTATGAACATCAAATAAATTTTGTATGTGTTTCCTTCTATGAATCTGCCTTCTGTCAGTTCATTTTCAGTAAACCTTCAGAGGGTGAAGGAGAAGCTTTTCTTCTGACTCTACGGTAGAAATGAATATACTTTGTCACACTATAGCATGGTGATGAAGCTGAGTAGACAGCATGAGGTGTTATTGCTGACACTAAAAACTGAGTTAGAAAAAAAGGAAGCCATAGCAATACAGAGAATAATCCATAGGCTACTGAGATTAAGAAAGTCAGTAGATCAAGATTATTTATGAACTTCTGTTGGAGGAAATCTTATGCTTGTTGGAATTATGCCATGTTGCGCTTTGGTCCCCACCTAGAATTCAGCCTCTATTTATTTTGTAACTAACTAAACAATGTAGCTAATATGGCTAAATATTCATTGATTCCTTACCATGTGCTAGGCATTATAGAAAGAACCCTATATAAATTATCTAACTTAATTTTTACAAGAGCAAATTAAGATACATGTTATGACACTCTTTTATGAATAAGGACATTTGGTTTCAAAATGATTAAGTAACTTGCTCAAGAGTGCATGCTGGTAAGTAGCAGAGCTAGGATCTCCTCACAGATATGTCTGGTTCTAAAGCCTGGGCTGTGAATAACTACATTTTTCTCCTTTTTGGCTAAGCTGCATGTGGACATTTTCCATGGACATTTGTACGAACTTTTCTGTCATAAATCCTGAGATACCAGTAAGTATCTGGGTGTCAGAGGTTGTTGAACACCTGGGCAGGAGGATACCTGAATTTATATGCTGAAACTCATGGTAGCCATACATATTTCATCCTGAATCAAAGGGTTTAGTAAATGTGACCCTGAGGTGGACAGTTAGCCTGGCTCTGTCCTTTCCTCTGGTGTGGAGTGAGTGGTACTAGAAGATTCATAGTCTTCTTTCGCTCGTGCCTCTCAACCCTTACCCCATCCCTCCACACTGCGAGAAAAAAAAAAAAAAAGACAGAAACCAAGAAAACAGTAGACCCAGCGATTCATCTGTGTATCTCATTTTTCTAAGAAGGCCTTTTGTCCTGCTCTTTTTCTTGTTTTTGTCATGAACCTGCCGTCTAATGAACTAGTCTAGTCACGACAGACTAATTTAAAAATATATATATAGTGCTTAGAGAGGCAAGATGCATATTAAGCAGTTCATTTATAACTTTCCCTAATCTGGACTTCTTTCATCCTGACCTGCCTCTGCCTTTAAAATGTGCTGTAACACCCACAGTGCTACTCAGAACAGGGAGAAAAGAGAAAGGATACATAAGTAAAGGAAGAGGAGGGAAATGTATATATAATATATAATATCCAATATGTAATATTGTATCTTCCTTTAATTCACTTAAATGCATCAAACAGTAAAATCAAAATATGTAAAGCAACTTGATACAAATTATAAGAAGGAACAGATAAATATATAATCAGAGTGAAGTAGTATTTAAACATACCTCTATAGGAATTAGCGTGTCAAACCAAAATAACTACAAAGGGTATAGAAAATGTAAACTTTGCTGTTCAAGTGTGAAGGAATGTGTGTGTGTGTTTGTGTGTGTGTATCAAATCTTAATATATAAAGAATATAAATTTTTAAACAAACTTTAGCAAGAACATTTATTGTTTTTGACAGTAGATTCTCAATAAAAACATTATAAATTATAAAAGAACAAAACAATACCCTCAATTACTGGAGAAAACAAATTGTAAAATAAATAAATAAATAAACCTATAAACCAGAGCAGCAAGAGGATGGGTGTGTGTCGGTGTAAGGGTGTTGGGTGAAGGTAGCTGGGTAGAGATGCATTAAAGCTAGAATACAAAACAGCATTCTACATTTTGTTTATGCCATGATAAAGAGCTTAAAGTATTAAGAATTTGTATGTCAAGTATACTGTGGACATTTGAAGGAAATTCTATTAATTGAATAGCAATAGATGATACGATTTCTAAACCATAATTAGGATAACAGCAAAATTTAAAACATAAATTAATATGTTTTTTAAACCGCTTATTCCAAAAGAACACTGGACAAGAACAAGAAAATTATGATAAAAGAAATTGTAAAGTATCTATAGAAAGCCATCCAAGTACATACCTATTGACTTTTTAGTGACACTCGTATGTAAGACTAACTGGATTAATATTGTGTTTTGGCAGGAAAATCAAAGCAGTGATGCTGTGTTCTCACTACATTTATTGATTGCATGGCATAAGATTTTTTTGTTTGTTTGTTTGAGTCAGAGTCTTGCTCTGTCTCCCGGGCTGGAGTGCAGTGGCACGATCTAGATTCACTGCAACCTCTGCCTCCCGGGTTCAGGCAATTCTCCTGCCTGAGCCTCCCTAGTAGCTAGGACTACAGGTGCCCACCACAACACCTGGCTAATTTTTGTATTATTATTATTATTATTATATTATTTTTTAGTAGAGACGGGTTTTCTCCGTGTTGGCCAGGCTGGTCTCAAACTCCTGATCTCAGGTGATCCACCCGCCTCAGTCTCCCAAAGTGCTGGGATTACAGGCATGAGCCATGATGCCCGCCCAGCATAAGACTTTGATTTGTGTAATGCTAGTACTGATAGCCTTACCCAATGGGCAAAATAGTGTCTGCCAGGCTTCTCCACTATAAAGTTTCCCCTCCTGTAATCAGTAAACATTTTGTGAGGAAATACCTTGATACTATGCAAATATTTTATTTTTCACATATTTCCATTCACTAATTTTAGTATTCACTTAACTGAATTAATTATTGCTATTATGGTTGTCAAATGGAGATTCCCTAAATCCATCATTCCTTCTATTTCATTTGTCAGCATTCCACTGTAAAAACTATTTATCTCCTCCTGATTTATTTATTTATATTAGATTGGACTCATAATTCACTACATTATTAAATAGGTCATATTTCATTACTGTTATTTTATGTTTTGATGATCTAATAATCCCAGATCTGGTCAGTAGGAACCCTTTGAGCTGGCTCCTGGGTTTTTGTTTTTTTTTTTTGACATGACCTCATCATTTTTAGAACACCTTCGTACTTTCAGTTATAAGATGTTATAGTATGATCTCGGACTTTCCCTGTCACAATCTAGGAATCAGCCAATTCTCCAAGGAGTACTGGCTCCTTATGGTGGAGAATGGTATTTACAAGCCAAGATATGGGTATGAGGATTGCTATGTACTATTTGGGTGTTTTAGGGCTTAGACCCTTTAATTAATAGAGCTAAGGAATATGTACATGTGTACCTTTATTATCTTTCAGCAATACTTTGCTGTTTTTAATGTACAAGTCTTACACTATTTGATTAAATTTATTTCTATAGTACTTTCTTTTTGATAGTATTGTAAATGAAATTGTTCTCTTAATTTCATTCTCAATTGTTCATAAAAAGTGTGTGCAAATATAGTTGGTTTTTGTATGCCTTGTATCCTACAAACTCCTTGCTAAGCATGTTATTCATTTTCACAGTTTTTAGTGTATTTCTCAGAATTTTCTGCATACGAGATCATGTCATCTGTGAATAAAGTTAATTTTACATCTTCCTTTCCAATCTGGATGTCTTGTATTACTTTTTCTTTCCTAATTGCCCTGCTAGAACCTCCAGTACAATGTTGAATAAAAGTGGTAAGAGAAGACACCCTTGTCTTGTTCCTGAAATTGTGAAGAAGGGATCTAGCTGTTTATTATTAAGGAATATTGTTAACTGTGGGTTTTTAATAGATGGTCTTTATCAGTTTGGAAATTACCTCCTATTACTAATTTGTTGAGTATTTTTTTAATCATGAAAGAATATTGTCAAATGTTTTTTCTGCATCTTTGAAGTGATTATGTGATTTTTAAATTCTATTGATAAGCTGTATCACAGTAATTAAAACTCAGATATTAAACCAATCTTGCATTGCTGAAATAAATCCCACTTGGTTATGGTGTGTAATTATTTTATTATGTTGTTGAATTAGTCAGGGCTTTCCAGAGAAGCAAAACCAATACGATAGACAGAGAGAGAGAGAGAGAGATTATGAAGAATTGGCTCATGCAATTACCATGTGGAGAAGTCCCATGATCTTATATCTGCAAGATGACGAACCAGGAAAGCTGATGTTATAATTCAGCCCAAGTCCAAAGATGTGAAAACAAGAGGACCTGATGGTGTAAATGCCAGTTCAAGTGCAGGAGAAGATAAGAGGAAATGTCCCAGTTCAAATGGTGAGGTAGGGAAAAAAAGGGGGAAACTCCTCTTCCTATGTCTTTTATTCTACGTAGGCCTGAGCAGATTGGATGATACCCATCCCCACACGCTAGGGAGGGCAATTTACTTTACTGAATGACTACACTAATCCAAATGCTAATTTCATCCTGAAAAAAAAAAAAACCCCTCATAGACCTACCCAGAAATATTTAACCTGACATCTGAACATCCCCTGCTCCAGCCAGGTTGACAAATAAAACTAACTATCACACTATCATACTGTTGGATTAAGTTTGCTAGTATTTGACTTGGGATTTTTGCATCTACATTTATAAGAGATTTTGGTCTATAGTTTTCTTTCTTATGATGTCTTTATATTGTTTCAGTGTCAGAGGAATTCTGATATCAGGATGACTGAGGAAATGTATCTCCTCTTCCATCTTTTGAAATAATAGGTGACTAATTCTTTAACTTCTTGGTAAAATTCATCAGTGAAGCCATCTGGGCCTAGACTTTTCTTAGTGGGCACTAATTTTGGCATACAATTATTCATTTTTCTTTTAATAATCCTTTTTATTTCTGTGAGGTCAGTACTAATGATCCCTCTTTCATTTGTAATTCTAGAAATTTGAATATTCTCTGTTTTTGGTAAACCTAGGTAAAGTTTGAATTTTTTTGACATTTTCAAATAAACAGCTTTTAGTTTTATTAATAATTTTTTTCTATTCTCTATTTGCCCTTTTATTTTTATTCATCTCAAGGTATTATCCAATTTCCCTTTGATTTCTTCTTGGACCTGCTTGTTAGTTAGGAGTGACTTGTTTAATTTCCCCTTATTTTTGAGGTCTTCAGGTTTATTTCTCTTCTTGATTTGTAATTTTACTTCCTTGTAGTCAGAGATCATACTTTTTAGTATGTTTTTATAATCTTTAAAATGTATGGAGGTTTGTTTTATGGCTTATTTTATGGTCTACCTTCAAGAATGCTCCAAGTGCCCTTGAGAATATGTACTCTGCTGTAGCTGGGTATAGTGTTCTAGGCTTGTCTGTTGGTTCCAGTTGGTTTATAGTGTTGTTCAAGTCTTATGTTTCCTTGTTAAACTTTTGCCTAATTGTTTCCACCCATCATTAAAATTGGGACATTAAAGTTTCCAACTATTATTTTGAAATGGTCTAATTCTTTCACTCAGTTTTTGCTTCTTGTATTTTTCCCTTCTGTTATTAGATGAATATATATTTATTATGGTTGTATCTTCCTGATGGGTTGACCCTCTCAATCTCTCATAACATGTTTTGTTTAAAGTCTAGCCCAATATTAGTATAGATAGCCCAGCTTTCTTGTGGATCCTATTTGCATGATAATGTTTCTATCCTTTCACTCCTAATTTATCTTTATCTTTGAATCTAAAGTTTGTTTTCAGGTGCAGTGGTTCTTGCCTGTAATCCCAGCATTTTCGGAAGCTGAGGTGGAAGCAACAATTGAGCCCAGGAGTTGAAGGCTGCAGTGAGCTATGATCACGCCACTGCACTCTAACCTGGGTGACAGAGAGAGGAGAGACCCTGTCTCTTAAAAAAATAAAAATAAAAATAAAAAGAGATAAAGTTTTTTTTTTTCTGTAGACAGCATATAGACATGCAGTTGGGTTATGCTTTTGATGCAGTTTGACAATCCATGCTCTTCACTTAAATTGTTTAATCCATTCAATTTACTGATATTTTTCTATAATTGGCTTTATGTCTGCCATTTTACATCTTGTTTTCTGTGTCTCAAGTATTTTTGTTTATCATTCCTTAACTGCTTTTTTCATTAAATTAATATTTTGTAATGTAATATTTTAATTTTTAGTGACTTTTTTCACTTTAGTTTTTATTTCCTTAATTGTTGTTGGGAGGCTTGCCATATATATCTTATCAGTTTCAGATTAATACCAACTTAATTGCAATAAAATATGAACTTATTGCTTATATCTCCATTCCCTCCTTCCCCTTTCTGTGGTATTATTGGTGTACCTAATACATTCATAAATGTTACTAATCCACTAATACTTGGTCATAATTATTACTTTATATAATTTTATGCTTTTAAAATAAACTAATTGAAAAAGGAGTATGAATATATATCAATAGCTTTTGTTATAGAAACCATTTTACTTATCATTTTTCTTCATATGTTCCTGTGGATTCAAATTGCCATCTGGAGTCACTTCCTTAGCTCAATACACTTTTGCTATATCACCAACTCAAACAGCAAAAATAACCTTTGTGATATTATTAGCAAATATATTACATTTCTATATGTTATTTGTTTAGTAGTACATTATTTGCAAACGAATTTATACAAGGAAGAGCTGAGTAGTCAGAGACCATATGACAAGCAAATTCTAAAATATTTGCTATCTAGCCTTTTATAAAGTAAAAATAGTTTGCTAATGCTTGATCTAAGAGACAGAAGAAATCATTTAGTTCTTGGTCTTTATAGTTTGAAATCAATATAACTTAGAGGGTTCCTTAGAAAAATCACATTTCTTATAAATAGATAAGAGCTTTTGTTTTCTGAGGCATTAGTACTTCTCTTATTATGCCTACATTATTTTATTTTATTTTCACAGTAACCCCAAAAGATAGATATTTTCATGTGATCACTTTTGCTAAGAGACAGCAAGTGTAATGAATCATAGCATTTACTTTGGGGTCATACCATCTGAGTTAAATTATTACTTTACTCTCACCTTTGTAGCCATGGACAGTATACTTACCTTCTCTGTGTTTTGGTTCCCTCATTTTAAAAATAGCACCTACTTCATAGGATTTGATGTGAGATTTTATAAGTTAATATATATAAAACACATAAAACTGTACCTGGCTTAAAGACCTATATAAATGTTTTAATTGTTCCAAAGATAGAGAGACTTGAATTCATAAAATTAGACTATTTGCTCCAGGTAATTAGACTGGAAATTGATGTATTTGACATAGCAAATGAGTTCTGGGCTCATGCTCATGACAGTTTTTGCCTACCATGATATTTATTTACATTATCATATTCTATTTTTTAATGGTTGATTGGTGATGCCTACCTGAAAAATTTCCCAGGTGAAAAGCATTTCTGTTTAAATGGCATAGAATTTTGGAAAAAGTTATCATCATTTGTTTCAGTGTTAAACTGATCTCCAAATTATCTTCTGGGGAATCTTTTGACCCTGCCTATCTGTTGGTAATCTAACTTGTGTTGAGCTGAACTGACCATCTATTCAGTTATAGATTGTGACCAGGCTGTAATTTTATAACCCCACCTATCACACAGGTGATTATTATTGTGTCAATCTTCCATTAACTAACTTGTTATATATAATATCTGCATTTTGGTTTTATATATATATATATATATAATGTCGACTCAAATCCCTGCTCTTTACCCTTTATTGAAAGCTTTATGCCGCAATAAACATACGTGTGCATGTGTCTTTATAGTAGCATGATTTATAGTCATTTGGGTATATACCCAGTAATGGGATGGCTGGGTCAAATGGTATTTCTAGTTCTAGATCCCTGAGGAATCGCCACACTGACTTCCACAATGGTTGAACTAGTTTCTAGTCCCACCAACAGTGTAAAAGTGTTCCTATTTCTCCACATCCTCTCCAGCACCTGTTGTTTCCTGACTTTTTAATGATTGCCATTCTAACTGGTGTGAGATGGTATCTCATAGTGGTTTTGATTTGCATTTCTCTGATGGCCAGTGATGATGAGCATTTTTTCATATGTTTTTTGGCTGCATAAATGTCTTCTTTTGAGAAGTGTCTGTTCATGTCCTTCGCCCACTTTTTGATGGGGTTGTTTTTTTTTTTCTTGTAAATTTGTTTGAGTTCATTGTAGATTCTGGATATTAGCCCTTTGTCAGATGAGTAGGTTGCGAAAATTTTCTCCCATTTTGTAGGTTGCCTGTTCACTCTGATGGTAGTTTCTTTTGCTGTGCAGAAGCTCTTTTTTATTGCGGCATTATTCACAATAGCAAAGACTTGGAACCAACCCAAATGTCCAACAATGACAGACTGGATTAAGAAAATGTGGCACATATACACCATGGAATACTATGCAGCCATAAAAAATGATGAGTTCATGTCCTTTGTAGGGACATGGATGAGACTGGAAATCATCATTCTCAGTAAACTATCGCAAGAACAAAAAACCAAACACCCCATATTCTCACTCATAGGTGGGAATTGAACTATGAGAACACATGGACACAGGAAGGGGAATATCACACTCTGGGGACTGTGGTGGGGTCGGGGGAGGGGGGAGGGATAGCATTGGGAGATATACCTAATGCTAGATGACGAGTTAGTGGGTGCAGCGCACCAGCATGGCACATGTATACATATGTAACTAACCTGCACAATGTGCACATGTACCCTAAAACTTAAAGTATAATTAAAAAAAAACAAAAAAAAGAAAACTGGGACACAAAGAAGTTAAAAAAAAAAAAAAAGAAAAGAAAGCTTTATGTTAACAGAGGGTTCCTAAAAAGCACTCAGTCCATTTATTCCTATAAATGTTTAAAATGTATTACTAAATGACATCAGATAATTAGAGGGCTATGCATCTGGTTTGCATTATTTTCTTATAAAATCATTTAAAATATATTCCATTGTGAAACTATGCAAATTCCTTTGATGCATGTTTAAATAATAGTTTCATAAATTTAGTCTTAGATCTATTGTGAGGATTTGATTCAACACAGGTATTAAGTTTTAGACATACGCTAGACATTATACTAAAATCTAGATATACAAAAACAGGCATGGTCTTACCTCTGAAGGACTCAGACTTACAAGGACAGAGTAAATAAGTAAGTGCAAAAAAGCTGTTGTATCTGGCATGACAACATTATATACTGGAAGCAAGGTAAAATGAATCAAAGATTCAATTCCACCTGAATGGTCAGGAAGGTCTTTATGGCAAGGGGGAAGGCATAGAGACAGTTTAAAAAAAAAAAAAAGTTAATCTTTTTGAAGGGCTTGGATGCAGAGGGGAAGGAGAAGTAGAATATAAGCTACAGGTGGTGCTATACGGAGGGAGGGGTCAAGTCTTCCACTTATTTGGTTTGGTTTGTCTGTAATGGGGAATATTTCAATAGGCTGTAAATGTGTTAGAAAGAAGGCATTGAAAAGAGAAATACCTGATGGAGTACTGCTTTATTTAAAGCTGCAGATCAAAAGCACAGAGGAGAATAACATCACCAAAAATGTCAGAGTAGGGAACTACAAGCTTTGATTCCTTCACAAAGTCAATTACTACGCTTGTAAAAGTTGTCTGAATCAACTGTCACAGAACTCTAGAATGTAGTCAAAATCTTACAACCACTGCACGAATGCTTAATGAAGGAAAAAACTGCTACACCCAGTAAGAGAGTCCTGTGACATTTTAAATTCTTTGCTTGCCATCCTTCATGCCCTAGATGGGCAGTAGCAATAAATATGGAAGCTCATACTCTTGGGGCAGTTTGCTAGTGCCCGAAGGCACAATACAGTCCTTATTCACAAGTAATGATTTCAGTCCGTTTGGTGGCTTCCTGAAAGACTGGCAAAAGGGCTTGCCTTTGTTTAGTGTAACTCAGAGTATTTAGGGACTGAGCTTCCTGGGTGGCATTTGCTGAAAGTATCTAAAGGTCATAGTATTGACTGCAACAGTCTCAGGCAAGGGAGAACCACCTGGAAAAGAAGTAGACAGCCTCAAAAATCTGGAAAAACAGACGTTGGGAAAGGGGATACATGGGGAAATAAAGACTTTTTTTTTTCTTTTTTCTTTTTTTTTTTTTGAGATGGGGTATCCTTCTGTCACCAAGGCTGGAGTGCTGTGGCATGATCTCGGCTCACAGTAACCTCTGCCTCCTGGGCTCAAGCGATTCTCCCACCTCAGCCTCTTGAGTAGCCAGGACCAGAGGTGCATGCCGCATCTGGCTTTTTTTTTTTTTTTTTTTGTATTTTTGGTAGAGACAGGGTGTGGCTATGTTGCTCCAGTTTTTCTCTAACTTCTGAGCTCAAGGAATCCACCTGCCTCCACCTCCTAAGGTGTTGGGATTACAGGTGTGTGCCACCATGCCCAGCTGGGGGAATAAAGGCTTTAAAATCCCTCTGTATACCAGGGAATCAAGAAGGACACGTTCATGAGCAGAATTTGATATATTCTCGGTAAAGGGCTGAGAAGGTCCCAAGTCTGTCTTTGGATAACCTCCAAGTGAAGGCTAAGGCAGAGTTGTAAATGGTTTGGACAAGTATTGAAGGAGGCCCCAACACAGAGCCAATCATCAAAACACTGAAAATTGTTTTCCTTTTCTTTTTCTTTGTTCTAGCAGCTTAAAGAAATCTCTTTCAAAACACTTGCTGACCACTAAGCTACTGGAATACAGTCTCCGGTGATCATACCCAACAAAGAATACAGACTTTATACAAAAGTAATGTAAGAAAGTCAATAAACAAACAACAACAACGCACAATAAACAGCAACAATGAACCCTGGTGAGAGGGGAAAACTCTAATTTCCAGAGTTGACACATTATAGTATTTAAAATATCTCATTTTAGCAAAAAATCGTGAGCCACACAAAGAAAAAAGAAAGTATAGCCCAGCCACAGGAATATAAGAAATGAATAAAACTGTGCCTGTGTAAGTCTAGGCATTAGACTTGCTAAACAAAGACTTTAAATCAACTGTTCTAAATATGCTTAAAGAGCCTAAAACAACCATGGACAAAGAACTAAGCTAGGAAAATAAAGTCTCACCAAATAGAAAATATCACTAAAAAGATAGAAATTATAAAAATGAACCAAATAGAATGTCATGGAGGAAATGTTTAACCTGAAACCAAATATAATATTTTCTTGGTGTTTTTTTTTTTTTTTTTTTTTTTTTTGAGACGGAGTCTCACTCCGTCACCCAGGCTGGAGTGCAGTTGCATGATCTCAGCTCACTGTGACCTCTGCCTCCTGGCGCCATCTCAGCTCACTGTAATTCTCCTGCCTCAACCTCCTGAGTAATTGGGACTACAGGAGCCCGCCATCACCCCCAGCTAATTTTTGCATTTTTAGTAGACATGGGGTTTCACCATGTCGGCCAGGATGGTCTTAATCTCCTGACCTCATGATCTGCCCGCCTCCGCCTTCCAAAGTGCTGGGATTACAGGCATAAGCCACCGCCACCAGCCAACATTTTCTTTTTTTAAGACTGGTGTTAAGAGGTGAGGGGGTTACATCTATGGAGAAGGCTTAAGAATAGGGGTGCAGAATTGAGAGAGGTCACAGCTAAGAGCATAAATTTTCTCTCAGTCAAGGTCATCTACTGAGAGACCAGAATAATCTCTACAGGTTTGAGGCAGGTTAAAGGAGCTCATTTGAATTAAATGGTGTTTAATATCCAGTTGACATTAAAGATCATGATTTGAGGTAGTGGGAGTCTGTGCCATTGTGATTTCCTCGGGCTCATTCATCAGCCATAAAGTGGGACCAGAGAAGGAATGTTGTCATGTTGATCAAAAATTATGGAAATCTTTATCAATAACATCTCTCAGTATTCTCTTCAATGGAATTTTACTAGTCTCAGCAGTATTGGGAAAATGTTCTTGTCCTAAAATATACATATATATGTACATTTTATATACACATATGTATACATATGTACATATATGAGCTGTTTTATATACATATATAATGAATACATATATTTTTATAAAATAAATACATATAAATACATATATATGTATACAAAATGGCTTATATTGAAACTTTTCTCACCAGGCATTTGTGAGAGACAGGAGTAGCTGGATTTCCTAGGCTGACAAAGAATCCCTAAGTCTAGCTGGGAAGGTGACCACTTCCACCTTTAAACACGGGGCTTGCAACTTAGCTCACACCCAACCAATCAGATAGTAAGGAGAGCTCACTAAAATGCTAATTAGGCAAAAAGCAGGAGGTAAAGAAATAGCCAATCATCTGTTGCCTGAGAGCACAGTGGGAGGGACAATGATCAGGATATAAACCCAGGCATTGGAGCCAGCAATGGCAACCCCCTTTGTGTCCCCTCCCCTTGTATGGGAGCTCTGTTTTCACTCTTTTCACTCTATTAAATCTTGCAACTGCACTCTTCTGGTCCATGTTTGTTAGGGCTGGAGCTGAGCTTTTGCTCGCTGTCCACCACTGCTGTTTTGCCGCCCTCACAGACCCTCTGCTGACTTCCATCCCTCTGGATCCTGCAGGTTGTCGGCTGTGCTCCTGATCCAGGGAGCACACTCCTGATCGGGCTAAAGGCTTGCCATTGTTCCTGCATGGCTAAGTGCCTGGGTTTGTCCTAATCGTGCTGAACACTAGTCACTGGGTTCCACGGTTCTCTTCTGTGACCCACGGCTTCTAATAGAGCTATGACACTCACTGCATGGCCCAAGATTCCATTCCTTGGAATCTGTGAGGCCAAGAACCCCAGGTCAGAGAACAAGAGGCTTGCCACCATCTTGGAAGCAGCCCGCCACCATCTTGGAAGTGGCTCGCCACCATTTGGAAGCTCTGTGAGCAAGGACCCCCGGTAACATCTGCAAGTGAGTCAAATTTGTGTTTTACTTCTAACAACTACAAGGAATCATAGTATACATTTCTATAGCAGATTCTTTATTCTTAGTTTTATTTTGACCAGCTTTCCTATTATAGCATTTCACAAAAGGGATATTCTGAAGAAGTCAGTGCTGGGAATAGGTAGGTAATGAAAGGTTGCATACTATATACCCCTTCTTTGACAGCCACAAATTACCTTAATATAATACATTATCTAGAGTGTTCTTGGGTGATCAATAATTTATTTTTAAAGCAAGTGTCTCTCATAAATATTTTGTTACTGAAAAACATGTCGCACAACAGTACTCTGTGAAATAACAGTTTGAAAAATTCTGCCTTAAGTCATTTATTTTCTTTTCTTGTATTTTATATGTTTTCTTAAACTTCCTTGAAAGCTGTGTCATTTGAGGAAGGGCAAGGACACCAGCTGATCTCTGTCTCATGTGTCCGTGTAAAGAGTCCACCAACAGGCTTTGTGTGAGCAACAAGGCTGTTTATTTCACCCGGGTGCAGGTGGGCTGAGTCCAAAAAGAGAGTCAGCAAAGGGTGGTGGGATTATCATTAGTTCTTAAAGGTTTTGGGAGAGGTGGTGGAGTTAGGAGCAATGTTTTGTGGGCAGGGGGTGGCTCTCACAAAGCACATTCTCAAGGGTGGGGAGAACTACAAAGAACCTTCTTAAGGGTGGGGGAGATTACAAAGTACATTGATCAGTTAGGGTGGGGCAGAAACAAATCACAATGGTGGAATGTCATCAGTTAAGTCTATTTTCACTTATTTTGTGGATCTTCAGTTGCTTCAGGCCATCTGGATGTACACGTGCAGGTCACAGGCGATATGATGGCTTAGCTTGGGCTCAGAGGCCTGACAGTCTCTACCTGGAGAGAGGAGGTGTCACTTGATTCTAATAGGTTTGCTCAAACGTAAAAAGCAGTACACCTGATTTTCAGCAAAACTTTCTCTTTCCCCTCAATGCTTTGTAAGTAGTATTTTTCCAGTTTTATTTTTTGTTTAATGCAAAATATATAAATGAGGAAACACAAATGACTTATAGGTTGAAGACTGATTGCCTAGAAAACACCAGCTGAAATTTAGACAATAACAACAAAAACCAAAAGAGAATAAACAAAGTAAAACAAACAAATCCCTTTTATGTCAGCTTCTCCTAGAAAGAAAACTGAAACATTATAGAAAGATATAAAGTTGCAAATATTATTCTTTCTGAAGGAAAACAGTTAGTAGTTGCCTGACTTAAGAA